>NC_000003.12:118554058-118857089 GCF_000001405.40 Homo sapiens
GCAGAAGGTTCCTAAAGCTAAATGGAAGTCAGCATTACCCCAGGTCAGGAGCCAGCTAAGCTTTAAAACATGCTGTGTCCATGTTGACACATTTCATGTTAATTGGCATTATGTTGACACTCATTTGGGCCAAGAAAGAAAATGCTAGAAAGCTACATCTAGTATCTCCTTTACCGCAAAGAGGTCCCCAGAAAACCAGCGAATAAACAAAATAAAACCAATCTAATTAACTTTCCCTTCCAAATTGTTACCACACTTCACATGTCACGTGGCTGCTGTGGTGACCTGCATGGCATGAAAAATTTGTTTGGCCTACACTGAACTGACAAAGTTTTGTTTCAGTTCTCAATCCTCAATATATGCTATGTCATGAAGTACTACAAAAAGCCCATACTCATTTGTCCATTCTCTTTCTGAACAACCATCATACAATTGATCACCTAGTTTCATCAATTCTATTACTAGGAATCTCACAGATCCCCAACTGCTCAGCAGGTCATTCAGGCCACCTTACAGTCTTCCTACGCTCGGGCACTATCTCTAACCCCACCCTTTCATCCCTCTCCACCACCCCAGTTAAAAGGTCAACATCCTAGTTTTGGCAGAATTCCTGGACATGACAAGGAATAGTCACAGCTTCTGGGACTTCATTTACATTTTTATAACTCTGGGACTATGCTTATTTAGTTTCTTCTGACTGGAA
Organism: Homo sapiens; assembly: GCF_000001405.40. Lineage (NCBI taxonomy): Eukaryota > Metazoa > Chordata > Mammalia > Primates > Hominidae > Homo > Homo sapiens. The sequence continues at coordinate 118,554,762 of NC_000003.12, forward strand.
TACATTTTCTGCTAATCCACCCCATTGCCCTTCTCTGCCTAATAAGCCCTACTAAGTCTTTTTTTTAATAACAGAGACTTTAAAAAATGAAATTTTTATTGGGTTCTGACAGGTAACAATATGATTAAGTAAAACTGATTTTATAAGAAAAATCATATTACTATCCGAGCCTATCTTTTACATTTCCACCTCTGGTAGAACCAAGGGACAAAGAAATATTTATCTATTTTAAAAAGAAATCAGATCAAGATTAATGAATGACAAGGAGTAACTAATTGCACCTGCATGCTGAGAACACAAAAGGGATTGGTGGGGACTTCAGAGAACTGAAGATTCCATATCCTTTCTAAAGGGACAGAGATCTAGACTATTGTTGCTTTCAAGTAAGCAGGTTTAATGTGTTAACAGAGCTTTCCAATTTTTAGAGAAGTCATCTGTATTGCTCTGTGAAATCTCCTGAGAAGGTTGGATCAACATGTTGTTGGCTATATCCAGCCCAAGGGCACAAATTTGTAAATCTCAGCCTCATGACCTTGTTCAAATATTGGATCTTTGCAATGGCTTCTCTTACTCCCTTAGCCCAGTAGAGTGACCCTTCTACTCTCATTCATGTGCTCATTAAGAGATATTAATCTGCCACTATCTTGAAGTGTCAGTGACAAGGTGGACTTAATGTGGAGCACAGTCATATATTGGTGGGGCAAAGTGTGCACTGTAGCCCATGCTTCGGTGCCCTGTACCCCATATCCCTTGGTTGAACAATTCTTTTTCTAGTAACTTATATGCCTACACACTGTTTATAAGGATGTATTTTTTAAAAAAATTACCGCTTCATATAATAAACAAAATATTTTAATGTGCAGATCTCATCCAAATTCCTCTAGGAGACCCTACCCACTCCATGACACAGTTATAGAAAGAAAAAATGATGATGCTTTTACGAAACACTGTGATGATTTCTGCTTAAAATAGGTTGATATAGAATGCCCTCTCTTTGTTCTGGGCAAGATCATTTTGGTGATAGTTTTTAGTCAAGCAGCTCTAAGGCAAATACCTACCCACTCTTAACTAGAAAGGCCTGTAGCCAAATGAAGATGCTGCAGATTTGTTTTTAAGCCATCTCTTAAATAATATCACAGTGTTTTAACTGTGAAAAAGTATATTTCTGAGATGTTTATTTTAATATTTATTTATTTTGTGTTTTCTCTGGTGGAAGCCCCAGACTGGGGTGAAAAAATAACTGAAATGTAGAAAACCACCATAAGAAAGTTGATAAGATCCTACAATCTGGCAGTGGACCAAAGGATAAGATAGAGATGGCCAGAACCCAGTAAGAGGTTGTGGACACCAGGCTTGAAGAGCTGATGTATCTAATATCCAGTTTCAAGTTTCCTTTCTCTGTCATATATTTTACTTATATCACCCTCGCATCTTTATTAAGATTCTGTTAAATGACAGCCTTTCACTGACAGATAGGAGTGAGCTGCCACCGCATGAAGAAGCTGTGATGTGGAGACAACTGGGATGAAGCCAGACAGAGGGCTGGCATGAGCAGAGCACAGCCACACCCAGAATGGCATTTGTTATGGGTTGAAGTGTGTTGCCCCCAAAAAAGAAAGTTGAAATCTTAATCCATACTAACTATGAATGCAACCCTATTCCAAAATAGTGTCTTTGCAGATGAATAAGTTAGAATTAAGTCCTAATACAATTAGGACCTCATATTGAACCTTAATACAATGCGAGTCATGTTCCTATAAAAAAGGGAAATTTGGACCCAGTGACAGACATTCACCGAAGGAACACAATGTGAGGATACAGGGAGAATGACATGTACAAATCAATGAACACCTGAGACTGTCAGAAGCTACGTGAGAGGCATGGAAAAGATTCTCCCTCATAGCCCTCAGAAAAGGCCAATCTGCCCAACGTCTTGATTTTGGATTTGTGGCCTCCAGAACTGTAAGACAATAAATATGCCTTTTGCTTTAAGCCACACACAGTTCAGTACTTTGTTATGGCAGCCTCAGGAAACTGATATAGTATTCCTCCAGGGAACCTCAGAGAGAGATGAACACAGAATGGATTATTGCAGTCACACAGGAGGGACTCTCGTGTTACTATAATTTACCTATTAAAGGTAAGGGTGAAAAACTTAGGAACACTCAGATAGCAGACGACTCCATCCACATTGCTTTCAGAGTGGAGCACTCAAGCTCCCTCATTATATCACAGGAGTCCATTCTGGAAACCAGCTAGAATTAAACTCCTTCATAGCATAGAATACAATACAACACAACATAAATGCCTTGATTAGTTTCATCATCTCCTTAGTACCTTATTGGCACTTAACATTATGTAAATATCCTAAGAGTTACAGCTTCAAGGCCTTTCTATATTTAGGACTTACAAAAACACCAAGTTCCTCTGATTTCAAGAGTTACCAAAGGTACCTGCCCTCAAAGATCTCAGGAAAGGAAAATAATCTCTTAACAATCTTGGAAGAGTGTTGTTAAGAAAGGTAAGAGGTGGTTCAAGGTGCTTAGTGGTCTGGAGATAATATTGAGCACATTTTCCTGAAGCCCACTTTTTTCAGTTGACAATATATCATGAACTTTTGTTTGTGTCAGTAAATATTTCTCTACAACATGATTTTTACTATGTGCAAAGATTCCATCTTCAGAAAGACATTCCATAATTCATTTAACTAACCCTCTATTTCTGAGCCAAGTCAATGGAAAATCAAAATAGTGTGCTGAGCCCAGAGGCATGTATGCCTGAGGAACAAGCTCTATGATCGATCATCTGTTTCATATTCTTCTGTAAGTCTCTTACCTGGCACTTCCTTTATCTAAGAGAGTACCTTATGGAATTCCATTCTCCAGCATGTGGTTGTTTCTAGGACACTGAACAAACGAAAATATCTGTCACTCTATCAAGTTTCTAAACATATCATCCATTCATTCATTAAGCAAACATTTATTTTGTACTTAACATGTCAGACACTACTCTGGGCCTGGTGATATTGTAATGACAGATAAGGTCCCTGCCTTCCGGAACTTTAAAATCTAACTGGAACACACAAATAAGATAAATTCAAGTAGCTGTTACAAAGGAAGTAAAACAGGCAATGGGAAAGGGATTGATAGGGAGGCATATATTGTAGATGGAAAAAGAAGAAGTAGTATGTTAACTGTAACCTGAAAAAGAGTTTTCCATGTCAAGAGCCAGGAAAAAGGTATCACATGCAGTGGAAACAGGTAGAGTAAATGCATGACGTGGGAAAAAGTGTGATACGTCGAATCAACACAAGTTGATTAGATGATCTAGATAATTGTGACATAGTAGGTGACAGAGAGAAGAGTTCAAGAAGAAGGCAAGTGTTGGATCCAGGACCTCGCAGGGCATGGTAAGGCAGTAGGACAGCAAACTGTTAGTTCAGAAGATTTGAATCAGGGAGTGTTATATATCAGCTCTGTTTTAAGAAGGTTGCTCTGGCTTTGGGGTGAAGCATGCATTATAAAGAAGCATGAGAGGCAGCAGAGAGAGACAGACTAGTTAGCAGGATACTGCTATTGCCTTGTTGAGAGGGTTGTTGGTAGTTTAGACTGAATAGAAATAGATAAAATGGAACTGGTTAAAAATATATTTTGATGATAGTGTAGGCAGGCAGGACATACTGATGGAGGTAATATGGATGGGTGAGTTAAAAGAAGAAATCAAGGATGACATCTTATTATGAAAATTTTCAAACTTACAGAAAAGAGAGAATTGAATAATGAATACTTATATACTCATCATGTTGACTATACAATTAAAATTTTACTATATATATTTTATCAAATAGCTATTCATTTATCCATCCCACTATCCATGCATCAATCCATGTTATCTTTTGATGCTCTTGGAGTGAAAGACCACGTTACCCCCATTTCCCCACTACAGTATGCATATTATTAACTACAATCAGTGATTTGTTTTGGTTCTTTGTTTTCTATAGGAAACTTTTCATAGAGTTAAATGCAAAAACAAAAACAAAAAACACTCAACTTAAAGAGTTTTGAGAAATGCATGCAAATATGTAACCCTAACTCAGGGTTTTAAAACCTCAACACTGTTCTGAACCTTAAATAATTCTTTGTTGTGAAGGGCTATCTTTGGGCAACGTAGAATGTTTAGCAGCATTCCTGGCCTCTAAATTGTCTCTACACTTTACCAAAAATAACCTGGGTGGAAGGAGGGGGTGGGCAAAATTGATAACCACTGCCCTAACTCTAACCAAGATATAAAACATTACCATCATCTAGAAAGTTTTCTCATGTGCTTTCCCAGCAAATCCCCACACCTCTCTCCCAAGGCTACCAATATTCTAAATTCTTTGCCACATAGATTAGTTTTGCATGTTCTAGAACTTTATATAAGTGTAGTCAAACTGTACATGCTCTTTTGTGGTAGGCATTTCTTACTAAATTTTACTACATTTTTGAGATTCACCCATGTCATGTATACGAGTGGTTCGAGTGATTTTTCCTTTTCTGTGTTAAGCAGTATTACATATGTGACTATACTTGGGTTTGTTTAGCCATTTGGTTGTTGATGGATTAATTTAGCTGTTTCCACTTTTACCTATTATGAATAAACTTGATATGAACGTTCTCATATAATTGTTTCCTGGACATGTTTTTATTTCTCTTTGGTAGAAGCAGAATTCCTGAGTCATGGGATAGGTATCTGTTGTTAGAAAATTGCCAGACACTTACAAGGTAATAACACCATGTTACCTTTCAATCAACAATGTATGAGATTTCCAGTTGTTTTATATCCTTGTCAACACTTGGTGTTGTCAATAATTTTAATTTTAGCCATTCTGGTAGGTGTTTGGCATATCTCATTGTGATTTTAATTTGCATTTCCCTGATGATTCTAATGTTGAGTGTTTTTTCATGTATTTATTGGTCATCTATATAATTTTCTTTGCAAAGTATCCATTTAACTACCTATTTTAACATGGGGTTGTAGTTTTATTATTGAATAACCTGATTTCTTTATATATACTGAATATCAGTCCTTTGTCAGATGTATGTTTTGTGAATATTTTATGCAGATCTATGGTTTGCCTATTAATTTTACTAATAGTGTCTTTTGATGAGCAGAAACATTTAATTTTGATAATACCAAATTGCCATGATCTCTTTTATGGTTACAATTTTCTGTGTCCTTTCTAGGAAACTTTTGCCTAGTCTCAAAGTCCTAAGGACATTCTATTGTGCTGTCTCCTAGAATCTTCATTCTTTTAGCCTTTATGTTTAGGTCTAAGATTTATCTCAAGTTATTGTTGTGAGGTGCAGATCAAGGTTTATTTTATTTTCTGTATAGATATCCAGTTTTTATAGCACATTTTGTTGAAAATATTTTCTTTTCCCTACTATATGGCATTGGTGACTGTAGAAAATCAAACACAATTATATCAGTATGAGTCTAATTCTGGACTTCTTAATCTCTTCCATTGACCTACTCTTGCTAGTACCATGCTTTCTTGATTACTGTATCTCAATAGCAAATCTTAAAGCCTGGTTAGGTCCCCAAAATTTGTTCTTCTTCAAGATCGTTTTTGATATTCTAGCTCTTGTGCATTTCCATAAGAATGTTAGATCAGCCTATTAATATCTTTTTAAAAATCCTGGTAGCATTGTTATTGAGATAGCATTGAATCTATAAATTATTTGGAGGAGAATTAGCATATTAGCAGTGGTATATATTCTAATAAATATACATGGTATATCTCTCAATCCATTTCTCTAATTTTTCTTTCAATTTTTGATGTAGAAATCCTACATGGTTTTGTTAAACTTATTCCTATGTTATGCTTTTTTGCTTTATTAAAATTTGAATTTATTTTTCATTTTTCTTTTTTATGCAGTTAAATATGAGAAGTGCAATTGATTCTTATATATTGAGCTTGTATCTTGAGACATTGCTAAATTCACATATTAGCTCTACCTGTTTCTTTTGAAGGTCTATTATACTTTTCTACCTTGACAATCATGTCATCTGAATAAAGACATATTTACTTCATTTTTATATATATGTATTTTATTTCCTTGTCTTTTGTTATGGCACTGGCTAAGAGTTCTGATAAAATGTTGATAGAAGTAGTGAAAGTGGACGTCCTTGCCTTGCTTGCGGTTTTGGGAGAAAGCATTCAGTATTTCACCATTAGGAATGATGTTAACTACTGGTTACTTGTTCTTCACAGATGACTTTGTGTTTTTTTTAGACAGAGTCTCACTCTGTCACCAGGCTGGAGTGCAGTGGTGCTGTCTCAGTTCACTTCAATCTCTGCCTCCCGGGTTCAAGCAATTCCCCTGCCTCAGCCTGCTGAGTAGCTGAGACTACAGGCATGCACCACCACACCTGGGGAATTTTTTGTATTTTAGTAGAGACAGGGTTTCACCACATTGGCCAAGACGGTCTCGATCTCCTGGCCTCGTGATCCACCTCTCAAAGTGCTGGGATTACAGGCGTGAGCCACTGCACCTGGGCTGTAGGTGACTTTTATCAGAACAAGGAAAACCCTTCTATTCCAAGAGTGCTAAGAGCTTTCATCAATAAATGGATGTGAATTTTGTAAAATAACTTTTTCGGTCAAGATGATCATATGTCTTTTCTCCTTCATTCTATTAGTATGATGAATCACATTAAATTTTTAATATTAAACCAAACTTACATTCTAGAGGTAAGCTCTATTTGGTGTTATCCATTTCATGTGCTGTTGTATTTTATTTCCTAATATTTTGTTAAGAATGTTTTCTTCTATGTTCATGAGGTCCATTTGACTGTAATTTAATATTTTTTGTAATATCTTTGTCAGATTTTCAAATCAGTGCTTTTCATAGCTTCTTTTTGAAATTTTGGCAACTGGTTGAATTACACTTTAACATATAGAGATCAGTTAAGGCAAAAAGAAAACAAGAAAAAAAATGAGAAATGACATTCTGTAAGGGGAGAAGGAAAATCAGTTTGTTGATTCAAGGAATCCAAAAGACAACAGTCTTTCATATTGAATACTGCTGACAGTTCAGTAAAATGTGAAGAGAGAAGTGACAATGAATTTGGCAATGTGGAGGTAATTGGTGACACTAATATGAAACTTGGGGATAGAGATGGGGTAGAATGAAGATAAATTAGAGTAGATTGAAGAGAGAACCGGAAATGAGGAAAATAAGAGGGCTAGTACAGCCAATTTGCTGTACCATTTCTTTTCTGTCAAGAGTAACAGATAAATAGGGCAGTAGTTGGAGAAGATGAGAAGTCAAGAAACAATGAAAAAAGAATATTTGTTTGGTTTCCAAGGCAGGTAAATAGGACAAAAGAGAATAGAGGAGAAATTAACCTAAAATATTTGTGATAGTGGAGAGAGCTTTTGAATAGGGATCAGACCACGCTTCTGTTTCCAGCTTTAAAAATAACTAACTACATGAACTGGGGCAGGTCATTTCCAGTTCCCTGAGCTTTGGTTTTCTTATGTGTAAATTGATGTCTTTCAGACTAGATATTTTAAAAGGTAGTATAAATGGTCCTCAACTTCTGTGACTTCTCTGACAAGTCTCATAATGAAACCAGTCTTTAATGTGTCATTCTTGTGTCTTAAAATTATGGTAATTTTGTTTTATTGACTGTGCCTGTTACTTGAGTAGCTTACTTGCATCATGTAAGTAGTATTAAAATGGAAGGCCAAGTGTACTTGATTACTCTACACAAGCAGCTATATTGAGATTGAGAATTTCAGTTATGTGAAAACAAGTTATAAAGAAGAGAAATCAAGCCAGCATGAGAAAGTTCCAGGAAGAGAGAGTGAATAGAGAGCAAGGGGAATATCCTAAACAGAGGAAATGCAGTCACAGATGCTTTATTAGATACCCTATAGTCTCCACAACAAGTTAGAAGAGAGATACTAGGGGTTCTTGGAGGTTACTGACAATCATCCAATCACATCATGGTAGATGAAACACATTTGATCAACTATAATAAATAACTAGAGCACATCAAATTATTTTGTTTGTTAAGATAAATGTATTGGATTCACCATTTTACTAAATCCATGGATTGATGTTTAAGTAATTAAATTTTTTTCTTCTAAAAGCAGTGATTAATTGTGTTGATGATGTACTGTGAAGTCAACAGGATAAGTTAATTTGCAGAGGAAAAAAAATTAAATTGAGTTTCCTGCAAAGAATATTTATATTTAAATGGATTCTGAAATCAAGCCTCACCATGGATGGGTTGAGTTTCTAAAAATTACTAGACACTGGGCAGAAAAAAAGAAATAAAGAAAGAAAGAGAAAATGATACTTGCATTTAAGTAGCCATTAGTTGAACTGAAGATATTGAATAACATAACTTCATGTCTGGTTTGGGAAAGACTAGAAAATTACTAATTATGCAGAAGAAATGGAATATTACAGAGCAAGGGTAGTCAGAGAAGGCTCATAGAGGATGTGTTAAAAGTAGAATTGAGAATTTGGTTTCAATTGACAAAATCCAATATGAATATATTGTGCATAAACTAGAATTTGTAGAAGACATAAGCAATCAAAAGGAGAATGGAGATGACAAAATTGACAGGTACACAAATACTTTTAGGACACTTTCCCTTCTTGTTGTCATCTCTATTTCCCTTGATTTCTCAGCTTCAAGTCTTTCAATTTGTCTTCAGTGGAAGATCAGAGGAGTCATTGACATAAATCTTTTCAGCAGGTAGAGTAGGGTGGAACATAGGTAGACAAAGTAAATTGAAAATAGAAAATCACAAAAGGGTGCACCAGACCAACAAAAGTATGTGGAGAGGCAAGAAAGGAGAAGCATGTTATTTTTCCACATACCTCAAATTTCATTACATGGCAGAACCCCCTTTCTTCACCATCCAGCTATCTGAAGGAGAAACTGAATGATACAGAGAACCCACACTTAAAGAACAGAAAAAAAGAAGTCATTAAATACAACACAGAAACCACAGTTAGTGAGATAGAAAAAAAAATCAATTTTAATGTGTATTTACAGTAGCCAAGGTCAAAAGAAAGATCACCAAATATAGGTCCAGTTATGAGAAGCATCAAAAAAAATGCAGAAAAGTTCAGGGATAAAACAGTCTTTTATAGCAGATTGGAGGCAATTAAAGTCAAATTGAAAAGAGATTAAGAAATAAGTGAATTAAGAGAAAATGAAACTTCATCTTCCAGCAATGATGGAACAATTAGTACCTGACCAGCCCTACCATCATTAAACAGTGGTGTGCTGGTAATGTTTAACAATCAGTTCTCCAATTAAAAAAAAAAAGTCTTGATTTGTAACATTTGCCTTTTTTCATGATATACATATTCCCTGTTGGGTTGATTTCGACCTACCAATGATTTAAAAACTGTCTGGCAATATTCCTAAAATTTTTAAAGTTGCTTCTCACAAGCTGAAATGATCTGGCTCCAGCACATCATAAATTGCTACAAAACTAAGGAAAATACTAAAAGAAACTATATTTAGCCACTGGAAAAAAGGGAAGCTCACAAGGTGAGAACCATGTGTACCACCTACTACCTCACCCTGCTTTTCACCTGTGGACAATTTCCAAAACAGGTGGAGCTGGGGCTGGTGTGCAGTATATACAGCACTCTGCCTGAGCTGAGAAGTTACACATCAGTTTGGAGATGCAGAAGAGGATGGAACCTGAAGAGCACCATAGTCAATAGGAGGTACCTGTGCAGAAGGGAGATCCAGAACCTAACGTGGGCCTCCCCACCCATGAGACCTTGGCTAAGGGCTGAACTGCTATTATGCAAGAAAACACTACAGGAGTCTTACAAGAAAGTAATTACTATGGGGCTGAGAGCAGAACAGAGATCTTAGAAGTCAGGCAGAAGTGGGAGACTAGTATTAGAGTTCTAGACCAGCCAGATCTAGGCTGCCTTAGCATTCTGTTAAGACATTAGTACTCAGCAGACAGCTGACACTTCAGAAAGAACATACACTAGCCATTAGCCATAAGGAATGATGTCTTTCAAATGTTGAAAGAAAAAGATAAAAAACAATAGTCAGCCCAGAATTCTGTATCCAGCCAGCAAATATTTCCTTTCAAGATGAGAATAAAATGAAGACATTTTCTTTTAAACAAAACTCTGAGATAATCTGTTGCCCACAGACTAGCATTCAAGAAATGCTAAAGAATAGTCTACAGATTAAATGGAAGTGATACTAGATGGGAACCCATATTTGCAGAAAATGAAGAAATGAAAATAAGTATGTGAGTAACTGTGAGAAATTTTTCTTTTCTTAATTTTTTTAAACAACTTACAGATTAAAGCAAAAGCAACAATTTTGTAAGGTGTAGCTCTAGCATACATACAACTAAAATATTAGGGCAATGGGTGTATATTCATTCTAACAACTTCTATTTAATATCCTTCTAGGGGCTGAGGCAGTAACATGCAAGAAAAAAATTAAAAGGAGTAAATATTGGAAGAAAAAGGAGTAAATCTGTTTTTATTTGTAGACAGCATGACTTATTTACATGGGAAATCATAAGGACTCTATACGTGAAAATACCTAGACTCAATAAAATTTGCATGGTCACAGGAAACGAGGTCAATGAATAAAAATTAATTGCATTTCTACATACTAGAAAAAACAACTGGAAACTAAAATTTTCAAAAGACAATATGTGTAATAGCATCATAAAATATGAAATCCTTTTTTTTCCATAAGTTGTTGGGGTACAAGTGGTATTTGGTTACATGAGTAATTTCTTTAGTGGTGATTTGTGAGATTTTGGTGGACCCATCACCCGAGTTGCATACACTACACCACATTTGTAGTCTTTTATCCCTCACCCCTCTCCCACTCTTCCGCTCACGTCCCCAAAGTCTAGTCCATCATTCTAATGCCTTTGTGTCCTCATAGCTTAGCTCCCACATATCAGTGGGAATGTACAATGTTTGGTTTTCCATTCCTGAGTTACTTCACTTAGAATAATAGTCTCCAACCTCAACCAGGTCACTGCAAATGCTGTTAATTCATTCGTTTTTATGGCTGAGTAGTATTCCTTCATATATATGTATGTGTGTGTGTGTGTATATATATATATATGTGTGTGTGTGTGTATATATATGTGTGTATATATATATGAAGGAATATATATATGAAGGAATATATATATGAAGGAATATATATATGAAGGAATATATATATGAAGGAATATATATATATATGAAGGAATATATATATGAAGGAATGTATATACATATATATATATGAAGGAATATATATATATATCACAGTTTCTTTATCCACTCTATTGATGGGAATTTGGGTTGGTTCCACATTTTTGCAATTGTGAATTGTGCTGCTATAAACATGCATGTGCAAGTATCTTTTTTGAAAAATGATTTCTTTTCCTCGGGGGTAGATACCCTGTAGTGGGAATGTTGGATCAAATAGTAGTTCTACTTTTAGTTTTTTAAGGAATCTTCACACTGTTTTCCACAGTGGCTGTACTAGTTTACATTCCCACCAGCAGTGTAGAAGTGTTCCCTGTTCACAGCATCTATACCAGCATCTACTGTTTTATGATTTTTTTATTATGGCCATTCTTGCAGGAGTAAGGTAGTATCATATTGTGGTTTTGATTTGCATTTCCCTGATCATTAGTGGTGTTGAGCATTTTTTCATATGTTTCTTGGCCATTTGCATATCTTCTTTTGAGAATTGTCCTTAGCCCACTTTTTGATGGGATTGTTTGTTTTTTTCTTATTGATTTGAGTTCGTTGTAGATTCTGGATATTAGTCCTTTGTTAGATGTATAGATTGTGAAGACTGTCTCATACTCTGTGGGTTTTCTATTTACTCTTCTAACTGTTTCTTTTGCCATGTAAAAGCTCTTTAGTTTAATTAGGTCCCAGCTATTTATCTTTGTTTTTACTGCATTTGCTTTTGAGTTCTTGGTCATGAAATCCTTACCTAAGCCGATGCTTAGAAGGGTTTTTCTGATGTATAAATTCTTTTAGAATTTTTATAGTTTCAGGTCTTAGGTGCAAGTCCTTAATCCATCTTGAGTTGATTTTTGTATAAAGTGAGAGATGAGGATCCATTTTCATTCTCCTACATGTGGCTAGCCAATTATCCCAGCATTATTTGTTGAAAAGGGTGTTCTTTCCCCACTTTATATTTTTGTTTGCTTTGTCAAAGATCAGTTGGCTTTAAGTATTTGGATTTCTTTCTGGATTCTCTATTCTGTTCCATTGGTCTATGTGCGTATTTTTATACCCATACCATGCTGTTTTGGTGACTATGGCCTTTTAGTATAGTTTGAAATCAGGTAGTGTGATGCCTCCAGATTTGTTCTTTTTGCTTAGTCTTGCTTTGCCTATGTGGGCTCTTTTTTGGTTCCATATTAATTTTATGATTGTTTTTTCTAATTCTGTGAAGAATGATGGTGGTATTTTGATGAAGATTGTATTGAATTTGTAGATTGCTTTTGGCAGTATGGTCATTTTCACAATATTGATTCTACTCATCCATGAGCATGGGATGTGTTTCCATTTGTTTGTGTCATCTGTGATTTATTTTAGCATTGTTTTTGTAGTTTTCCTTGTAGAGGTCTTTTGACTCCCTGGTTAGGTATAATCTAAGTTAGTTTTTTTTTTTTTTTTGGTAGCTATGGTAAAAGGGGGTGAGTTCTTGATGTGATTCTCCGCTTGGTTGCTGTTGGTGTGTAGAAGAGCTACTGATTTGTGTTCGTCAGTCTTCTATCTGGAAACTTTGCTGAATTCTTTTATCAGTTCTAGGAGTTTTCTGGAGGAGTCTTTAGGGTTTTCAAGGTAAACGATCATATTGTCAGCCAACAGTAACAGTTTGAATTTCTCTTTAACAATTTGGATGCCCCTTATTTTTTTCTCTTGTCTGACTGTCTATATTTTTCTCATCTTGTCTGATGAGAGTGGGCATCCTTGTCTTGTGCCAATTCTTAGAGGGAATGCTTTCAATTTTTCCCCATTCAGTATTATGTTGGCTGTGGGTTTGTCGTAGATGGCTTTTATTACATTAAGGTATGTCCCTTGTATGCTGATTTTGCTAGGAGGAAGAGATGCTGGATTTTGTCGAATGCTTTTTCTGCATCTATTGAAATGATCATATAATTTTTTGTTTTTAATTCTGTTTATGTGGTGTATCATATTCATTGACTTGTGCATGTTAAACCATCACTGCATCCCTGATATGAAACCCACCTTATCATGGTGGATTATCTTTTTGATATGTTATTGGATTCAGTTAGCTAGTATTTTGTTAAGGTTTTGCATCTACATTTATGAGAGATTTTGGTGTATAGCTTTCTTTTTCGGTTATGTCCTGTCCTAGTTTTGGTATTAGGGCAATACTGGCTTCATGGAACAATTTAGGGAGGGTTCCTTCTTTCTCGGCGTTTTGGAATAGTGTCAAAAGGATTGGTACCAATTCTTCCTTGAATGTCTAGTAAAATTCTGCTGTGAATTCATCTGGTCCTTGACTTTTATTTGTTGGTAATTTTCTTTTTCTTTTTTTTTTTTTTTTTTTTTTTTGAGATGGAGTCTCGCTCTGTTGCCCAGGCTGGAGTGCAGTGGCATGATCTTAGCTCACTGCAAGCTCCGCCTCCCAGGTTCACGCCATTCTCCTGCTTCAGCCTCCTGAGTAGCTGGGGCTACAGGCACCCGCCACCATGCCTGGCTAATTTTTGTATTTTTTAGTAGAGACAGGGTTTCACCGTGGTCTCAGTCTCCTGACCTTGTGATCTGCCTGCCTTGGCCTCCCAAAGTGCTGGGATTACAGGCACGAGCCACCACACCCAGCCATTTGTTGGTAATTTTTAAATTACCATTTCAATCTCACTGCTCCTTACTGGTCTGTTCAGCATATCTAATTCTTCCTCATTTAAGCTGGGAGGGTTGTATTTTTCCAGGAATTTATCCATTTCTTTTAGGTTTTCTAGTTTATGTGCATAAGGTGTTCATTGTAGCATTGAATGATCTTTTGTATTTCAGTGGTGTCAGTTGTAATATTTCCTGTTTCGTTTCTTAATGAGGTTATTTGGATTTTCTCTCTTCTTTTCTTGCTTAATCTTGCAAATGGTCTATCAATTTTATTTATCATTTCAAGGAATCAGCTTTTGGTTTCATTTATCTTTTGTAATTTTTGTTTTAATTTCATTTAATTCTGCTCTGATCTTGGTCATTTCCTTTCTTCCACTGGGTTTGAGTTTAGTTTGTTCTTGTTTCTCTAATTCCTTGAGGTGTGACCTTAGAATGTCAGTTTGTACTCTTTCAGACTTTTTGATGTATGTGTTCAGGGCTATGAACTTTCCTCTTAGCACTGCCTTTGCTGTATCCCAGAGGTTTGGATATGTTGTGTCATTACTGTCGTTAAGTTTGAATAATTTTTAAATTTCCATCTTCATTTCGTTTTTGACCCAATGCTCATTCATAAGCAGGTTATGTAATGTCCATGTATTTGCATGGTTTTGAAGGTTCCTTTTGGAGCTGACTTCCAGTTTTATTCCACTGTGCTCTGAGAAAGTGCTCGATATAATTTCAATTTTCTTAAATTTATTAAGGCTTGCTTTGTGGTTTATCATATGGTCTATCCTGGAGAAAGTTCCATGTGCTGTTGAATGGAATATGTATTATGTGGTTGTTGGATGAAATGTTTGGTATGTATCTGTTAAGTCCATTTGTTCCAGGGTATAGTTTAAATCCATGTTTTCTTTGTTGGCTTTCTGTCTTGATGGGCTGTCTAGTGTTATCAGTGAAGTATTAAAGTCCCCCACTATTATTGTGTTGCTCTCTATCACATTTCTTAGGTCCATTAGTAATTGTTTTATAAATTTGGGAGCTCCAGTGTTAGGTGCATATATGTTTAGGACTGTAACGTTTTCCTGTTGGACAAGGCCTTTCATCATTACGTAATATCACTTTCTGTCTCTTTTAACTGCTGTTGCTTTAGTTTGTTTTGTCTGATACAAGAATAGCTACTCCTGCTCACTTTTGGTGTCCCTTTGCATGAAATGTCTTTTTCCACCACTTTACTTTAAGTTTATGTGAGTTCTTATGTGTTAGGTGAGTCTCCTGAAGGCATCAGCAGGTAGTTGGTTGTTGAGTTCTTATCCATTCTGTGGTTCATTAAGAGACAGCATTTAGGCCATTTACATTCAATGTTAGTTTTGAAATGTGAGGTACCATTGGATTCATCATGCTCTTTGTTGCCTGTGTACTTTGATTTTTTGTTTTCTATTTTTGCTTTTTAACTTGTATTTTTGATTTATAGGTCCTGTGTGATATGCTTTAAAGAGGTTCTGTTTTGATGTATTTCCAGGATTTTTTTTGAGATAGAGTTCCTTTTAACAGTTCTTGTAGTGGTGGTTGGTAATGGTGAATTCTCTCAGCATTTGTTTGTCTGATAAATACTGTATCTTTCCTTAATAACGCTTAGTTTTGCTGGATACAAAATTCTTGGCTGATAATTGTTTTGTTTGAGGAAGCTGAAGATAAGTCACCAATCTCTTCTGGCTTGTAGGGTTTCTGCTGAGAAATCTGCTGTTAATCCAATAGGTTTTACTCTTCTGTCTCACAGCTCTTAAGATTCTTTCCTTCGTCTTAACTTTGGATAACCTGATGACAATGTGCCTAGGCAATGATCTTTTAGCAATGAATTTCACAGGTGTTCTTTGTGCTTCTTGTATTTGGATGTCTAGGTCTTTAGCAAGGCAAGGGAAGTTTTCATTGATTATTCCCCCAAATATGCTTTCCAACCTTTTAGAATTCTCTTCTTCCTCAAGAACACTGATTATTCTTAGGTTTGGGCATTTAACATAAGCCCAGACTTCTTGGAGGCTTTGTTCATATTTTCTTATTCTTTTTTCTTTGTCTTTGTTGGGTTGGGTTAATTTGAAGACCTGTCTTTGAGCTCTAAATTTCTTTCTTCTACCTTTTCAATTCTATTGCTAAGACTTTTGGGAGCATTTCACATTTCTAAAAGTTCATCCAAAGTTTCCTGAATTTTTTATTGCTTTTTCCTTAAGCTATCTATTTTCTTGAATATTTCCCCCTTCACTTCTTGTATCATTTTTTGGATTTCCTAGCATTGGGCTTCACCTTTCTCCAGTGTCTCCCTGATTAGCTTAATAACTAACCTCCTGAATTCTTTTTCAGGTAAATCAGGGATTTTTTTCTTGGTTTGGATCCATTGCTGGTAAACTAGTGTGATTTTTCTGGAGTCATATTACCAGGGATGGTATTGTCATATTACTAGGGATGGTTTTCTGGTTCCTTCTCGTTTGTGTAGGCTCTGTCAGAGGGAAGGTCTAGGGCTGAAGGCTATTGTTCAGATTCTTTTGTCTCAAAGTACATTCCCTTGATTTAGTACTCTCTCCCTTTTCCTATGGATGTGGCTTCCTGTGAGCTGAACTGCAGTGATTGTCATCACTCCTCTGGGTCTAGCCACCAGTGAATTTACCCAGCTCGGGGCTGGTCCTGTGATGTGAACCGTCTATGGGTCTCTCAGCAGTGGATACCAGCGCCTGTTCTGGTGGAGGTGGCGGGCGGTGCAATGGACTCCATGAGGGTCCTTAGCTTTGGCGGTTTAATACTCTATTTTTGTGTGGGTTGGCCTCCTGCCCGGAGGTGCCACTTTCCAGAGAGAATCAGCTGTAGTAATATGGAGAGGGACTGGCAGTGGGCGGGGCCCTAGAACTCGCAAGATTATACATCTTTTGTCTTCTGCTACCAGGGTGGGTAAGGAAGGACCATTAGGTAGGGGCAGGGCTAGGCGTGTCTGATCTCAGACTCTCCTTGGGTGGGTCTTGCTGCAGCTGCTATGGGTGATGGGAATGAGATGCCCAGGTCACTGGAGTTGTGTGCCTAGGAGGATTATGGCTGCCTCTGCTGAGTCATGCAGGTTATCAGGGAAGTGGGGGAAAGCCAGCAGTCATAGGCCTCACCCAGCTCCTATGCAAACTGAAGGGTCAGTCTCACTCCAACTATACCCTACCCCAACAGCCCTGAGTCTGTTTCCAGGTGGACCGTGAAACAAGCTTAAAAACTTGCCCCAGGCTACCGGTCTCCCAGCTGCAAAAGAAAAGAACTTGGTTCTTCCCCACCCGGCCCGTGGAGTCTGCACAACGGATTTTCATTTCCCCCCGCCCCCGACCCTGCCGCCCCACCGGCAGAGTTCTAGCCAGGAGATTCTCACCAGATTCAAATTGTTACAAGTAGCGATTTCCTTCTCCCTGTGGGTTTTTTTGTTTGTTTGTTTGTTTGTTTGAGACGAAGTCTCGCTCTGTGCCCAGGCTGGAGTGCAGTGGCGCGATCTCGCCTCACTGCAAGCTCCGCCTCCTGGGTTCGCGCCATTCTCCTGCCTCAGCCTCCCGAGTAGCTGGGACCATAAGGCACCCGCCACCACGCCCGGCCAATTTTTTGTATTTTTAGTAGAGACGGGGTTTCACCATGTTAGCCAGGATGGTCTCGATATCCTGACCTCGTGATCTGCCAGCCTCGGCCTCCCAGTGCTGAGATTACAGGCATCAGCCACCCCGTCCGGCTCCCTGTGGAGTTTTACCTGATGCTCCTCTTGCCGCCCTCCTGATGGATTCCTTTGGTGCCAGACAGGAATGGGCTGCTTGGGGACCAAGAGAGCTCCCAGGGCCTTTCTACGGCTTCCTTTACCCCTTTATTTTGTTCGGCTCTCTAAATTGACTCAGCTCCAGGTAAAGTCGAAACTTCTCCCACAAACGGACCTTCAGTTTCTCCAGTTAGTGTGTGTGTTCAGGAGAGGAGGGTCTCCCTTTCCCACTTCCGCAGTTGGGGCACTCACAGTATTTGAGGTATCTCCCAGGTCCTGCAGGAGCAGTCCACTTCCTTCAGAGGGTCTGTGGGTCCTTTTGGGATTGCCGGTTTGTTCTTGTAGTCAATCTGGAGCTAAAATTCACAATGCAAGCCTCCGCATGGTGTTCTATCTGGAGCTGCAATCTAGTCCTGTCTCTAAAATATGAAATTCTTAGGAATACATTCAACAACAGATGTACAAAATCTTGATTCTGAAAATTACATAATATTTCTGAGAAAAAAATAAAGAAAATTTAAATAGAGATTTATATATACTACATTCATGGATTAGAGAACTCAGTATTAAGATGTCCACTGTTTCCCAATTGATTGGTAGATTCAATTCCAATCAAAGTCCTATTAGGCATTTTGGTAGAAATTAGCAAGCTGATTTGAAAACTTATATGGAAACAGAAAGGACCTAGAACAGTCTAGATAATATCGAAAAAAAAAAAAGAACAAAATTAGAGAACATATACTATCTAATTCTGAACTTACTGTAAAGCTACAGTATTCAAAACAGAATAGTACCAGCATGGAACATCAGTAGAACCTATAGCACACATGCACATGCACACACATACATACACACAGACACACACACACACATCAAATGATTTTTGACAAAGTTTCCAAGGGAAAAGCCAGTGTTTTCAACAAATGATGTTGGAATAAATGCAAACAAATAGAGCCAAATGGGGAAAAAGTGAAACTCAACTCCTACCTTTCAATAAATATTAAATTAAAATTGAAACAGATCATAGACATAAAAACTAGATAATTTCTGAAGAAAATATATGAGCAAATCTTCACACTGTGGGGTAGGTAAAGATTTCTTAGATAGGATACTTAAAATCACCAACCAGAAAAGAAAAAAAAAAGTTAAACTGGACTGCATCAAAATTTAAAACTGTTTTTCCAAAGATACCACAAAGAAATGAAAAGTTAATGTACAACATCATGACTGTAGTTAACAACACTATATGGCACACTTGAAATTTGCTAAGAGGGTAGAACTTTAGTGTCCTCACTTCAGTAAAAAAAAAAAGATATAAAGAAAATGGTAACTATGTGAGATGATAAACGTTAATTGTTTGATTGTGATAATCATTTCACAAGGTGTACAATTTTCAAAACATCAAGTTGTACACCTTAAATATGTACAATTTTTATTTGTCAATTATGCCTCAATAAGGCTTGAAAAAAGAAATGAAAAGGTAAGCCATAGACTGGGAGAAAATATTTGCAATACAAATATCTACCAAAAAATATGTGTCACAACATAATAAAGAAAATTCTTCTAACTCAATAATAAGATAAGCAAGCCAATTTATAAAAATGGGAGAAAAAAATTACCAGCCAATTCTCAATAGAAGGTATGCAAATGACCAGTAAGCACATGAAGAGAGGCTCAACATTACTAGTCACCAGGGAAATGCAAATTAAGAGCCCAGTGAAATACTGTGTCATTTGAATGGAGAAAATTAACAATTGATAATGCTAAATGTAACATGGTTGTGAAACAACCGGGACTTTCATACATTACCGTTTGGAGTATAAGGTGGCACAGCCACTTTGAAAACCAGCTTAGCAACTTCTTAAAAAGTTAAACATATACAAAATATATGACCTAGTAATTCTATTCTTAAGTATTTTTCCAAGAGAAAAAAATATATATATATATATGTTCATAGAAACTCTTTTAGATGACTGTTTATAACAGCTTTATTGACAATTGCCAAAAAGCAGAAAAACCTCAAATATCCATCAAAGGTGAAAGCATAAATACATTGTATGTATTTATACAAAAAAAAATTGTATGCATTCATACAATAAAATGCTTCTCAGCAACACAAAGAATGAACTACTGCGACATTCAGCCTGGAAGAATTTTTTTTAATTATGCTGAGCAAAAGAAACTAGACATGAAAAGTACCTACTGAATAATTTCAATTATATGAAGTTCTAGAACATGTAACGTAAATCTAAAATGATAGGATCAGATCAGGTGTTTATTTGAGCAGCGGGTGGAGGGAATTGATTGTAAATGGACAGGAAAGTTTTCTCCGGAGTGATGGAAATGTTCTGTTTTGATTGGGGTGGTGGTTGCCAGGGTACATATACTTACAAAACCTCATCAAATGTTATGATCAAAATTTTACATTCATTTTATGTCAATTATGCCCCAATTAAGTTGATTTTTTAAAAGGGAACTGTAGTAAGTAGTAAGCATAACAATGCTGTTTCTTAAGTATCTTGTATGGGTCAGACACAGGGCAGAGTGTTTGTTTTTATCACCACTCAATTCTTATAGCATCCTTCAAGATAGGCATTATTATGAAAACTGAGGTTGAGAGTGGTGAAGTAACTTACCCAAGGTCACACAGGAGGAAGCTGGCCCGTAACACAGCACTGGGGAAGGACTGCATGAAGAGGCAGAAACTGAAGTTGCTAGAGAGAGGCTTAGAGGGAAGAATTAAAATGTGTTTGTAGAGGCAAGTATATGTGAAGAAAGGGATCCAGGTAGCTATTGGGGCTTTATGTTTGATTTGCTTGGTCTTCTCAGTGAGAAGGTGAGATGGTGAGACCACCTGCTAGAGGAGGGCTGGAGCGTGAGGGGAAATCTGGAATGGCCCAAACAGAAATAATAAAGAATTGTGAGGCAGCAAGAAGGACCCTCTCTGAGGTAGGAAAAAGTTAAGCATGGAGTAGGCAATGTCTGTACAACTCTGCCATGTTTTCTGGCAGGTTCTGCTAACTACAAACAGCAGTGATGAGAATAATGGGGGGGGGGCACACCCTAGGTGCCAGTGTGCGAATCTGCCCCAGGCAGGCATGACCCAGAGGCCTCTGGGAGTGGGTTAGTAAAGCTTTCCTAGTTGAAGTAAAAAAAAAATCTAATATCTGTCCCAGCTGAGGGGAAAATTGGCAATCCTCTCTCTCTTTTTTAATTATAATATTTGACTTACTATGATTCTGTCAGACTACTAAATTGGAAATGGAATAAAATATAGTAGAGTAGAAATTTTGGCTGAGCCAATTAAAATATTCCATAGGGAGTCTTTCCTGTCCAAGCAACATTATGAACCTCTGAATAAATTGGGCCTGGGCCCTGGTTTGTTATTTTTAATTTGGACTAATGGAGTGGATATAAAAGACTGAAATGTGGAGCATATTCAGTCACTCACATCCCGATCAAACTCTAGTGTGTCAAAAATTGACAATACCTTCACCACCTCGATTTCCCTTATTACTGCCAGTATCTGACCCACACTCTTCCTTCCCAGACTTGAAACCAGAGTGGTATTTATTAATTTATTTTTAATAACTTGTATCACATATATTTAAGGTATACAGCATGTTGCAAGATACATATATATAGTAAAATGGCTATAATAGTGGAATAAATTAACATCATTATCTCACATTATTACTCATTTTACCCCTCCATGGCAAGAGCAGCTATAGTTTACCATGGAGATATTTCGACCTCAGAACTATGCACCTTCACCCCTTGGCTGCTATCCCTTTCTCCTATTTCTCTGTGAAGACCTGACACCACACATAGGTAATAGGTGCTACATACAGGAATCTTTCTGTAGTCAAATATGTTTGGGAAACATTGTGTTAAAGTCTTTGCTGCAGAACCTCCCAGAGATTTTAATGTGCTCCTGTGCACTGTGAATTTTCAAGGGTGAGATAAAATATTTGATCATGGAACCCCTGTGGTTGTAGCATTACCTGAAATTCACCCTGGGAAACATTGGCCTAAATTGTAGTAACTGCCCCCAGCCATCCTGTCTGCCTTAGTCTTTCTTGTTCCAATCAATCTTGAGTACCACTGTGGGGAATTATCTCAAATCTCATCTTCCTTGAGCTAGTCCTCAGCTGTAGAAGTTTTGGTGACCGCACAGAGTACATATTATGCCACATCTAGTCCCTTCCTCTAGCCTCCCCACATTGTGACCTGCAAAGCTGCCCTTAATCAAAAACGAGAAACCTGCTGTACCTTACCACCACCACCAGCAGCAGCGGCCACACAACTGATAAGGATGATAGCCACACAATTTTCCTTGCTATCAGTGGCAAAGAAATTACTGTTTCCAGAATGCATGCAGCTTCAGAGGTTCCATGTTAAGAGGACTCAACATGGATAAACACAAAGGACAAGAGAAAAAAGCCTGCATGATCCCCTACTTTTGGAGGAAGAAGAAAACTAAGGATCAGGTATATCCAATGATTGTTGTCCTGATTCTAAATCCTGTGGATTATACAGAAGCTAGCAGGTAAGAAATGGGTCAGAGCTGGGACTGATGGGAATCACTTGCCAAAATCTTCTGAGCTGGCTTCGGTTTACAAACAGCTGAGAGAAGACTTTCTCTCCTTAACCACTTTACTTTATTCAAGAGTTAAACAGTTACCCTCCTACCTTAGATAACTAAAGCTAGGTAAGTTTCCACAGTTGAGTCTTGGCGGCAGCCCTGGTAGCCTAATGTGGTCCCCTCAAAGAAAGGAAGACTTTTTGAAACTCCTTCACTCCCAAATATTTTGACTTAAAGTTATTTGAATATGTCAGGTCAGAATGTGGTTTGGACCTCAATTATCTAGATAATTAAGTGTGTAGACAGGTTCTTGGTTTCAAGAGCGTGGACTGGAATAAAAAGAGCCTGTTTCTTTAAGTAGTTTTTACAAAGGCTTTCTAAAGTCCTCTTCTGTTTTGTTGATTTATTTTTTAAAGAGAGAAAGACATGTTGATGAATGAGTCGGGCTCTACAGGATCCCAGGAGAGGAAGGAGGGACTTGTGAGAGAGGGAGGGGTGAGCAGCTTTTTCTTCTGCTTCTCAGAGGTTCCAAAGCCTCCAGTCCTTCCTGATTACTCTCCAAGATGTTGCACTTACTGTCTGAATTGACTTCATGCCAAGAAAACCCTTCTTTTAAGCCTTGGATATTTATAAGCTGTGGGATAAAAAGTAAACAAGAACAGAAAGGGTTGAAGGGTAGGGAGGGAAACAAAAAGAAAGCTGAGGAAATGAGTATATTTGCAAGCTGGGGAATTTCTGCATCCTCTGGTCTCCTAGGCTCCATTGAAACAAATAAAAGGGACAACACTAATACAAAATGTCCAATCCAGAAAGGAATTTGCTTTTCGATGGGAGGTGTCCAAATAGTCTTTCTGCCTCTGTTCTGAAAAAAATGCAGGTCCTTAATAAGAGGACAAGTGAGTGGATTTGTCCTGAAAATCAGCTGGAGACTGGAGCAGCCATAATACAGCTTTTGAGGGGCTTGTGCTTGCCATAGGAGCCTTTTCTCATGACTATGTGTAATCAGAGCTGTTAAATCTCTCATTCATGCTAGGAGAGTAGACAATGGAGCAATACCGTATGATCCAAATGGCAGACTTCAGTGAGCAACAAGTACCCAACAAAACAGAGAAACAAATGAGAATATGTTTGGTAGACTGATTAATAATATTTGCTATTTTTTAAAAGATAAAATCAGCAGGGGAAACTGGCTGGAACAGGCTGGGCTCTGTTCCAGTCACCCCCTAATAATAGGATGTCCTTCAATGCTTTAGCCAGGTGTGTCATGTGACCCCAAGGTATGTAACCCAGGGCAGGCTACCTTTTGAGGGCCCCTCATCTGTGGTGCAAGTGAGGCATGTGCAGATGAGACTCCAGCCACCCCAGGAAGCTTTCTGAACCTTGGGGGACTGGCTCACAATGAATCCTGGGCTTCTGTTGCCCCATGTTGCCTAACTGTAAGTGAAAATCCACCTCATCTACTTACTGCATATGAGTGTGCTCCGTCTCACTGGGCTCAGACAAGTTGGTAATCAGTGCACAGTGAAGCTGCTTTACAGAAACTAGAATAGAGTTTCTTATACTTGTGCTACAGTTCAGTGTGCTCTGGAACAGTTAGCATTGCTACAAAAATACCGTGTAACAAAGCAGCTCAAAACTCAGTGATTTAAAACGTCAGTGACCTATAGGTCCGTCAGGTTTTGTCTCATCTAGGCTGGACTCAGCTAAGAAGCTCTGCTTCAGGTTAGGGTGGGTGGAGCAGCTCTACTTCTTAGAATAGAACTGAGAGACAGACAGGTGGCACTGCTACATACACTTTTCTCTTGTTTGGACCATCCATCTAGCTCAGGGAAGAGATACGAGTTGATTCAAGGTTACCCAGAGAACTGTCCTGCAGCTTCCTATACTGAGTATTCTACTCTTGGCACTGACAGACATGGAAAAGAGGGCACGCCGCAGTGTACAAGCACAGTTCAAATCCTTGCTAGAATTTTCCCTACTAACATCTCACTGGACAAAGCAAGTCAAAGTGCCAAGCCCAAATTCAAGAGATAGGACAGTACACTTCACCTTTTGAGAGACAAACTGTCAAGTTACATGACATAGGCTGTAGATATAGGAAGGAGTGAAGAATGGGGGTGAATATTCCCACCTATCATAATGGACCATTATCTCTTCAATTTTTACAGCCCCTAAAGGTCTTCTCTAGACATCACTGGTTCTTCACCAGTCAGTACCCAGGTAGTGTGAAGATATCCCCTTGTGGCTTAGTTTCCTTATCTGTGAAATAGGAATGACATTTTCTCTGCCTATCTCATAGAGTTGGTGTAGATGCCAAATGAGATAATGGACAAGAAAGTCCTTAGATAGTGATAAAGTATTATACAGTGCAAGTTATTATTACAGTTATTACTGGGGGACCATACTCTGTACATACTGGACTTGTGAACCATAAGTTCCCTGTTGCAACTGTCCAACTCTGCCATTGTAGTTCAAAAGCAGCTATGGACTATATGTAGATATGGGCATGGCTGTGTTCTATTACAACTTTACACCATATACACACAAAAAAAGGCAGCTGGCCCAAGGCTGCCTTTTTATGCCATAGTTTGCCAACCGTGGTATATATCCTTGAATTTCAGGAAATGGATATTAAGACGGCTTTTTATCTATCTGAGATGTTTGAGTAAAGACGTTTTCAAGATTCCCCTACCTCCCTCATTAACTCATCAAACAACCATCACCATTAAAAGATTTATCATATTATAAAGTTCCTCACTCTGCACTGAAGTCCATGTTCCTTTGTTTTGCATGGGGAATAGTTTGTTACATACCAGATAACTTGTGCATTATAAGTACTTTATAAAGCTAAGGTTATTTGAGGATTGTCCAGATTTGAGAAGAGAAAGAAAAATTTGTCATTTCCTCTGGGACACTGGAAAGTCACTGGCTTCCTCCTTTCACATTATAAGCTCCTGTGCAATCCTATTTTGCAGAGACAGCAGGAAAAATGAAAATATGGGAGTTGGGACATATTTTACAGCCCCTGTTAAAGGAGTGGTCCCTTCATTTCTCCTGAAGAAACAGCTGCTGCCACTGAGAACCTTCCACAACCCTCTTTGCTGTTTTCAGAATTGTCTTTGAATTTTCATTCCCTGTCAGCCAGAGCAGTTGGCCGTGACAGCTGAGCTATTCTCCATTATGATCAGGTAGAAGCCTGGCTCAGCCAACACTCTTGGGAGACAAAGGTAGGGGGAAGTTCTCTTACTTCTATGCCCTGGGACATCAGTAGGCCTACGCTGAAGGTGAAAACAAAATGAAAAATAAGCTGGGGGAAAATCAAGAATAGTCACACAACCCCATAATTTTTACCTGAGCTCTTCATTAGGCATTCTGAAAAATCTACTTTGGAAGCAAAAACAGCTATTGAAAAGACGACAGAGGCTAGTGCAACTAATTTGTTTTACTAGAAGCCTAACATGTAGAACTTTCCATAGGAATCAGGCTGAGTCAGGATCCCTAAACAGACCTACTGTGAAATATTTCACTGTCTTCGAATGGTCTTCTCCATCTGAAATGAAGGTTTCAATAAGTAAATAACCTGCAACTGCCTAGCAAGTCAATGCAGGTAATTAGGACATTTGGGGTTACAAAGCTCATATCTCCCCACTTGGTTCATAGTTTAGAATACAGGCAGAACCCTGTATTGATTTGGTGCCATCTCATCCACAGAGCTGGAAGGGCTCTCAGGGTACATTAAACTCAATGCAGACAACATGGGTACAACCTTTGCTGTAACTTGGAGCCTTTTAAGGCCTGAGCTCCATTTAAAGTTGGCAGATACCCAGTTTTAAGAGATTGCTCTGAGAAGCAACCCATTGTAGTGCAGACCAATTTCAAAGAGTTCATGTTCAAGGGGAAGAGTTTCTTTCCTTGTGCTCAGCTCTGAATGTAGATGTGCTCAGGAACTGCCTCCAAGAAAGCCGGAGCCCTGGGTGGAGCATTCACTTTGCCAGGATCCTACCACTGACAACACACGTCTCCCAGATGACTGAACCAGTCTGGCTAACTAATGTTGTGGCTTTGCAAGGTATCTCCTATCCATCCTTCTCTCCCTATCCATCCTTCTCTCTCTTCTCCTCCTATTCATGACTTTCTAAAGAATTGCTGCCTCCCTGCCACTACCTTCTCTCTTCCTACAAATTCACCTCACACACTGGGCCCTCCTTAATCTTCCTATAGCTTGACTTTAGTTTTCAAAGTCCTATTTTTTACACTGATATCTTTTACTGACCCACGTGAACCCTATGTTCTAGCAAATGGGGTTACTCACTATTCCCCAAACTCATCTCACCCTTTCCTACCACCTTCTTTTAGTGCTGTTTTCTCAATCTGGAATGTCCTGCCCTATATCTACCCACTGAAGTATTTCAAAGCCTTATTTATACACTATTTATTCTAGAAAGGCAGTCAAAAATCGTACTCTGAAGTTCCTTAATCTCTGGACTCCAATTGTATTCCTTTCATGTTAATCATATTCTCCCTTGTATTTTAAAAAATTGTCTTTTCTGCCTTTATAGAATGGAAGCACCTTTATCTCTAACCTGTCTTCTTCCTCCCAAAATAGAATTCATAATACATGCTCAGTTAATATGTGTCACTGGATTCACCGGTAAATGCAAGACTTGAGGCTTGCTTTCCTAAGGATCTCAAACATAAGCAGAAAATATTATGGGGAGTGGGGAGGAAATGTATACACATATATATTTCCTGTTTCTTATTAAAAACTAAGAGAGGCATTTTATAGTAGTTTCACTAGGTTGATTACCAGATTGTTGACTGAATCAGATCCTGTAAGCCTAAGAGAAGTATGTTCAGTTTACTTTTCCCATAAAAGCAATCTTATAAAGTTGGTTTCTGTTCTTAACTGAGGTCTGGTACCCAACTTCTTTGTATGAATGATCAGAAGCACACTATTTAATCATTTATAAATGGCACATCTGTACACTATATTGTATAAAGCTTTCTACAGTATATGTAAATCAATTGAACAAGGCAAAATGGCAGCCTATAAAATAAAATTTTATAAGTCCATCATAAAGTTCTACTGTACGAAGTTTTCATCTTCCTTAAAATTTCTGATAAAATAGGCTGGGTGTGGTGGCTCACGCCTGTAATCCCAGCACTTTGGGAAGTTGAGGCGGGTGCATCACAAGGTCAAGAGATCAAGACCAATCTGGCCAACATGGTAAAACCCCGTCTCTGTTAAAAATACAGAAATTAGCTGAGGGTGGTGGCGCGCACCTGTGGTCCCAGCTACTCAGCTACTCGGGAGGCTGAGGCAGGAGAATGGCTTAAATCTGGGAGGTGGAGGTTGCAGTGAGCCGATATCGCACCACTGCACTCCAGCCTGGGCGACAGAGCAAGACTCCACCTCAAAGAAAAAAAAATATGATAAAATAAAGCAGCAGGTAAAGATACTTCTTTGACAGGGTCATGATTTCACAAAAATTTCTTTAAGGAAATTTTGTAAGACATCTTTGGAAAACTTTGTAGAGGATTAAAGACTACAGTGACCTTTAGACAAACTAATGCAGAAATGTAGGTTTTGTTGCACTGATTTGCCCCTGACAATTTCCCTACGGTGAGCATAGCCATTAGCCAGCAAGCTTGGATTTCCTTCAGCATGAAAGTGGAAAGTGTGCTGCCTTTTGAATAGTTGTCTCATCAGCACTAGTAATTTTCCCCTGCTACCTGATAATAACATACTTGGCCAGGAACACTGCCCTGTCATTAAAATGAATCCATCCATTTATACCCTCATGACGGTGTCTTATTTTTCTCATTGGATAAAACATTTGGCCTAGGTTTCTTCCAGTTTGACAGCCTGAAAGTCTACGATGCTCACTCCATCTCCATGTAACCCCTCCACAATGCTATGCCTCAAGGCTGCACTTCATAACTGAGGGTAGTGTGTCTCCATGTTATTGATCTACAACTGACTTATGTAGTACTCAGGTCTTTCTCCACAGTTATCATGTCTATGTCAGAGGTGATTAATATTGGTTACAGCTGAAAAAATCTCATTGCCTAGGTACTCGTCCCCACCCCAAAGCCAATTAAATTAGAAAACACAAAGCAGCCTGTGGATCACTCAAAACTCAAAACAATATTTAAAAAAGCACCTGAGGGGTATTCAGAAATTTTAGGTTTTATACTCTACCTTGACAATAACATCCAGATATACAGCTTTGGGCAGACCACTTTCTCTCCTAAAGTTTTAGTTTCCTCATATGTAATAGGAGAACAGTCTTTCCCATATCAAAAATGGTATGATTCTTCAACAAAGTACTAGCAAACAGGTCTCAACAATACGCTAAAAGGATTATCTACCATGACAAATTGTGATTTATTCCTGCAATGCAAGGATGGTTCACACACAAATATTAATCAGTATAATATCCCACATAAACAGAATAAAGGAAAAAAACACATGAGCATCTCAATTGATGCAAAAAAAGGGTTTTTATAAAACGCAACACCCCCTTTTATGGTAAAAACTGAAGAAAAACTATCTCATTATAATAAAGAGCATTTATGAAAAGTCCATGGCAAGTATCATGCTTAATGGTGAACAGATGAAAGCTTTTCCTCTAAGAACTGGAACAAGACAAGGATTCCCACTTCCACCACTTCTATTCAACATTATATTGTCACTAAATTCCTGGAAGAAAGCTTCATGTCAGCAAGGCATTTAAGAAATCAAGGCCAAAACTCTAATTAAGAGAGAAAGGAAGAAGAGGCTCTATGGTAAAAGCAACTAACCAGAAATTTACTTTCCAAATTGGAGGCATATCATGAGGGTTAGATTAGCAAGGTGGTTAGTACCTCCTGTCAAGGCCTTACAAGGTGAATCTGGAGAGATTTTCATTTCTCCTTCACCTGGAACTAGGGATAAGTCTAAGATGCCTGATGTGTTTATGTAACCCTGGATATGAAAAATAAAGAAATGCAGAAGCTAGGGGGCCAGACCTGAAATAACCTGCATCTTTGTCTTGGCCTTTGTTCTCCCTCAACATCACAGGTCATCTTTGTCCTTCCACCTCAGACTTCCTAGTGCAAATCTTCAGCTCAATCCCTGATTAAGGAAATGCAGTTGGGAGGAAAGGTAGAAATGAGCACCCACAGATGGAATGCACAACAGAAAAGTTTTCCACAACAAAGAATTACACTGAGAAGGCATTGGAAGACATGACCTGGACACACAGAAATATTTCTCTCATAAACAGGATTTCACTGATTATCTCTCCTTGCTTATTGCAGTAATGTTACTTCTCTAGTCTGTGTTAAACAGCCTAATGGTCCACTCTTAGTTGGCAATTTACCTGACTCTGTCTAATTAATGTGTTCTAAGGATAGCCTTTTCAAGTGTAGCCAGTAAGGTAATAATAATAATATAGTAGTAATAATAATGGGTTTTTGAGCACTAACGATAAGCCTTTTGTCATGTGAGCTATTATTATGCATTATTAATAGCCTCATTTTAATGGTGACCAAACTGAGGCACAGAGGCAATAAATAATTTTCCCAAGGTTACACTTTTACTAATATGGGATTCAAATTCAGACTTTTTAGAGTTCTTGCTCTAAACAACTGGATAGTGGATAGAAAGTTATTCTCATTGACTTTCATCTACCTTTGATAAATTTGTAGTTTTTGAGGGTGATCTCTGATCTAGAATGGCCTCTTTTTAAAGACGCACATCTTTTCAAAAGATATGTGAGTGGGAAGCATAAATGTTAATTTTTCAATACTGCTTTACAGTACATAGTACGGTTATAAAGAAGAACAATGATTGAATCTTGTCTATAGGTCCACATAACCATAGCAGAAGACCATGATTTGCTTTCATTTCCTTCCAACTCCCTTTTCTGTGTGGAGAAAAGTACATTTCCACTGTTTCCAGAGAGAAAACCATGTGTGCTGAACAAATAACAGGCTAGTCAAGCTGTCTTCGGAGATTTTAAATACCAAGTTTTCTTGAATAACTGAAGCACACAGAATTGTGAAACCCATACCAATTCAGGGGAATTTCATTCCAATTACCATACCCTGAAAAAAACCTAGAATTAGATTATGCCATGATCCATCACATATAAAGTTTACTGAGAGGTACTTCATTATACCTGTATTAGATTTTCTTTAAATCTTACTCTCATTTATGTACTCTGATTAAAATATTATATCCTATTTGATAAATACAGCAGAGAAACACAATCTGTTGTTTTGGTTTTTGTTTTTTAGTTACCTACATCTATCAGGAGTGCGGCAGAGAAAACCAGCAAAGGCATCATACTGTGTGGTTGTAACTAGCTCTAATTGCTGGCTAAGAACTGAGAAAGAAAAATATAGAAAAAATATAGAAAAGGTAGATTTTGTAATGATTCAAAGGCCAGAAATGAGAAGTAGGCTTTCCTATAAAGAAGTTGATCAAGCAGTAAGTGTTTATCAAGTGCAGTTGCATTCTCCATGGTACATTAGGAGCTGAGATTTACAGAGAAGACTACCTGCTCCCTACTCTTGAAAAATTTTATATCTCTTGAACAGAATTGTCCAATAGAACTTTCTGCAATGATGAAAATATTCTACATCTGTTCTGGCCAATATGGGAGATAAGAGTCACATGTAGCAATTTAAATTTAAATTTAAACGAATTAAAATTAAATAAAATTAGAAACTCAGTTCCTTAGACATGCTAGCCACATTTTAAGCACTTAGTGGCCACATGTGGCTCATGGCTACCATGTTAGATGTTAGACAGCACAAATATAGAACATTTCTCTCACCACAGAAAGTACTAATGAATAGAACTGCTCTAGATAATGTCAGAAAAGGAGGAAAGTGTAATGTCCTTATTTCTTTTAAATGTCAATTGTATGGGCTTCAGTAAATAAAACTTTAAGTTATTATGACAAGAAAAAATGATGGGCAGGACTCTATTTAAGGAGGAATCTTATCAACTTAAGGCAAACTATATATACTTAACAACATACCTATAAACAGATGGATACTTGATCTTAAATTGGCTTTGAATTCATATATGATTATAACACTGGTAGGCAATGTCTTTAGCAATTGAGAGTAAAATGTTAGGCACAAAAAAGTTTCCAGTTGAACAATTTTCTATGAGAAGAAGTTAAATCCATTAAATTCTTGACTTTCTAGTCAAAAACCATCAGTGTGGGTTGATGTAGCAGACTCTTAGGAAAAAAATGAAATGCAGGATAGCAGAGATACCATTGAGGTGAATTATATTGCTCCAGCAAATTTCATGCTGAGATTTATTTCGTCTTCTTGGTAATGCATAAAAAAGAAAGTCGAGTGTGGGCTTGTATCAGTGGGACCATTTAAATTGATGCATTAGAAGACTAGCAGCAGCTTTCACCTCATTCTAGCTGTGGGCCTATTGATGTTCTCATTAAGAAGTAATATTCTCAGTGATTTGAAACTCATCATAAATATTTAAGTGGTATTACTTCTAAAATAAGAGTTTCTTCCTTGCCCTTCATTCATGAAAGAGCTTCAACCCATTTGTGACTATGTTTCTAAAGATGAATGTAACAGGTGTACCCACAATGATATGCCCTCAATATTCAAGTAGATCTGATACATGCCCCATGAAAATGGAACATAGTAACTGTGCAGAGTGCATGTGCCTTCAATTATCTTGTCTACACATCTAAATGAACGATTTACGTATTTAAAACTGCCTTTTTGGTACTACCTTCAGAACTTCGGTCTTCAATGACTTAGATCTGGAAAAAACACATGAGGCAATTTAGTTTCTGAAAATTGGCTTCTTCACACGTGATACAATTGATTTAATAACAATGATAATCATGTTACTTGAAGGAAAGAAAATAATTGAGCAAAACCACACTAAGTCCTGGCATTATTTTAATCTGTTTGGAACTTTTGGATTTGACACCCCCTTTTATGGTAAAAACTGAAGAAAAAACTACCTCAGCATAATAAAGACTATGTATCAAAAGTCCCTGGCAAATATCATGCTCAATGGTGAACACATGAAAGCTTTTCCTCTAAGAACTGGAATAAGACAAAGATTCCCACTTCCACCACTTCTATTCAACATTATACTGTCACTAAATTCCTGGAAGAAAGCTTCATGTCAGGAAGGCTTTAAGCTTCTGGAACATTCTATCCTAGTCCCAGTTGGAATATCCTGGGTGAATACTACCCACTACAAGAAAGAAGATGTCTGTTGTGGTCATGGAGGTTAGCCAAACTGGCACAATGCCTAGCTCCAAATGACTGCCTTCCCTTTTCCATATCCTTCATTCAAACTCCTCCTTTCCGTGGTATTTTTGTGTTTTTTGTTTGTTTGTTTTGTTATCCTTTCTTTTTAAAAAAAAAAAAGTTTGACATAGAAATAGTCCTTTTAATAACAGCCTTTCATGCTTTCTTCTGTTCACTGATCCATAGTAACCCTTAGAATAAACCCCTGAACCCCAGCTCTAGTAATAATCTAACCACAATTCATGCTGTTATTGCAGCCATGAGCCATTCATCCACTCCTGCTGCTATGCTTGTGGTTTCATTGTACTCAGTAAAGCTATCCTGTCAGTACCTCACCCCACTGAAGTACCTGTCACCTCCTTCTCTGCTCTCAGATTTGGGCTCCTCTCAGACACGGGTAATTGAATTTAAAAGGGACATCTGAAACAAAATAAGCCTGTCAAATTAATTCTTCTGAAAAATTTAGAATTAGGAGTTAGTCAGTCTGACCTGGTTTTTGAGTGAAAAAGTTGAAAACTTGAGAGGTGTGAGTTGGTGACCTTCTGCCAGCTATGTGATGGAGAATTAGGGAAAAAATGAAGTCAATTTGCAGGAGGAAAAAAATAAAGTTCTGGTAGTTTTTCAGTTCAAGTTACTATCTCCTCAGTCCCACCCATCACAAACCTCATGGACACATGCAAAGAAGCACATATCCTCCTTCAAAGATTGAGGTGTCTCTGACATAGTCATCTCCATCTGCTTTGGTTTGGATTTGGTTTCTTTGGCCCTACCAAGTCTCATGTTGAAATCTGATCCCTGATGTGGGAGGTGTTTGAGTCATAGGGAAAGATCTCTCATGAATAACTTGTTGTCTTCCTCCAGGTAATGAGCAAGTTCTTGCTCTATTAATTCCCATGAGAGATCACCCCCTCCCCAAAGCAAGAGCTGGTTGTTAAAAAGAGCCTAGCACCTTCCTCTGCTCTCTCTCACTTCTTCTCCCTTGCCATGTGTTCTCTGCATGCTGGTTCCCCTTCCCCCTCCACCATGAGTGGAAGCAGCCTGAAGATCTCACCAGAAGCAAATGCTGGTGCCCATGCTCCTTGTACAGCCTACAGAACTGTGATCCAAATAAACCCCTTTCCTTTATAAATTATCAAGCCTCAGGTATTCTGTTTTAGCAACCTAGGTAGCCTAAGACACCACTTCCTCTCCTTTTTACTTTTAAATGCTAGTTTTTGTATATCCTCTTCTTCCTTCTTGCATTCAGTACAAAGATTTCTTCTCTTTTTTAAGATTAATCCTTCAACTTGACTTGGGCCCATGCATTTCTGCCTCCTAAATAACCCCAATAGCTATTGTTCAATAGCCCCCTCCTCTACCCATGCTTTTATTTCTATTTCTCTAGGGATTTCCTTTAGTCTCTAAGTATGCACCTGTGTTCCTTCACTTTATCACCAAACTACTAGAGAGAGAGGTGTGCACTTGGTAAACAAGGACTGAGTTCTGGCTACCTGCAAGTCACTGTGCTGAGCATAATTTTATATATATATATATATATATATATATATATATATATATATATATATATATATATATATATATAACACCTCACAACTACCCCACAGCTCTGCCTACTGCATTTCACCTCCTGTCTACCCTCATGCTCCATTAAGCCCAGCAAGCTGTCCTCTTCTCTCATCAATTCATGGAAGTATTTATTCCAGAGAGCACCTATGGACTCCAAATCACCAAATCCTAAATTATTTTATTTCTCATTCTATTTGGTCTTTGAATTGCATGACAGTTAAGGATTTATCTTCTGTGGTAGGAAGAATAACAACTCCCCAAATATGCCCAAGTCTTAATCCCTGGGTCCTGTGAATATGTTACATTACATGGAAAAAGAGACTTGGCAGATGTGATTGAGGTTGTAGCTCATGAGTTAGAGGGTTTCATGGATAATCCAGGTGGGTACAATGTAATCACATGAGCCCTTTTAAGTCTAGCATCAGTAACAGAGATATGATTGAAGAAAAAAGAGAGATTTGAAATGTGATACAAACTAATCCCAGAGTTGCTGGCTTTGAAAATGGAGAAGAAACCACAACCAAAAAATGCAGTAAGCCTCTAGAATCTGGGAAGGATTCTCTGGCAACAGCCAGCAAGGAAATGGGACCTTGGCCCCACAACCACAAGAAAGTGAATTGTGCCAACTCTAAGGAGCAATGAAGAAGACTCTTCTCCAGAGCCTCAAAAAAAAAAAAAAAAAAAAAAAAAAAAAAAAAAAGCAGCTTGGTGATATCTTGATTTTAGGCAGATGACACCCATGCCAGAATTATGACTTAACTGAAGATTAAATAAATGCCTGTTGTTTAAGCCCCAAGTTGTCAGAGACATGTAAACCAGAGCAACTCTATCTTAAGTAGGGGCTGGGTAAAATGAGGCTGAGACCTACTGGACTGCATTCCCAGATGGTTAAGACATTCTAAATCACAGGATGAGACAAGAGGTCAGCACAAGATAAGGTCATAGAGACCTTGCTGAGAAAACAGGTTGCAGTAAAGAAGCTGGCTAAAACCCACCAAAACCAAAATGACAATGAGAATAACCTTTCTTCATCCTCACTGCTACATTCCCACCAGCGCCATGACAGTTTACAAATGCCACGGCAACATCAGGAAGTTACTCGTATGGTCTAAAAAAGGAAGTAATGAATAATCTGCCCCTTGTTTAGCATATTATCAACAAATAGCCATGAAAATGGGCAACCAGCAGTCCTTGGGGCTGCTCTGTCTATGGAATAGCCATTATTTTATTCCTTTACTTTCCTAATAAATTTGCTCTCACTTTATTCTGTGGACATGCCCTGAATTCTTTCTTGCATGAGATCCAAGAACCATTTCTTGGAGTCTGGATCAGGACCCCTTTCTTGTAACATCTTTCTGGTGACCACAGAAGGAACTACAGTGTGGAAACCCCTGACCCAAAGGCTAACTTTGGGTAAGTGATGGGGTTCAATAACATCTTTCTGGTGAATCATGGAAGGGACAATACTGAGGAGACCCCTGATATACAGGAAATAGGCTGCAGCACTAATTGGATGACTTTGGGTAAGTGGGGTGCATATACCCAGGTAAAAGATGGGATTGGGCTGGAGGCCCGATTTAGAGGAGTTAGAGTCTCTCCTAAGACAGTGTAGGTTGCAGGCCCCTCTTAGTAAAAAGCAAAGGACACTTGACAGATCTTGGGTTAGAGGCCCAACTTAGAAGAGTTACTGTCCCTTCTAAGATTTAGGGGGTTAAAGGCCCCTCTTGGTAAGTCCCTTTTGTCTAAGGACTGGTTTGACATGACAAGATGTTAACTGCTATTCTCTTTGAATTAATCTGTCTTATACTCTTTGCTGGGGGCT
This sequence comes from Homo sapiens, assembly GCF_000001405.40. Classification (NCBI taxonomy): domain Eukaryota; kingdom Metazoa; phylum Chordata; class Mammalia; order Primates; family Hominidae; genus Homo; species Homo sapiens. The sequence goes on from NC_000003.12 coordinate 118,590,665, forward strand.
GTGGGTGACAAGATTAGGCAAGTACAGAATCGTGGGACATGGGGAGCTTTTTCTTGCCTAAAAGGAAAAATTTGAGACCTGATGGGACTGCTGGAAAAGATCCCTTCACAACAGAAAAGTGTCCGCCTGAACTTTTCAGTGTCACTGCAATGGGTGGGTCTTTCTCTGGCCTCCCAGAGCACTTCTTCTTTCCTATCCTGCCTCAGGCAAACCCATCCTTTCTTCCTCTGTGCAAACCAGTTGAATGAATTATAAAAATCACTGTTTATCTCCTGTCTGAAGTTTTGATTCATGGAAAGAAGGATTTGTGGGACTAGTCTTAAGCTGTAGTGAATTTGGTGTGCTTTGTGTGTCTTTCTGAATTGTTCTGTCATCAAAAGGGATACCTTGGGATAGAATACAGGATGAGGACACCTGTAAGCCTGATTTTTAAGATGGCCCAGCAAACTGGTCAGTTATAAACTTCATTGCAGGACCCTGAAAAAACTGGATGAGGTTTAACTCTTGTCTTGTATGTCCTTCGGAGCTTGGCCTTGTAACTATGTGGCCATGCTTTCTCTTTTCACGATGGTGGCCTGGGTTCAGGGTTCAATTCCCAGCTTAGAGGAGGAGCCCTTTATCTTCTTCTGTCTGTGTATTTATAAAATGTGTTGTGTGTGTGATGTGTATATATGAAAGAGTGTTAACTAGTTGACTTAAAAATAATAAAAGCTTAAATCAAATATTTTGTTAGAAAAGTAAAAAGTGTAATGCCTTTTAGTTCATGTGACTTAAGTAATCTTTGGGAAATATAGTTTTAAAGGTCACTGGTGAAATAAAAATATCTTTTAAAATGTGAACATTTGGTCTAAATTACGGAGGTCATATATTATGTTTGCAAAATGCTTCAAGGTCATAAACTGCTTCCTCGACTTTTGAAAATTGTTCAGTTTACCTAATTTGGAGCATTAGAGTCTAGATAAGGCCTGGGGACATGGGGTATGTGGAGTTAGCCACGCCCCCTAGCTATGCTAGAAAGTCAGACCTTATCTGCACTTCTGTCTGGGTCCTGGGCTCCACACCTGGTACATAATTAAAATTGCTTACTAGCCAGGTTTTTCACAAAAAGTAAAAGTTGCTAAAAGTTAACATTCTAACATGTATTTGAGACTACTGAAGAAACAGTTTTACATGCAAGGTGTGTAAAGAAAGTGAAATGTGTTTTTGGTAAAAGATTATAAAAAGCCATGGGAATGTGGATTTTCTTTTTTGTTTTTGTTTTTCTTTTTTTCTTTTTTTTTCTGCCTAAAGAGCTAAAGGATTGTTTTAAGTTAGAATAAAGCTAGAGGCTTAAACAAGTTGTGGAAGTTTTGTAAAAAATTAATTGTAAAAGAAATTCTGTGTGTGAACATATTAGCTAAAGATAAAGGGGTATTATTCAGTTTTTCTGTAAATTAAACATTGGAATAACAACAGGTTTTTCTTAGAACAAAGACCTGCTTATGATCTGCTCTTTAACAAAATCTGTAAAGGGTTATAAGAGGTTTATGAAAATCTTATCTTATGGTCAACCTGATTAAGATTGAATGCATTTACCTATAAAGTTTTATTAACAGTTGGTTTTAACATTAATAGTACACTAATGTAAAGGTGAAATTTGGCTTGTTATAAAAAATCATACAGATGCATTGTCAAATATGAAATGGTGTTTGGTTTTCTTTGGGCTGTATTTGTATAAATGTGTTATTATGTGTTCCAAAATTATGGAAAACTCCTGTAATCCTGATATGATTTAGTGTATGTTATTAATAATTGTAATTTTTTTTTTCCTGAGATGGAGTCTTGCTCTGTCTCCCAGACTGGAGTGCAGTGGCTCGATCTCTGCTCACTGCAAGCTCTGCCTCCCAGGTTCACATCATTCTCCTGCCTCAGCCTCCCAAGTAGCTGGGACTACAGGTGCCCGCCACCAAACCCAGCTAATTTTTTTGCATTTTTAGTAGAGACAGGGTTTCACCGTGTTAGCCAGAATGGTCTCGATCACCTGACCTCATGATCTGCCCGCCTCGGCCTCCCAAAGTGCTGGGATTACAGGCATGAGCCACTGCGCCCGGCCCAATAATTATAATTGTTACATAAGATCATTGTATGCCAGAGAGGTAACCAAATTCATTGGCCAATCATGTTTTTAACTGTGGCTGTCCTAAGACATTTTGTCATTTATAAAAAATTGTCTCATTTTGGTCCACTTTAGAAGGTGGTTTTATAATCAACTGTAGGACTTTAAGAGGTGCACTTAAATGCAGGTTTTGTATAACTTTGGAAATTGTGAAATCAGAATAGAGGAAAATAGAGGAAAAACCTCTCATAGAGAGCTGGAATGTTCATGAATATCAAGCAGAACAGGAGTTAACTGAATTGACTGAACCAATAGAAGACTAAGGTAATCTTTAACTTTTTGCTTAAAACGTTGCCGATCCTTTGTTTACTTTAAAGGGTCAAGAAAACTTTTTTTTTGAGCTATTTACAGATTTTAACAATTGAGTAAAGTATACTGCTGTGAACAAAATTTGGAGCATATTTGTTTCTCTCTAACTGATTTCTCTGAAATTTGGCAACTATTTGTGAATATTCTTAATTTATGGCAATATAGTTATTTGCATAAGTGCAATAAGAATCTGTTTTCTTTTGCAACAGGACATAATTGGAGAAATTGGTTATTGTACCAAGGCTTTGACTGGAATGGCATGCTTTCCTGTAAGGAATCAAACCTGACCTGTAAAGCCAATAAAAGCCCCTTGGGGAAATGCCTCACACCTTGTTGCCACAGTCCCCGTACAGGGTTTCTAACCTGTGGTATGTAAAGAATGTTAGTTTCTCATAGGCCCAGGAGCCCCAAGTTACGTTGGGACCCCGAGAAGAGAGGAATTTACTCAAGTCATAGGTATTTGAGGGTAGAAACCCGTGGCAGGGCTCAGCTCTAAAAAAGTCTTATCTAAGATTCTTTCTATGGAACAGAGTTCCATCAAAGCCAATTTAAAAAGAGCTATGTGAAAAAATAAGTCTTCTTGCTGCACTTTATACAAATAATCAGGCCAAGTATAATAAAGCAAATCAGTCTTACCATTATTTGTCTTTAGTAAAAATGGGAAACTAGAGAGAGAAAAGTTATGTTTCAAGAGCTATGGTACACTTGTTACTAAATTCTAGTCTCAACAGTTGTTGTTAAGTTTGTTTCTGCAATTTAGGCCAATCTTGCTTATTCCTGTGAACCAACCAGTGATCTCTGAGTTCTACTCAGAAAAAACAAGAGGGGTGGCTATTGTAAATATCTGGATCAGTATTCTAATCCTAGGCACATATTGGAATCATATAGCAACCCCTTATGAGCTTGGTTTCAACATTTGCTCAGGTCATGGACAGTCTTCTAATTTAGTTTACTTGGAATAATTTTGCTTATTTTGCATTACTGTTGTGGAATATATTGCTGTTGTACCCTTTGTGTAGGAATGAGGATAAGCTTACTCAATGTTGTATTAAACTAAACACTTATTAATCTTCCAGGTATCACCTTTTGTTAAACTCAGAGTTATGAATGGCCCTTGCCATACTGATGCTTTCTGACTGATCTCCTTTCTACCCTTAACACAAGAGACCCTCACAGTTAGGCAGGAATATAATTGCCCCTATTCAGCCTGAAGAATTTACAGAAGATGGATCTTTGTGCCTCTGCAACCCTTAGGATTGAGGGTTCTCCTGTAAAAGGGAGTGGGGAAATGTCAAAGGTGTGTAAACCAGAGCAACTCTATCTTAAGTAGGGGCTGGGTAAAATGAGGCTGGGACTAACTGAGCTGCCTTCCCAGATGGTTAAGGTATTGTAAATCACAAGATGAGATAGGAGGTCAGCACAAGATACAGGACATAAAGACTTTGCTGATAAAACAGGTTGCAGTAAAGAAGCTGGCTAAAACCCACCAAAACCAAAAGGGCAATGAGAATAACCTCTGGTCATCCTCACTGCTACACTCTCACCAGCACCATGACAGTTTACAAATGCCATGACAACGTCAGGAAGTTACCCTATATGGTCTAAAAAGGGGAGGAACGAATAATCCGCCCCTTGTTTAGCATATCATCAAGAAATAGCCATAAAAATGGGCAACCAGCAGCCCTTGGGGCTGCTCTGTCTATGGAGTAGCCATTATTTTATTCCTTTGCTTTCCTAATAAACTTGCTTTCACTTTACTATATGGATTTGCCTGGAATTTTTTCTTGCATGAGATCCAAGAACCTTCTCTTGGCATGTGGATCAGGACCCCTTTCCTGTAACTAAGTTTGTGATAATTTGTTATGGCAGCCGCAGAAAACTAAAACACCTCCATCTTTCTCAAATTCTCTCATTGGCTTTGTAATGATACATTTTGTTATTCTACTTCTATCTCCCCAAACTCTTCTTCTTTGGCTCTTATTCACTCTCATCCTCCCTGTATATCAGTAATTCCTAAATTCTGTTTTTCCTACCTATTCTCCTGGCAATCTCATAAGCTTTCATAACCTCAACAACCACTTCCATTCATATGGTACCAAAATCTAAACTCGTGCCCCTGACCTCTCTCCCAACTGCCTAGTGTTCATTATCATCTGAATAACCCACCATCCAAAACATCTGATATGTCCAAAACTGAACTCATTGCTTTTTCCTCAAAGGTTGCTTCTCCTCCTCATTGTTCTATTTCTTTACTTATACTGAAATGGGAAAAGTTCCCTTATTCCCCTCACAGGGTGTGTGATGGGGGTGTGGCTCACTTCTTCAGTGCCCCACTGCTCAAACCTCTAGGGGGAGCATATAGACAGGCAGGCTGTGGGGCTCCAATCCCATGGCAGTGTCTAGGGGCGAATGTTTACAGCTCTTGAAGCCCCAGTGGGTGGGTGTTACGGGTGCTCTTTTAGTTTTGCTGTCTGTAGGCCACATGTGTTAGTCAGCTCAATTAGACCCCCTGCCTTATCACAAGGACAGAGGGCTTTCTGTATCCCGAGGTTTCTTGCCTTGGTGTACCAGAAGAATTGGATCACATGTGGGCTTGGAGAATGAGTGCAAGGTTTTATTGAGTGGAAGTAGCTCTCAGCAGAAGGGAGATGGAGCAGAAAGGTGGTTTTCCACTGGAGTCAGGCCACTCAGAGGCTGGGCTCTCCTCTGGCCACCCTGGTAAAACTCCGTGCTGTTCTACCAGTTGATGGTCTGACAGCTGGCTGGTGCCTGTCAGTGTGCTCTTACACCAGTGCGTTCCTCTTGACATCCAGCCCCTTGTGTCTTCTTCTGCTGGTGTGTTCCTCTCAACATCCAGCCACTTGTGTATGTGCCCCCTAGGGTCCCACGGTTTTTAAAGGCACAGGATGGGGCAAGCCAGGGTGGTCTTGGGAAATACAACATTTGGATGCAAAGGCAGTAGTGCCTGTCCTCACCTAGGTCTGTGGGCACAGGGCTGAGGGTGGAGCCATAGCCATGAACCCGCCTTTCTCTACCCAGCACTTCCCTGTCCCCCTCCTGTATCAATACTACCATTCTTTCAGTTACCCAGATTTCAAAACTCCAACTTACGTTTAATATCTCCTATTAAAAAACACACAACCCTCCAATTATTTACCAAGTCCTGTGTGTTACTTTCTTGCTTCCTCTTTACTATTCCAGATTTCAGCCAGGAATTTTATCAGCCAGGTTTGAACAATAAAAACAGAAACTGATTACTTAAAATAGAGGAATTTAAATATAGAATTTTACCTGCACAGATGGTAGAAGAACCAAGAAACCAAACAAGGGATAGAGAGGCAAACCAGAAATTAGTTTGACAGTAAATTCTACCTGCCCTACCCTGGAGAAAGAAAATGGAAGATAGGATTACCAAAGCTGGAGCCGAATTTATCACTGCTGCCAGAAGCATCACCTGAGGGACAGGGAGTGAAAGAGAATTACCCTGGCTTCTTTCTCCTCCCTCCATCCTTCCACCAGAGCCTCTCATTGGCCATACCAGCAGGAATCCAGCTGACACCCAATGTGGAGCCTGGGAAACACAGACTGCAATAATTAACTCCCTTTAATTAGGGGAAGAGAGAGGAATGGATCTGAAAGAATTTAAGCAGTTGACGGACATACCACATTCCCACCCCTCATTCCTTTCACCTTGACTATTTGTAATAATCTTTAATTGATCTCTTTGCCTCATGTGTTTCTTCACACCATCCTATAACAATATTAACAAATTAATCTTCCTAAAGACTAATACATCACTTTCCTCTACAAAAATTTTAATAGCTCTCTATTACTTTCTGAAAAATTTTCTAATCCCTTAGCATAGTGTAGTTAGATGATTACTATTATGGCCCCCAGGGAACCACACCTCTCAGTATTCATGTCCTTGTGTGATCTTCTTCTACACTGACTCTAGGCCTGACCAATGAATGGGACATAGCAAGCCTTGACGTGCATTTGAACATGAAGGCTTATTCTGTTGAAATGCTTGCTCTTGACATCCAGCCACTATGTAAAGCATCTAAACTAGACACATGAAAGACCAAAGTAGAGAGATAAAGGGGTTAGGGGGAAGGATGGAGTCACAGCCTCCCAGACATCCCTGTTAAACAAAAGATAAGTGAGTGAAACCATTTGGACATTGCCATCTAGCCACAATCTGACTACAGCCATGTAAGAGATCCCAGTAAGACCCACAGAAGAACCACCCAGCTGAGCCCCAAACAACTCATGGAATCATAAGCAGGTAAAATGGTTGTCTTTTTAAACAACTAACTTTTGAGATGGTTTGTTACACAACAATAGAAAGCCAAAATTTCCAGCTCCTCCCACAATTATGTAAGGTCTATTTCCTGTAATACATCATTATTCTATAATATTTGTAATGGTTCTCCTTTTCTGATCAAACTCTGACTGCTATCCCTGGCATTAAAAACACTCTGCAATCAGACCACAGCCAGCCTTTCCCTGTTTCTCTCGGACTACTGCCTTCAATCATCATTTCCTCCAGCCAAACAAATCTTGGGTTCTCACACATGCTCTTTACTTTCCAGATCTACATTATCTTTACCCAGAAAGTACCCCCCTGCTAGTGTTCCATAAATAATCATTTAATATCACCTCCTGCAGGAAGTTTCACCAGATTCCACAAATAATAATCTCTCCTTTGAGACACCAATACATTTTATGACTGGTATGCACCTATCTTGTATAATTGTTAGATCCTTTGTAAAACTAGTAACTCCATGAGGACCAGGATGAGATTCTTAATGCAGCTTTTTCTCTCCTCAGCACTCAAAACAGTGTTTTATATAGTGTGTGCTCCTTAAATGTTTGTGAATTCACTGGCTGGCTCAATTAAATATCAGTTAATTTTGAGCGATCACCAGGAAAAAGAAAATAAGTAATGTTTACCAGAATAAAAACATTACTGGACACTGACAAGAGGCTCATAAAATACTTGTAAATTGAATGACATATTCATGTGATGTTATATCAACTTTATATTTCAGGAAACATATTTTTATTAAACATTCTGTAGCTCCCAAAATGTTTGATGATTTAAAGTTAGGATTACCAATTACCTTTCCTCCTTTTCCTAAAACTCATTTTTTTCTTCCTTCCTTTGTATTACTTTCTTTTCCCAGTTCCTAATTCTTTTTTCTTACCCAAAGGCAAGGAGCCTTTTTTAAGCAGGCTGCATGCTGCCCAAACCCCCAAGCCCAAGTCCATGGAGAGTAGGGGTCATGACAATTATATTAATTTGACCTCTTCTTTTCTATGTAGATTCATTTATGTGCCCCAAACCAACAAAATGGTATGTTTTGTTTTCAGAGTCCTAACCCTTTGGGGAGTAATTTTAATTTAATCATTTAAAATGATAAGAACAACCAAGTTCTTGGTTAGTGCAAAATATCTGGGGGATTGTTGCAAATATTTGGCAATATTCACTAAAGAGAGAGGAAAGTATATTAGGACAAATTGATTATAAATGAAAGCAATCTTCATGGAAAATTAAAAACTACAGTCTGACAATGAACTAGTACTCCATAGCACAGTAATTTCTAAGAGTGTCATTTAACAGAATTCATCTCTCAGAATGCCTTCTCTTTTTTTTCTATTATTCTTCATTTTAAGGAAAAAAAATTGAGGCTTGTGCAAAATTCTAAATTATAAACCTGATTTATACTTCATATAATATAATGGAAAAAGCAAGTGCTTTGAACTGAGACAACAGTTTGAATCCCAGTTTTACAAGGCATTTGCTGGATAAGTTATTTCAACTCTGTCACTTTCCAAGTGTCCTCACTTGCAAAACAAGGATAACAACCCTTACTACATAGGGATGTTGTGAGAGCTACTTACATTAACATAGGAAAAGCACACTGCCCAGCATGCTGCAGGTGCTCAACTGCTGCAGAAATGGCAAGGTTTGGATTTTTTTTTTTTTTTTTTTTTTTGAGATGGAGTCTCGCTCTGTCACCCAGGCTGGAGTGCAGTGGTGCAATCTCCGCTCACTGCAAGCTCCGCCTCCCGGGTTCATGCCATTCTCCTGCCTCAGCCTCCCGAGTAGCTGGGACTACAGGCGCCCGCCACCGCGCCCGTCTAATTTTTTATATTTTTAGTAGAGACGGCGTTTCACCATGCTAGCCAGGATGGTCTCGATCTCCTGACCTCGTGATCCACCCGCCTCGGCCTCCCAAAGTGCTGGGATTACAGGCGTGAGCCACCGCGCCTGGCCTGGATTCTTAATGCATCTTTTTGTCCCACCAGCACTGAGGACAGGACCTTGCACACAGTGAATGTTCTATACTTTGCCTTTTCCAGAGGCCCTATGGAGGAGTTTCCACTTTTACTTCCTTTCACTAAACTAGTTTTGCAGTTTTCTTTTTTTGAATTTTATTTAATTTTATTTTAAGTTCTGGGATACAAGTGCAGGATGTGCAGGTTTGTTACATAGGTAAACGTGGGCCATCATGGTTTGCTGCACCTATCAACCCACCACCTAGGTATTAAGCCCCACATACATTAGCTATTTATCCTGATGCTCTACCCCCCACCCCACACACTACCACAGGCCCCAGTGTGTGCTGTTCTCCTCCCTGTGTCCATGTGTTCTCATTTTTCAGCTCCCACTTATAAGTGAGAATATGCAGTGTTTGGCTTTATGTTCCTGTGTTAGAAAGCCAGTCAGAATGACGATTACTGAAAAGTCAAGAAACAACAGACTCTCGTGAGGCTGTGGACAAACAGGAACACTTTTACATGGTTGGTGTCAATGTAAATTAGTTCAACCATTGTGGATGACAGTGTGGCAATTCCTCAAAGATCTAGAACAAGGAATACCATTTGATTGACCCAAAAACCCCATTTCTGGGTATATACCCAAAGGAATATAAATCATTCTGTTACAAAGATACATGCACACATATGTTCACTGAAGCATAATTTACGATGGCAAAGGCATGGAATCAACGCAAATGCTCATCAGTGATAGACTGAATAAAGAAAATGTGGTACATACACACCATCGTATACAATGCAGCCATAAAAAGAAACAAGATCATGTCCTTTGCAGACACATGGATGGAGCTGGAAGCCATTACCCTCAGCAGTTTTCTTACTTATGTAATGACAAGACATAGTTCTTGAGGTTTGCGGATCATTAGTCCCTTTTAAACTCAACAAACCCTCACAGCAGTGCATACTCAGGTGGGCAGATAGGCATCAAAACCCGGGCCACAGTCTTGTTTTTGGAACTAAGAGGAATATTCAAGGCCCAGGGTTCCCGATCTCAAGGAATTGATAATCTATGGACACTGCACATATGCCTATGAAACCACACCAAAAACAACAACAAAAAATCAACCATACAGTTTAGAGCCTTTTTATGATTTTTTCGTGAGCTTTCATATCAAACTCTATTCTATCTCCTTCAAAGCTCTGAGTGTCTTTGAGATAGGCAGGACAAGTGTTCATATGCCAATCATAAAACTGAGGAAACATGCTCAGAAAGGCTGAGCAAGTGGCCAAGACCACATAGGTGCTTAGTGGTGGCTCTCAGACTAAGATCTGGGGCCCCAGTCTTCTTCCCAATAGACACTCTTCTTCCTGTGCTTCCTTCCCTCACCCTCTAACTTCTTTCTTAAGATCTTTAAACTATCTTAAAATAAGAGTTCTTCAGATTATTTGTTTATTTAAAAGCATTTACTGAGCTCCTGTCTTGTGCAAGATTATGTGCTGGGTGCTTTGTGGGATACAGAGATGGCTACAAGAAGCCACAATACCTGTAGAGAGAGGCAGTATCATGGAAGAGGAAGAGGAGAATATTTACTTTTATGAAAGTTTAGAAAGTCTTCAGGAAAAACATAGCTTTCAAGTGGGCCTTAGAAGAGTAATTTGAAGAACAGGTAAGTGAACTCAGGTTATTGACTCAGATCTGCAAGAAATATAGCTCAATTTTTTAATACTTTAACTCAATTTTTATCCTGTGCACCCTTTCCGCACGGTGACAGTAATCTATTTTCTGTCAGTTTGTGTAATCTCAATCCACTCAGGGCATGATGGTTAATTTTAATGTGCCAACTTGGCTGGGCCATGACATGACCAGATATTTGATTAAACATTAATTTGGGTGTGTCTGTGAGGGTGTATCTGGATGAGATTAACATTAGAATCAGTAGACTGAGTAAAGCTGATTGCCCTCCCCAGCATGGGCAGTCCTTATACAATCCATTGAAAGCCTGAATAGAATAAAAGACTGAGTAAGAAATAATTCTCTCTCTGTCTATCTTCAAGCAAGGGGCATGGGTCTTCTCCTGCCTTCAGACTCAGGCTCAGACTGGAATTTACCCATTGAATCTTCTAGTTCTCAAGCCTTTGGACTGCGACTGGAACTTTACTGTCAGCTCTCCTAGGTCTCTAGCTTGCCAGCTGCAGATCTTGGACTTCTCTGACTCCACAACCATGTGGAGTAAATCTCTCTCTCTATAGTAAATCTCTCTCTCTCTCTCTCTCTCTCTCTATATATATATATATATATGTGTGTGTGTGTGTGTGTGTGTGTGTGTGTGTGTGGTGTATATATATGTACATACATATATGTGTGTGTGTATATATATACTATTACCATTACTATAATAGAGATTTACTAATTTTGTATATATATACACATACACACACACACACACACACACACACACACACACACACACACATGCACATATATGCACTTATGTGGTTTTGGCCAGCTGCTCAGCCTTTCTGAGCATACTTCTTCAGTTTTATGATTGGCGTACAAATACCCGTCCTGTCTATCTCAAAGGTATTGGGGAACTTTGAAGGAGATAGAATAGAGTTTGATATGAAAGCACACAAAAAATTATAAATATATATGTACATATATATATAAAGAAATTTACTATTTTTCCACTTTTCTTTCTTTTTTTAATTTAATTTTCAGTTCAGGGATACATGTAAAGGACAAGCAGATTTGTTATATAGGTAAACTGTGCCATCAGGGTTTGCTACACCTATCAACCCATCACCTAGGTATTAAGCCCCACATACATTAGCTACTTATCCTGATGCTCTCCCTCCCCCATACTGCCACAGTCCCAAGTGTGTGTTGTTCCCCTCCCTGTGTCCACGTCTTCTCATTGTTCGGTTCCCACTTATAAGTGAGAACATGCGGTGTTTAGTTTTCTGTTCCTGTGTTAGTTCATGCCAGTCAGAATGGCAATTATTAAAAAGTCAAGAAACAATAGATGCTGGCAAGGCTGTGGAGAAATAGGAATGCTTTTACACCGTTGGTGTCAATGTAAATTAGTTCAATCATTGTGGAAGAGAGTGTGGCAATTCCTTAAAGATTCAGAACCAGAAATACCGATTGATTGACCCAACAATCTCATTTGATTTTGTATTTTTATATACTATATTATATATTTATTTATGTATTTATCTATATATCAAAGAGCCATGGATTTTATATATATATAATATCTATTAATCTGGGTTCTGCTTCTCTGGAGAACTCAGATTAACACACAGGGCCTTCTCTCACCCTTCACAGATAGGGTGTCTGTGTTCCTGGGGTTACTTAACTCCAAGAGAGGGAAGGAGAAGACAATTGGTTATCATTCTTTATGACCTATGTGGCCACTAGCATATGAGGTACTCACATTCCTGGAAGGTGCCCTCCACTCATTATCCTTGCACAGGACTATTGCACACTAATTGTTTAAATCATCACAGGTCTCATATTCAGCTCCTGCAGTGCTCTGAGGTATTTGGGAAGTATTTGACTGTTCTCTTGACCATCCAGACAACCAGGAAATTTAGCAAGACTGCATCAGACTCATCAGCCGAGACACCTGACATAGCCTCATCACTGTATTGCTCCCATGACTGGGAGACTCAGGAGCTCTGCACAACTTTCATCTTCTCAGAATCTGCCTGCAACTTGAGACGCAGGTCACTTCCACCTCAGATCTCCAAAAGCAACTTAGTATTTCTATTGAGGAACATTGAGTATTCCACAATGCCTACTCCTTCCTAGCTTCCTTGAAACATGTTGCCTTCCTCAGTCTGTGGAAACTTTCCATAGGCAAGGGCAGAAGTGGTAGAGCAGGAAAGACTGCAGTGAACACATATTCTTACTTATGCACAAAGCCTGGCTTTTGATCATCGAAAGCCAATAATTTGACTCACTTTCTCTGCAGATTTGGCTACTCAACTCTTGTTTGTCTTCTGTGATACCATTTTTCCCTCAACTGATAAACACTGCTGACCAAATAGGGAAAAAAACTGGGGGAGAAGAAATGAGATCAGATCAAGATACAGTTGGGTAATATTTAGCATTTTATCCAGCACAATGGGGTTCAGATATGCTGATAAGGCAGTTGAGGAGGACTAGCAAGGGTGCAATATGAGAGATACCGGGAAGGTAATATTAACAGGATTCATTATCTCCAATTTTACAAAAACCTCTCTGCTACTCAGGTTTTATTTCAGAAAATTAAATAAATCATTCAGCAACTTATCAAAATTGGCCATGTCTAAATAATGGAAAAATAGAAATGGATTCTATCCTAAACTTTCACATTTTCATTTTCTTCTCTCTTCATGTTTTACCATGTTTTGTGTGAGCTAAACAAACTTGCTTACTTAGCATCTGATATAGCTTAGATGTTTGTCTCTCCAAATCTCATGCTGAAATGTAACCTCCCATGTTGGAGGTGGGGCTGGTGGGAGGTGTTAAGGTCATCGAGGTGGATCCCTCATGAATGGCTTGGTGCCATCCCCATGGTAATGAGTGAGTTCTCGCACTGGTAGTTCATGGCAGGTTGATTGTTTAAAAGAGTGTGGCACCTCCCCCTTCTCTCTTGCTACCTCTCCGGACACGTGACACGCTGGCTCCCCTTTCTTTTCACCATGATTAAAAGCTTCCTGCGGCCCTCATCAGGAGCAGATGCTGGTGCCAGGCATCCTGTACAGCCTGCAGAACCAGGAGCTAAAATAAACATCTTTTTAAAAATAAATTACCCAGTCTCATGTATTCCTTTATAGCAATGCAAACAAATTAATACAGCATCCTTCATGTGTTCCCAGACCTATGCCTCTACATAAGCCATTCCCCTAAAAGCACCTGTCATAATGAGAATGGGCTTGCTTGGGTGGCACTTATTAGTCCCTGAGCCCTGGGCTGAAAGAAACGGGAGCTATTCTATCAAAGGCTGTGCCTGGACATCTGGCTAAATGTCCCACATCAGTGCTTAGAGGCAGAGCTCATCGCTTGCAAGTCAGACAAGAAGGAAAGATAAGTATGGTCTGGTCCATCAGGCAAAGTAGGGGTCAGGAATATCCATCCTTGCTGGGGGTTCCTGGGGAAGGATGGCAACACACAGCAGTTCCTCTAAATAGTACTTGTGGGAGGGAGGGCAAGATCCAAGGGAAATATCCAGTCTCCAGGAAAAGGAGCTATGCAGGTTATCACCTCCTACAGGAAGTCTGGGATACCAGATAGGATGAGAGATGTATGGAAGCCAGTACTTTGGATTAGATCTGCACTGGGATAGGGTATAGCTATAACTGGCAGCCTGCTAGAGTGCCCAGGACTAGCCCCTCTCACAGAAAGTTTGTCTGGTTAGTGTACTGTCTCAATTCTAGGCACCACTGGTTCAGGAAGAGGGATAGTCCTGAGCTTGGGGCTATATGGAACTGGAAAATTCCATGAGAAGAGACACAAAGCATAGAGTCAGGACAGCATAATAGGCAGGTGATAAACAAATTTCACTAGATATAGACTTTATGAGAGCAAGAATTTTTGTCTATTCAATATGCTGCTAGATCCTTTGCATCTGTAACAGTTCCTGGTACATCACAGGCACTCAATAAGCATTTGTGGAAAGAATGAATGAAACCACAGTTCTGCCTTTATCCAGCTGTGTAACCCTGAGAAAAATATTTAGCTTCAGTTTTTCTTAGATTTGGGTTTTCTTTTTTTTTTTTTTCTTTTTTGTTCCAAATCTTGTTTATTGTGAATAGTTCTGCAATAAACAAAGGGGTGCTGATGTCCCTTCCACACACTGATTTTATTTCCTTTGGGTCTATACCCAGAAGTGGGATTGCTGGATCACACAGTGGTTCTGTGTAATTGTTTGAGGCTCTCCATACTGGTTTTATTGTTTTTTTGTTTTGTTTTTTTTTTGTTGTTGTTGTTTTCTTTTTTTTTATTTTATTATTATTTTACTTTAAGTTTTAGGGTACATGTGCACAATGTGCAGGTTAGTTACATATGTATACATGTGCCATGCTGGTGTGCTGCACCCATTAACTCGTCATTTAGCATTAGGTATATCTCCTAATGCTATCCCTCCCCCCTCCCCCCATCCCACAACAGTCCCCAGAGTGTGATGTGCCCCTTCCTGTGTCCATGTGTTCTCATTGTTCAATTCCCACCTATGAGTGAGAACATGTGGTGTTTGGTTTTTTGTCCTTGAGATAGTTTACTGAGAATGATGATTTCCAATTTCATCCATGTCCCTGCAAAGTACATGAACTCATCATTTTTTATGGCTACATAGTATTCCACGGTGAATATGTGCCACATTTTCTTAATTCAGTCTATCATTGTTGGACATTTGGGTTGGTTCCAAGTCTTTGCTATTGTGAATAGTGCCACAATAGCATACGTGTGCATGTGTCTTTATAGCAGCATGATTTATAGTCCTGTGGGTATATACCCAGTAATGGGATAGCTGGGTCAAATGGTATTTCTAGTTTTAGATCCCTGAGGAAACGCCACACTGACTTCCACAATGGTTGAACTAGTTTACAGGCCCACCAACAGTGTAAAAGTGTTCCTATTTCTCCACATCCTCTCCAGCACCTGTTGTTTCCTGACTTTTTAATGATTGTCATTCTAACTAGTGTGAGATGGTATCTCATTGTGGTTTTGATTTGCATTTCTCTGATGGCCAGTGATGGTGAGCATTTTTTCATGTGTTTTTTGGCTGCATAAATGACACGTTAGTGGGTGCAGCGTAGATGACACGTTAGTGGGTGCAGCGCACCAGCATGGCACATGTATACATATGTAACTAACCTGCACAATGTGCACATGTACCCTAAAACTTAAAGTATAATAATAATAAAAAAAAAGAAAAAAAAGAAAAAGAAACTACCATCAGAGTGAACAAGCAACCTACAAAATGGGAGAAAATTTTCACAACCTACTCATCTGACAAAGGGCTAATATCCAGAATCTACAATGAACTCAAACAAATTTATGAGAAAAAAACAAACAACCCCATCAAATAGTGGGCGAAGGACATGAACAGACACTTCTCAATAGATTTGGGTTTTCTACACAATGTGTTGTTATAGGCAGAATTTTGGCCCTTGTGACCTTCATCTACAGGTGTTACTTCCATTAATATATTATGTTACATGGCAGAAAGGGACTTTGAAGTTGTAGTGCAGGCTACAATGAATTGACTTTAAGATAGGAAGATTATCTTGGATTATGTGAATGGACTTAATCTAAGCACACGTACCCTGAAAAGCAGAGATCTTTCTCCAATTCATAGCAGAAAGAGAAGTCAGAGGTGCTAAGGAACAAGGAGGATTTGATGTGTCCTTACTGGCTTGAAGATGAAGAAAGACACATGCCAAGGAAACGGTGGCCTCAGTCCTATAACCACAGGGAAGTGAAGTCTGCCAGGAACTTGAGTAAATTTGGAAGTGGAGTCTTCCCCAGAGCCCAACCAACACCCTGATTTCTGCCTTTTGAGTCTCTGAGCAGCAGATCCAGTTGAGTTACTCTGTACTTAGGCTTCTGACCTATAGAAATGTGGTAGAATAAGTGGGTGTGCTTTAAGCCACCAAATTTGTGGGAATTTGCCATGGTAGCAATAGAAAAGCAATACAGAAAAATAGATGGAATTTGCCATGGTAGCAATAGAAAAGCAATATAGATAGATAGATAGATAGATAGATAGATAGATAGATAGATAGATAATAGATTTCAGAATATATAAAAATATATAATATTCAGTGTGTGTATTATAAAGAAATTTCCAGCTCCTTCCTCAACCCTTTCTTAATAACCATCTCCTAGTCCTAATCACTTCGTTAATTTTGTAATAAAATGCTCCCTATGGACCTAATTTTGCATTAATTCTTTAGACAAGCCCCTTTTGCTGAGATTAGAATCAACAGTGAAGCACTGTTTGGGTATGAAAAGACTTAGTCTATCAAAGCAGGCTGTGTCTGTTTTGTTTGGAAGACACATGTCATAAAAGAGCAGTTTGGGAGAGGACTAGAATGCAGCTCCCACTTGGATGGACAGAGAAGCAAGTGGAGTCTAGCATAGTGAACTTTTGCTCCAGAACTACCATAGGAATAATTCAGGAAAGCTCAGAGAACCCACACACCCTCTGAAGGAAGTGGATTGCTCCTGCAGGACCCAGGAGACACCCTAAATACAGTGAATACCCAAACTGTGGAAATGAGAAAGGGAGATCATCTGCCCCCAAACACACATCCTCACTGGGAAACCTGAAGGTCTAAACCATGGGAGAAGACTCTGACCTTACCTGGAGCTGAGTCAATTTACAGAGACAAGTGAAATGGAGGGGTAGAGGAAGCAGTGGGAAGAGCCGTGTGGGCTCTCTGGGTTCCCACGGAAGCCATTTCTGACTTGTTTCACAGGGCTACCTGGGGAGGGCTGCTAGAGGAACTGGGAAAAGGCCACAGGGAGAAGGAAACCTCCAGCTGAACTTTGTAACAATTCCAACTGAAAGAGAAGTCTCCTGGCCAGGACTTGGGGAAGGGTGTGAATCTAGTGTGCAGACTCCACAGGCAAAGAAGCATGAACGCCCTACTTGCTTTTGCAGCTGGGAGGCTTGTAGCCTAGGGCAAGTTCTCAGCCCTGCTCACCCTCTGCCTAGAAACAGATTCAGTGCTGTTGTGGGGAGGCACGATGTGAGTGAGAGTGGCCTTCTGGGTTTTGTGAGACCTGGGTGAGGTCTGTGGCTGCTGGCTTCCCTCCACTTCCCTGACAACTTGCATGCCATAGTAAAGGCAGCCATAATCCTCCTAGGAACATAACTCTATTGACCTGGACACCATCCCCCACCCCCCACAGGAGCTGCAGCAGACCCACCCAAGAGTCTGAGCTCTAACACGCCTAGCTCTGCCACCATCTGATGGTTCTTTCCTACCCACCCTGGTAGCTGAAGAAAAAGGGCATATACTCTTGGGCGTTCTAGGGCCCTGCCCACAACCTGATCCTCCCCATACTAACACAGCTGATACACTATTTAAAGCACCACCTCCTGGCAGGAGGCCAACCAGCACAAAAATAGTGCATTAAACAACCAAAACTAAGGGCCCTTACAGTCCCTTTCACCCCTCTGACACCTCCACCAGAGCAGGTGCTGGTATCCACAGCTGAAAGACCCACAGATGGTTCAGATCACAGGACTCTGTGCAGACCATCCCCAGTATCAGCCCAGAGCCTGGTAGACCTGCTGGGTGGCTAGATCCTGAAGAGATATAATAATCACTACGGCTCAGCTCTCAGGGAGCCACATGCCTAGGAAAAGGGGGAGAGCACTACATCAAAGGAACACACCATGGGACAAAAAAATCTGAACAACCGTCTTGAGCCCTAGACCTTCCCTCTGACAGAGCCTACCCAAATGAGAAAAAGACAGAAAGCCAACTCTGATAATATGACAAAACAAGGTTCTTTAACACCCCCAAAAATTCACACTAGCTCACCAGCAATGGATCCAAACCAAGACAAAATCCCTAATTTACATGAGAAAGCATTCAGAAGGTCAGATATTAAGCTAATCAAGGAGGCACCAGAGAAAGGCAAAGCCCAACATAAGGGAATTAAAAAAAATAAGTGAGGGGAGAAATCTTCAGTGAAATAGATAGCATAAATAAAAAAACAATCAAAACTTCAGGAAACAATGGACACACTTACAGAAAAGCAAAATGCTCTGAAAAATCTCACCAATAGAACTGAACAAGCAGAAGAAAGAATTTCAGAGCTTGAAGACAAGGTTTTCTAATTAATCCAATTAAACAAAGACAAAGAAAAAGGAATAAGCAAATACGAACAAAGCCTCCAAAAATCTAGGATTATGTTAAATTACCAAACCTAAGAATAATCAGTGTTCTTGAGGAAGAGAAATCTAAAGTTTGGACAAGTTTTGGGGGAACAACAGAGGAAAACTTCCCCAGCCTTGCTAGAGACCTAGATATCTGAATACATGAACTCAAAGAACACCTAGGAATTTCATCACAAAAAAATCATCACCTACGCACATTGTCATCAGGTTATCTAAAGTTAAGACGAAGGAAGGAATCTTAAGAGCTGAGAGGCAAAAGCACCGGATAACCTATCAATGAAAACCTATCAGATTAACAGCAGATTTCTCAGCAGAAACCTTACAAGGTGGGAGGGATTGGAGTTCTATCTTCAGCCTCCTTAAACAAAGCAATTATCAGCCAAGAATTCTGTATCCAGCAAAACTAAACTTCATAAACGAAGGAAAGACATAGTCTTTTTCAAACAAATACTGAGAGAATTTGCTACTAAGCCAGCACTACAATAACTGCTCTAAATATAAGCTCTAAATCTTGAAACAAATGCTGGAAACACATCAAAATACAACCTCTTTAAAGCATAAATCTCACAGGACAAAAATACAAATTAAAAAAAAAAAAAAAACAAGGTATACTGGCAGCAAATAGCACAATGAATGGAATAGTACCTCACATCTCAATACTAACATTGAATGTAAATGGCCTAAATGGTCTACTTAAAAGGTAGAGACTTGCAGAATGGATAAGAATTCACCAACTAACTACCTGCCACCTTCAAGAGACTCACCTAACACATAAGGACTCACATAAACTTAAGGTAAGGGGGTGGAAAAAAAGACATTTTATGCAAATGGACACCAAAAGCAGCAGGAGCAGCCATTCCTATATCAGACAAAACAAACTTTAAAGCAACTGTGGTTAAAAAAGACAAAGAGGGACATTATATAATGATAAAAGGTCTTGTGCCACAGGAAAACATCACAATCCTAAATATATGTGCACCTAACATTGGAGCTCCCAAATTTATAAAATTATTACTACTAGACCTAAGAAATGAGATAGACAGCAGCACAATAATAGTGGGGGACTTCCATACTCCACCAACAGCACCAGATAAGTCATCAAGACAGAAAGTCAACAAAGAAACCATGGATTTAAACTGTACCCTGGAATAAATGGACCTAACAGATATTTACAAAACATTCTACCCAAAAACTGCAGAATACACACTCTATTCATCAGTGCATGGAACTTTCTCTAAGTATAGACCATATGATAGCCCACAAAACAAGCATCAATACACTTAAGAAAACTGAAATATTATCAAGCCCTCTCTCAGAGCACAGTTGAATACAACTGCAAATCAACTCCAAAGGGAAGCTTCAAAACCATGCAAATACATGAAAATTAAACAACCTGCTCCTGAATGATGATTGGGTCAACAATGAAATCAAGATGGAAATTAAGAAATTCTTCAAACTGAACAATTGTGACACAACATATCAAAACCTCTGGGATACAGCAAAGGCGGAGCTAAGAGGAAAGTTCAGAGCCCTAAACCAATATATTGAAAAGTTGAAAGAGCACAGACAATCTAACATCACACCTCAGGGAACTGGAGAAATAAGAACAAGCCAAACCCAAACCAAGCAGAAGAAAGGAAATAACCAAGATCAGGGCAGAACTAAGTGAAATTGAAACAAACAAACAAAAAATACAAAAAGAGAAATGAAACAAAAAGCTGGTTCTTTGAAAAGATAAAGAAAAATGATAGACCATTAGCAAGATTAAGCAAGAAAAGAAGAGAGAAAATCCAAATAAGCTCAATTAGAAATGAAACAGGAGATATTACAACTGATGCCACAGAAATACAAAAGATCATTCAAGGCTACTATGGCCACTTTACTTGCATAAACTAGAAAATCTAGAGGAGATGGATAAATTCCTGAAAAAATACAACCCTCCTAGCTTAAATCAGGAAGAATTAGATACCCTGAACAGACCAATAACAAGCAGCGAGATTGAAATGGTAATAACAAAAATACCAACAACAACAAAAAAAGTCCAGGACCAGATGAATTCACAGCTAAATTCTACCAGACATTCAAAGAAGAATTGGTACCAATCCTGTTGACACTATTCCACAAGATAGAGAAAGAAGAAATCCTCCCTAATTCATTCTATGAAGCCAGTATCACCCTAATAAAAAAAACTGGGAAAGGACATAACCAAAAAAGAAAACTACAGACCAATATGCCTGATAATCATAGATGCAAAAATCATTAACAAAATACTAGCTAACCAAAACCAACCGATATCAAAAAAATGATCCAACATGATCAAGCGGGTTTCATACCAGGGATGCAGGGATGGTTTAACATATGCAAGTCAATAAATGTGATGCACCACATAAACATAATTAAAAACAAAAATCACATGATCATTTCAATAGATGCAGAAAAAGCATTCAATGAAATCCAGCACCCATTTATGATTAAAACTTTCAGCAAAATTGGCATACAAGGGACATACCTCAACATAATAAAAGCCATCTATGACAAACCCACAGCCAACATAATACTGAATGGGGAAAAGTTGGTAGCATTCCCTCGGAGAACCAGAACAAGACAATGATGCCCACTCTCACCACTTCTATTCAACATAGTACTGGAAGTCCTAGCCATAGCAATCAGACAAGAGAAAGAAAGAAAGGGCATCCAAGTCATTAAAGAGGAAGTCATACTGTCGCTGTTTGCTGATGACATGATTGTATACCTAGAAAACCCTAAAAACTCCTCCAAAAAGCTCCTAGATATGATAAAAGGATTCAGCAAAGTTTCCTCACACAAAATTAATGTACATCGGCCAGGTGCAGTGGCTCATGCCTATAATCTCAGCACTTTAGGAGTCCAAGGTGGATGGATCACCTGAGGTCAAGACTTCAAGACCAGCCTGGTGAAACCCCATGTCTACTAAAAATACAAAAATTAGCTGGGTGTGGTGGCATGTGCCTGTAGTCCCAGCTACTCTGGAAGCTGAGGTAGGAGAATCACTTGCACCCAGGAAGTGGAAGTTGCAGTGAGCCAAGATCATGCCACTGCACCTGGGAAACAGGGCAAAACTCCATCTCAAAAAAAAAAAAAAAGTAGGCAAATTAGTAGCTCTCCTATACACTAACAGCAATCAAGCTGAGAATTAAATTAAGAACTCAACCCCTTTTATAATAGCTGAAAAAAAAAACTAGGAATATACCTAACCAAGGAGATGAAAGACCTCTACAAGGAAAACTACAAAACAATGCTGAAAGAAATCATAGACAACAGAAAGGGAAACACATTCCATGCTCATGGATGAGTAGAATCAATACTGTGAAAATGACCATACTGCCAAAAGCAATCTACAAATTCAATGCAATCCCCATCAAAATACCACCATCATTCTTTATAGAATTAGAAAAAAAAATCCTAAAATTCATATTGAACCAAAAAAGAGCCCACATATCCAAAGCAAGACTAAGCAAAAAGAACAAATCTGGAGGCATCACACTATCTGACTTCAAACTATATTATAAGGCCATAGTCACCAAAACAGCATGGTACTTGTATAAAATAGGCACATAGATCAATGGGACATAGATCAAGAATAGAGAACCCAGAAATAAACCCAAATACTTACAGCCAACTGATCTTTGACAAAGCAAACAAAAACACAAAGTGAGGCAAGGACACTCTATTCAACAAATGGTGCTGGGACAATTGGCTAGCCACATGTCAGAGAATAAAACTGGATCCTCATTTCTCACCTTATACAAAAATCAACTCAAGATGGATTAAGGACTTAAATTTAAGACTTAAAACTATAAAAATTCTAGAAGATAACATCAGAAAAACCCTTCTAGACCTTGGCTTAGGTAAGGATTTCATGACCAAGAATCCAAAAGCAAATGAAATAAAAACAAAGATAAATAGCTGAGACTTAATTAAACAAAAGAGCTTTTGCATGGCAAAAGGAACAGTCAGCAGAGTAAACAGACAACCCAGAGTGGTAGAAAATCTTTACAATCTATATATCTGACAAAGGACTAATATCCAGAATCTACAAGGAACTAAAATAAATTATCAACAAAAAAGCAAATAATCCCATCAAAAAGTGGGCAAAAGACATGAATAGACAATTCTCAAAAGAAGACATATAAATGGCCAACAAACATATGAAAAAACACTCAACATCGCTAATGATTAGGGAAATGCAAATAAAAACCACAATGCAATACCACCTTACTACTACAAGAATGACCATAATCAAAAAATCCAGAAATCATAGTTGCTGGCATGGATGTGGTGAACAGGGAACACTTCTACACTGCTGATGGGAATGTAAACTTGTAAAACCACTACTAGAAACAGTGTGGAGATTCCTTAAAGTAGCAAAAGTGGAACTACCATTTGTTCCAGCAATCCCACTACTGGGTAGCTACCCAGAGGAAAAGAAGTCATTATATGAAAAAGATACTTGCACACACATGTTTATAGAAGCACAATTCACAATTGGGGAAATGTGGAACCAACAGAAATGCCCATTAATCAATGAGTGATAAAGAAACTGTGATATATATATTTATATATATATATATATACACACACACACACACACACACACACACACACACACACACATATACATATGATGGAATACTACTCAGCCATAAAAGGGAATGAATTAATGGCATTCGCAGCAACCTGGATGAGATTGGAGACTATTATTCTAAGTGAAGTAACTCAGGAATGGAAAACCAAACATTGTATATTCTCACTCATGAGTGGAAGCTAAGCTATGAGGATGCAAAGGCATAAGAATGACACAATGGGCTTTTGGGACTCAGGAGGAAAGGGTGGGAAGGGGGTGAGGGATAAAAGACTACAAACAGAGTGCAGTGTATACTGCTTGGGTGATGGGTGCACCAAAACCTTACAAACCTTACCACTAAAGAACTTACTCATGTAACCAAACACCATCTCTTCCCCAATAACCTATGGAAATAAAAAAATTTGTTTAAAAAGCAGGCTGTCACAATTGTGCACAAGGAGGGTTGAGAAAAAGGACAAAGTGACAAGTAAGCCTTAAGCAAATGGTTCTATAGGCTTCCAGAGAAGAAGTTTGCTGCTTCTCCCATGCAAAAGTGAACGATTATAAATGGCAGTAAGTAAGTGAAACCCTCCTTCAATGAAGTGTTCTGCATGGGTGCTGGTGTCCAAGCCTGAAGTTGCCAAGCACAACACAGATCAAACATCTCACATTAAGAGGTGAATCCTACAATGTCAGAGATGGCCAGCAACCTCAGATTTCACCCAAATCCGCAAGGTTTCGTGTCAGAGAAGAGAATTCACTCCAGATAGTTTGAGTAACATGAAATTATGACACTGTGTGCTCGGTTAAATAGTGTCCTTCCAAAATTCATGTCCACCCAAAACCCCAGAATGTGATTTGATTTAGAAACAAGGTCTTTGAATATGTATCTAGTTGTTTATAAAAGATCACACTCTATTAGAATGGGCCCTAAATTCAGTGACTGGGGTCCTTTTAAAGAGAAAAAGTGAAGACACAGAAACACACATGGGAAAGAAGGTTATGTGACAACAGAGGCAAAGCTTGGAGTGATGCAGCTACAAGCCAAGGAATACCAGGGATTGCTAGCAAGTACCATAAGCCAGGGAGGGGCAAGAGAAAATTCTTGCTAGAGCCTTCAAAGGGAGCATGGCCCTACTGACACCTTGATCTTGAACTTCTAGCCTCTAGTACTGTGAGACGAGAATTTTTGTTGTTTTAAGTGATACAATTTGTGGCGATGTTTTTATGGCAGTCCTACAAAATAAATACATACTGCATTAAGTGGCTCAGAGAATTATTTTGTGTGGAGAAGCTGCTGAAATAAAGACCATGTGCTTTGATTTGGAATAATCCCAAAGCTACACTGTGGATGCAGTTAGCCAAGGGCACTGCTGCTCCTGACTTACACAAGAGGCCACCAGGAAGATGCCACCATATCTGCCAGTTCTAGAACCATGTTGTGTCTGCTACTAAGGACACTAGTAAAAGTGGACGCCTCCCACACTGCTTCTCTGCCTACTTAACTCAGTTCCTAATTTACATCTCTAACAAGGGTATCAGATTCATGGAACTGAATCACAAAACCAACCTGCAAAGGAGACTGAGGAGGTAGATTTTTGCTTTCCAGTCTATGTAGCCAGAAGAGCACAATAGAAAGGTTAGAATCCACATTAATCACAGTATACACCAATGTGTCTACTCCTAACTCCTCACATGAGCCAGGGATTATAATATATGATCCCTCCAGTGTTATTTTATTTATATTCCTACCAACTTTTTAAGGCGTCTATTACTGCCCCCATTTTATACATGAGGAAATTGAAGTTTAATGAGTTTTTAGGCTCATTGATTGTCTCAAAACAACCTAACAGTCAACAGGTATTTCCTGAATACCTACTATGTGCCAGCCTTGCTGGGAATAAACAGTAAACAGGAAAAGCTTCATTACTAAATTATGTTGCTTGAAGTCTAATGAGATTGTTTTAAACTTTGTCATACATAAGAGTTGCCTGCTGACCTAGGTTTTCGGGTAGATTGCTGAGTTTGCATTACCAGGAGCCTGGGAATAGAAACACAGTCTGAAGGCTGTTACATATCAAAGTGACTATCTGAACCCTAGTCCCTGGATTCCAAGCCCAGTTGCTCTAGTGATATCCTAAAATTTCCTTCAGGTGCCAGGCAAGTAAAATAAATATGTGGAGGTGGCAGGCATAGTAGGTGTTAAATTAATTATTTGTAACTGAACCCAGCATGAGAGCTGCCTGGTGAAACATAATACATCCTGGATTATTTGCGCCCTTTGAGTATCCAGCTTGTGCTTCCTGCACGTTTCCTCACCCTCTTCTTTATCTGATGTGAATCCAG
The DNA here is from genome assembly GCF_000001405.40 of Homo sapiens. Classification (NCBI taxonomy): domain Eukaryota; kingdom Metazoa; phylum Chordata; class Mammalia; order Primates; family Hominidae; genus Homo; species Homo sapiens. The sequence continues at coordinate 118,616,262 of NC_000003.12, forward strand.
GTGAGCAGGAGAATCCCCTTCTAAGTCCGGCTCCTCTCAGAGTGCCTCTTTCACCAAATCGTAATTGCCTCTTGTCTATGAGCTTTGTTGGTCTATAAGTACAGGAGGATTGGGGATTGTGCCTGTCTTGTTCATGGTTTAAACTGTGGACTGAGAATTGAGCTAAGTTCTAATGCATGAGAAATATTTGTGGAAGAGAGAGAAAGGGAAGGAGGAAGTAACTATGTCCCTTCACTCTGAGAGAACAAATGTTCTCCAGTCTTGCCTTTCTAAGAGAGGAAAACAGCCCCAGGGGTTCAGGGTGGTCTGCACAATGCCCTTCTTCCTGCCACTGATCAAATGGCTATGGAGTCTCCTTTGTGGACTGAATGTGCAATCAGACTCCTTGGGACCCACAAGAGGTCCCTCCACAACTCCAGGAGTGGCCAGAGCTCCTCTTCTTTACCTAGCAAGTTGCAGAGACAATGGAAAGACATTTTTCTCCATTCTTTAATTCAGTAAATGCTTCTTTTCTAGGCTCTGCTCCAGATGTTTGAAATATAGAGGTGAATAAGCAAAATTCTTGCTCTCGTAAAATTTATATGCTAGCCAGATGATAAACAAGTGCACAAATGGGTAAACAATAATTATAGACAATGATAAGCATTAGTAAGGAAAAAGGAAGATAATGTGATAAAGTAACAGGATGATTACTTTAGCTAGTTGGTTAGAAAACACCTCCTGTGGAGGTGAAATGTAAGCGAAACCTGTAGAATAAGAAGGTAGCATGAGAAGACCTAATAGAATAGTTTTCCAAAAAAGGCCAAGTAAAAAAACTTTATAGAAGGGAATTTAAGAACAGACGAAATCCAGTGTGGCTGGAGCTTGGTAACTGGGACTATCACAGGTGGCTGAAAACGTAAGAATAAGCCAAATCACTTGGGCCTTTGTAACTGTGAAGAGACTACAGTTAAGCAACACCCCAAGGACCTACTCTTGGAATTTCTGAGAGGAGTCCAGGCATGTGGCATGGATGGTGGCCAGATAAAGTAACAATTGCTCCCTTATGGATTCCTTTGATCCATGCCCTTGAAGAGAAATCTAGAAGAGTCTCCTTTGCCTTCTTGCTGCCAGTGGACACGTTCCCAAGGACACCCAGGAGAACTGTCTTATTAGAATTAAAAACCTACTGTAAGGTAACAATAGGAAAAGTAGTATAAAAATGGCTCTATTTCTTATATTCTATTCATATTCTCAATTCAAATGCACTGAAGTTGTAATTCAATATGTAATTGTTCTTGCTTCCCTGCAACCAGTTCCACTTCAGATTTTAGAATCCATCTTACCTTGATTCATCCCAGGGCCCTTTCTGTATAGGCAGGCGAGAATTAGCATAAGCATGACCAGTCTATAGGTGGGTGGTGAGGAGAGGATGTGTGCCACCTACCAACATGCACAGGGCGTTGCTCAAAGAACCACCTAAATATGGAGGCAGCTGACAAAGTGAGGCCTGGGTTGGGAAAGATTTTTAGAACATGCTTGTACATTCACTTCACCAGATACCATTTAATAAAAAAAAAAAAAAACAACCTTTTATTTTGAAGTAACTTCTGACTTACAGAATAATTGTGAGAGAGCACAGTTCTCGTATACCCTTCATCCAGTTTTCCCTAATGTTAGTATCTTACATAAACATGGTACAATGATCAAAACTAATAAATGAACATATCATAGACTAAACTATAAATATTGTTCTGATCTCCCCAGTTTTTTATCAGTTTCCAAACTGGAACTGGTTTAAGTTAAATGCCCACTCCCCACCAGAGCCAATAGGAATAGACGGAGGTAAGGTGAGTGGAACCCAACAGGGGACAAGGACATTTCAAGAGAGTTGAACTACGGTAGAAAGTTGAGCTACTATAGAAAGGAGGAGGGAGGAAGCTTACCTTGTATGTGACTGGATAGAGTAGGGGAAGAAAGAGGGCAGCTGCTTCCCTTCTTCAAGGGGAAAGGGTTTCCATGAGCTCCCAAAAAGTAGAGACAATGAAATGGCCCCAGTGCTCACCTTCATTTGAGAACCCAGGCCCTTGGCTGCCTAGCTTCTGGTGATCCAGATGCAGCTTTTCCACATAGAGATGCCTCCTCTTGAGTGGCCTCTGCTGCTCAAGACACTGTTAGAGTCTACATAAAAAGTGCCTCTTTAGTTCACCAGTGCCCAAACTACACAATCACACAGGATGGGAGCCAGCCCTGGCACCAGCATGGTATGTGTCATGTTTAACAGCATTTGGGAGCAACAGGAAGCATTTGGGAGCAGAAGTGAGTGAAGTGAAGGAAAAAAGAGGACAGTGAAACTTGCAACAAATTATCCTGGCTGAGACTGGTCAAAAAGACAGATTGTTTTTATTGTTACTGGGAGTTCATTATCCTACTGGATACCTGTATTCAGGCTTGTGGGTGGATAAGCAATTGTCATCAGCACTTTTCTGGCTTCCAGGAAATCTGGAGACATGCACCTAAAAGAGCATCAGAGTGTTTTGCAGGAAGTACATTAATAGTAACTGTTTCAACCACCACTTCCACCCCGCACCTACGGGGGTAGAAGCTGCTTAACAAGTTGGATTTCCCAACCTATGAATCAGAGAAAGCATATGCTAAAGTTATTAGGAAACATTCCTAATGTTTCCTTGAATTTGGTGGTATCATGGTGGACAGGGGAGGGGTTGGAGGATGAGGTGGAAGAAAAAATAGAATTCCTTTCATTCGAGGAATGAGTTTTCTGCCTAGGTAGAGGGAGAGACTCAAGCTGAACGTTTAGTATGCTGCACAAATACGTCTGTTTCTTCATTGATAAATGATACGGAACTGAATCTGGATGATTAATTCAGTAAGTCACAATTCCTTTGTTTTTAGTGTTCGGTATTCTTTTATGTTACATGTTATATGGGGCAGAACTTTGGGGTCTCAAGCAAGCAGTTACACAAGCACTTAAAGATCCAAAGCTCTTTTCTGAAAACTAATATCGTCTGTAGAAGCAGGCATCCCTGCAGCAACTGCATGTGAAGGAGGGGGTTGGCCTTCCCTCTGGGTAAGACAGCGAGTCCAGTTCTTAAACGATGAAAGAGTGGTGCTGGCTCCTCTAAGAGGGGGAGCACATAAAAGAATGCATTGTTACGTGTATCCCAGTTCCACACCACTAGTCAGAAATGTTATTAATTTTAGTTTACCATTCTAAATATATTCTGTGTATTTACTAACAAAACAAAGCAAATATATATGTGTGTGTATATATATAGGCATAGATATTTGTTTTGTTTATATATGTAATATCTATACTATAGATATATACATGTAATATGTATGGGTGTGTATATATATATATGGGTGTATATATATATATGTGTGTGTGTGTGTATATATATGTATATATATAGTTATGGCCTGAATTTCATCCTTCCCCCCAAAATTTATATATTGAGGCCCTAACCCACAATGTGATGTGTGATGGTGTTCAGAAATAGGGCATTCTGGGAGGTACCTGTAATTAAAGTTAAATGAAGTCACAAAGATGGGGCCCTAAACAGATAGGACTGGGTTCTTACAAAAAGAGAAAGAGACACCAGAGCTCACTCATGCTGCAGGAGCACAGAGGGAAGGCCATGTGAGGACACAGGGAGAAGGTGACCATCTGCAAGCCCAGAAGAGAGCCCTCACCAGAAACAGAATTGGCTGGCACTTTAATCATGGAACTTCCAGTTCTATAATTGTGAGAAAATAAATTTATCTTGTAAAAGCCACCCAGTCCATGGTATTCTGTTATGGCAGCCTGAGCAGACATATCACACACACCTACCTACACACCATATTATCTTTTCCTTTTTTTTTTTTTTTTTAACACAATGAAGCTTACAGCATACACCCCTGCACTTTGATTTTTCCAGTTGACAATGCCTTTGAGATTTCCGTATAAGGACATAAAGATCTCATTTTTTTCATTTTGTTTTTGACACCAGCATAATAGTTCATTGAATGGATATGCCATGATTTATTTCACTTGTCCCTTATTAACAAACATTTAAGCTGTTTTCAACTTGCCAGCACAAACAATGCTCCAATAAACAACCCTCATGAATATATAATTTTTTCACATGCCACTTAGGAATTTTTAAAAATATGAATTAGTTGCCAATATTCAAAAGTAAGGAGATTTTGTGTATAACCTGGATTTGTTACTTTTCTTGAAACAGCACATCTGAGGAAACTGGTCCACATTCTCCCCTGGTGCTGGAGCTAAGAAGTCACTGCCTTGTTCAGACAGGGCTCACAATGTCCTGATTGCCATTGCTACTGCCCTGCCTCGTTCACTCAGCACTGTTATTGATCAGGCCCCAACAGGCATGGGAGTTTTTGACCCTATTCTAGATTCTCTGGTGCCACTGTACCTTAAGCTAAATTATCAGAAACCATAGTAACTGTGTACCAGCTTAGCTCATTCTCATGGCTTTCTCAAAAAAAGAAAGAAGAAAAAAAAATCCTTACTGAGTTAGAATTTAATATTATGCCTCTGCCTCTACAGAAAGTTGAAATAACCATTCTCTATTTAACAAGGATTTTAATGTTTTTTAAAGGGCTGTCTTTGAAGATACTGTCCACTGTGTTATGGTTCTTTATATAAATTCTCTTTCCACAAATGTCTGCTTAGGTTTGATTTTAGAATTTTTTTTAAAAAGGTCTCTTTGGGTGAATGTATATTTATTTATTTATTTTTCTTTTTTTTAATTATTATACTTTAAGTTCTAGGGTACATGTACACAACGTGCAGGTTTGTTACATATGTATACATGTGCCATGTTGGTGTGCTGCACCCATTAACTCGTCATTTACATTAGGTGTATCTCCTAATGCTATCCCTCCCCACTCTCCCCACCCCACAACAGTCCCCAGAGTGTGATGTTCCCCTTCCTGTGTCCAAGTGCTCTCATTGTTCATTTCCCACCTATGACTGAGAACATGCAGTGTTTGGTTTTCTGTCTTTGCAATAGTTTGCTGAGAATGATGGTTTCCAGCTTTATCCATGTCCCTACAAAGGACATGAATTCATCATTTTTTATGGCTGCATGGTATGTATATTTATTTTGTCAGAAAGTAAAAATGAAATAATGTACAAATGTCTACTCTTGCATTAGGAAACAATGGAAACTTTTAGCCAGACTCAGTGTCCCTTGAGACTTACCAGCTGTTTCCTGCCGCCTTGGGAGGGTCTACCTATCACATTTTATTTAAATCTAATGAGTGATCCCCTCCCCAATCCCTTAGCCATATGCAGCCTATCTAGGTTAAGTTCCCACTCTTTAGCCAATTTCAGAATGAACATAGATATGCCCCTAATTAACATTTTAATGGCTAAAACTCAGTGCCATTTATTTCACTGACATTTTCACATTCAATAATACAGGTAATCTAAGTTATAAAAATATACATTTTCCCCTGAGGGAGCTAATAAACCTATTTTCATTCTGAATGAAATAAAAATTACAGGTAAATATGTGTACTTGTCTTGGATTAGCTTCCACAGAAAAAAGAGGGTTGCTTAGCATAGGGGAACTTTTATCTTTTTTAATCTCTAAATAGCTTTGGAAACTCATATTTCAATTGGATTCTGCATCTTGGAAATAGGTGGGGTACAAATTTTAAATAGTAAGACTAATATTGTTTTTTGTAAAAAAAAATTAGGATTATTACCATTAAATCTAAAACTGCAACCTATATAAAAGATAATTTCACACATTTAATGACTTAATGAAGGTCTTAAGACCACTTAAAAATTTTGATTATAAATTCAGCATCTCTATTCTTAGCTAGGCAATAAGTTTGTCATGATTACCTGCTAAATAGGTTCACTGTCATTTAAGTCTTCAGTTTTTTCCTAGCTTCAGGATCCAAGAGGACAATAGTCAAAGCGTATTGGAAAGCACCCTGGACACTAGCTTCAATGCTCTCATTTATTAGTGGTGTCAGCTTGAAGCCTATGGCTGCAACAATCAGTTTTCTTACCCGTAAAATGTGGCTGCTGCAGCTCAAGGTTGCTGAGATGATGACAATAAAACATACAATACATAAACATTCTTGGGAAAGGTGCAAGTGACATAATAGTAATAATTTTGAAAGCTAATATGTAACAGGCAGCCTTTTAACTAATATATGTAATTTAATTAATATATGTAATAATTTACATATATTAATTCACCTAACCCTTACAACAATTCTATGAGGGGCTATTATTACTATAATCTTCATACTTCACAAATGGAAAAACTGAGGCATGGAGTGATCATGAGATATGCCTAAGGCCACGTAAGAGCCAAGATTTGAACCTAGGATGTCTGATTTGGAGGCCCATGCTCTTAACCACAATGCCACCTCCCAAATGTAAGGAATTATTAGAATTAATAAACTCTCACTGAGCCCCAAAGTTAGGCAAATGTTTCTCAAACACATATTTTCTACTTTCTTTGCAGACATCAGTTCATGCCCAGAAAAGGAGAAGCAAACTTTCTTTGCATCCTTTCTACAGGAGTGGTTCCTACTAAACAGGAGTGGATAGAGGACTGATAATTCTTTAATTTGCTATGTTGTATTTGTTTCGTGCGTTAGAATTTGCAATGTGCTTTTCAACCTGTTATCTAAAGCTAGCTTCACCAGGTCTAGGCAAAAAAAAAAAAAAAAAAAAAAAAAAACAAACAAACAAAAAAAACCATTTTCATTTGATAGAAGGGGACGTTAAGGTGGGAAGAAATGATACAAATGGCCGAGGTCTCACAGCTAGTAAACGGCAAAGTGGGGAGTAGAACTTACATTTTCTTGAATCTACGCACTAGGCTCCACCCACAAACCCATCCAAGTTTTCACCAAACTCTCACTGAAGACGCAGCATAGTGAAGGAGTAATATAGTGGAATTCTTTAGTCTCTATGTTCATGTTTTTCTTTTATGAGGAACAGAAGGCATGGTGGGACAGTCAGACTGCTATGCTGTGTTTCTCCCCTCTGTGTTGAACACAGGGCACTGGTCTTCCCAGCGAACTCTGAAATACAGATACGGTGCCCCCAGTCCCTGTGTGTATATGTTGAGGGTGGCAGGGGTGTGTATGTGTGCCTGTCAAAGAATAGGAACCCCCTGCTCCATGCCTTCCTGGCAAGTAGTCCTGTGAATGAGGTCCCTTCCCTTTCCCCTGGTCCCCCAAAGCCTGCAGTGGAAGGTAGAAGGGAAAGAAATGCTGGGTGCCTTCTGTTGCTTTTCCAATCTTGCCCTGCAGCGAGTGGAATCTTTCCTTGGAGGCAGCACCAGGGAAGCTGTTACCCATGTGCTTCACTTCCCATTTGTGGTAGAAGATGGCCAAGGGACTAGAAGGGATAGCAGAGGACATTAGAGAAAGACAAAGGAGGCCAGGCATTGTGGCTCACACCTGTAATCCCAACACTTTGGAAGGACGAAGTGGAAGAATCATTTGAGGCCAGGAGTTTGAGACCAGCCTGTGCAACAGAGTGAGATCCTATCTGTACAAAAAAATAAAAATAAAAATAAAATTTACCCAGGTATGGTGGTGCTTGTAGTCCCAGCTACTTGGGCTGCTGAAGTGAGAGGATAGCTTGAGCCCAGGAGTTCAAGGCTGCAGTGTGCTATGATTGTGCCATTGCACTCCAGCCTGAGCAACAGAGTGAGACCCTGTCTCAAAAATAATAATAATAATCATAACATCTATATATATATATATGTTTTTATTATACTTTAAGTTCTAGGGTACATGTGCACAACGTGCAGGTTTGTTACATATGTATACATGTGCCATGTTGGTGTGCTGCACCCATTAACTCATCATTTACATTAGGGATATCTCTTAATGCTATCCCTCCCCCCTCCCCCCACCCCACAACAGGCCCCGGTGTGTGATGTTTCCCTTCCTGTGTGCAAGTATTCTCATTGTTCAATTCCCACCTATAAGTAAGAACATGCAGTGTTTGGTTTTTTGTCCTTGCGATAGTTTGCTGAGAATGATGGTTTCCAGCTTCATCCATGTCCCTACAAAGGACATGAACTCATCATTTTTTATGGCTGCATAGTATTCCATGATGCATATATGCCACATTTTCTTAAACCAGTCTATCATTCTTGGACATTTGGGTTGGTTCCAAGTCTTTGCTATTGTGAGTAGTGCCGCAATAAACATGTGTGTGCATGCGTCTTTATAGCAGCATGATTTATATTCCTTTGGGTATATACCCAGTAATGGGATGGCTGGGTCAAATGGTATTTCTAGTTCTAGATCCCTGAGGAATCAACACACTGACTTCCACAATGGTTGAACTAGTTTACAGTCCCACCAACAGTGTAAAAGTGTTCCTATTTCTCCACATCCTCTTCACCACCTGTTGTTTCCTGACTTTTTAATGATCTAAAGGTTCAGTGCAGTGGCTCATACCTGCAATCTCATCACTTTGGGAGGCTGACGTGGGAAAATCACTTGATCCCAGGAGTTCAAGATCAGCCTGGGAAACATGATGAAACCCTGTCCCTATAAAAAATAATAAATTACCTGGGCATGGTAGTATGTGCCTGTAGTCCCAGCTACCCACGAGGCTGAGGTGGGAGGATTGCTTGAGCCTGGGAGGTTGCAGCTGCCATGAGCTGTGACTGTGCTACTGCACTCCAGCCTGGGCAACAGAGCCAGACCCAAAAGGATAAAGAGAAGGAAATAAGGCATTAGCTTCTGGAAGCAGCAAGCAAGAATTACCATGGAAGGGATGCAAAACAGCAGATATTTACTCATGAGGAAATCCAGGCTCAGAGGAAATAAGAGATTCTCTGGTGAGTCCTACAAAGGACTACAACACTCTTCTAAGATATGTCCTTTAAATGCAACTAAAAGTTCCTCACATTAGGCATCTCAATTGCTTTGCAGGAAGCCCAAACCCACTGTGTTAGCTTCAGTGATCAAATCAAACTAGTTGGTTATGAATTTAAGAAAGCAGACAAACTAGTTGGTTATGAATTAAGAAAGCAGACAGAGTGAGCCTCTAATTGAGATGAGAGAACTGGGGCCATGATGGTCTCAGCCAGGACAGACGCATTTGTGGTAGGCAACTTTGTCTCCAGTCCTGCCTCTACTCACCCAACAAACACACTGTCCTTCTGAGGACCTCACAAATGCTTTCAACGTTTATTAAACCTATCTTGTTTCTTATACCTCTCTTAAAATTGCCATTCCCCATCATTTCAACATATTTATTTCAATTTTCATCATCTGATTTTCACAACACAATTCAAATATGTCTGCCTCCCTACACAGTGTCTAAAAATGGAGGGTTTCAGCTTTAGGTAATCTACTTATTCAAGCCAAATGGATGGGGATCCTCCAGCCAATCACATACACCTTATCCTACAATTCCAGCTGGTAGAGTTCACAATCAGAAGGCTAATGGCTGGTGAGTGTCATGTGATATGGTGAGATGAACATGGGCATCATCATCAGAATCAGGATACAAGCCCCACTCTACGCATTTCTAGCTGGGTGACCATGGGCAAGTACCTATCCAGTCTGAATACTGGTTTTCTCCTCCATAAAATAGATATCATATCTTCTTCCAGGGAGCTATTATGAAGATTAAATTAGATAGCATTTATTTATTGCTAGAGATAGCATCAATCATGTGATAAGTGCTCAAGATACAATATCACTTTCATTGTTGTTAGTCCCAAAATAGAGGAATAAACACAAGATCAAAGAAGACATTTCACAGCAAATGAAGTTTACAAGCATGTACTCCCCAAGACACTCAGCCAATTCCTCCCTCATGTTCCCCAAACATTTGGTACCTATCTCTACTATAAAACTTGTTAACAGTGGAATTGCTTATGAGTCGATTTCTAAACCAGAGTATGAGCAGTGAAAAATCAGGAAGAGTCTTCATCTTTATAATCTAAGAGCTTCTCTTGATGTCTAGCAAGAGTAGGTATTAATAAATACTAAATGAGAAAATAAGTGAATGAATGAAAAAGCTGTCAAAAAAAACTCAAAAACAAAAACAAAAAAAAAACTTCCCCAGGAAAAAAATGTATTCTACAAGTTGATTTGGAGATGTACTGCCAAATGAGTTTATAATGTTTCCTTAAATGTCACTAGAAGATAGCCAACCTAAACTGTAATTAATTAAAAGTAATCTGTAAACTTGTCAACTGTAAACTGTTACAAAAGGATGCTAAATGAAAAAGGGAAGGACAGATGCAACAACAAAGGCAAGTGACAATGGCCATCAGAGAGGAGAGCTGAGGAGCGGGGGTTTGTCTCTCTCCTGCTCTGCTCCGGCATGAGGGTGCTCAGACTGGAAATGTTCTGGCTCTTCAGACAGCAACATCTCTCGGGAGGAGAGAGACAATTCATCAAGCTACCAAGGCTTGACAGCATTGTCCCTTGAGGACATCAGCTCTGATTCTATATTCACCAAGAAAACTTCTGAACTGTCATGCATTTTTCTGAGTAAGCTCATGGTCTCAGGCCAGGTTTTCCTCCAGCTGTAAATTAATAAAACTGCATTCTAACTATCATTATCAGAATTGGGGGTGGAGGGTATGTTATCATGAATCAATTATTCAGTGCCTAATCATGCCAGGAAAAAAAATAATAAAATCAAATTGCTAGTGCTATAAAATTGTGGACTGGGCATTAAAAAGGAAGTAAAAGTTAAAACGTTCAGGTCTGCTGGCCTTACCTGTCATATGACTTCAGTAAGTATAACAAAGATTACAAGGAAAAGCTAAGGGCTAGATGGACACCCCAACCCTCAGTGTTATTATTCCCACTGCGGTCTTTAGAGTTCAAAGAAACATGATATAGACTACAATAGCAAAAACAATTTTCTCTTTCTCAATAGACACCAAACAATAGATCAAAAGGAATGGTTATACAGTATTGCAAAAACAACAACAAGTATTAGCTAAGAAAAAAGTTTGACAGAGCAATCAATGTTAGAATTATCAAGTGGATCTATAAAATCCAAATTCCTACTATTTTTCAATATAAGATAAATATTAACCTAATACAGTTCATATTCAAACCTGTCCTCTTAGTCACTTCTAGTCTTCTGACTCTTCAAATGCACTTACATGGCACAAAGATAATTTGTTAACTCAGCAGGCATAAGTCAAACTAATGGTTTCATCCTGTATGAACAAAATAACTATCTAAAGACTTTAAAATTTCCAACAAATTGAGTTGGCATTGCATAGATTAGGTACAGATAATCTTTAGTCTATGAGCCAAGAGAAACTCTCAATTTATTTTCATCTTGACAACATGAAAAGTACCAAGAGGTAATATTACCAATACATACTTTGCTGTAATTGTAAAAATGCAGCCTGGGGCTGAGCATGGTGGCTCATCCCAGTGCTTTCAGAGGCTGAGGTAAGAGGATTACTTGAGGCCAGAAGTTGGAGACCAGCCTGAGCAACATAGTGAAACCCCATCTCTATCAAAAATTTAAAAGTTAGCCAGGCATGGTGGTTTGTCCCTGTAGTCCCAGCTACTCGGGAGGCTGATATGGGAGGATTTCTTGAGCCCAGGAGTTCAAGGCTGCAGTGAGTTATGATCACACCACTGCACTCCTGCCTGGGCTGGAGGCCTCTCTCTGAAACAAACAAAAAAATGGAGCATGGTTTTAAAAACTGTTTTCTATAGAATCATAGTGCTCTATATATTTGACCATCTTTCTGAAAGCCTCCTTCTTAGTCTCTGTGTACTGCAATCTGTAGTCATGCCAGTCTATATGACTTTTATTATCCCTCTGTGTGTGTCCATTTGACTGAGAAATTCCCTGTCTCTCTCACTTTTCTCTCTCAGCTGACCTAGACCATTGTCTGGACCTTTACCTCTCCACATTAAATTTCCCTCCTTTTCTCTTCAGCCCATACTTGACTTTCTTTTATCTATCCCAGTGCTGTCCAATAATACTTTCTGTAATGATGGAAATGTTCTCCATCCACATTTTCCAACACGGTAGCCACTAGTTACATGTAGCCTTTGGGCCCTTGAAATATGCCTAGTGTAACCAAGAAAGGGAATTTTTAATTTTCTTTAATTTTGATTCGTTTAAAGTTAGCTTTAAACAGTCACATGTGGCTGGCAGTTACCATATTGGACAGTGCAGAATTCTGCCCCATAGAACTAATATAATGTTTTTAATCATGATAAGTACAATCTCTCAAAAATAAGAAATTAAATTTACGTGGATCTCAAATAATTTATTTCTTTCAACCATTCAACAAACCCGTGATCCCTGATGATTTCTTAAACCCCTTAAGTTATAATCTCTAAGGACCTCAAGGAAGAAAAAGGGAAAATGAAGCAAGGAAAAAAAAATTTCAGGCTATAAACTTGAGCAGCAATGTAACCATTCCTGTGAGTCTGTTTTGTCTCTGCCTATCAATAGAACATTAATGGCTGATTAGCACATACTGAGGATTTGTGGATCTAGCATGAGAAGATCTGTGTCGGGGCTCTTCGATTAGGCATTCCCTGAGCGCAGATTTTACAGGACTGCACTCTGCCATGCCCAGAGCAGACTTCAGCTGGGAAAGCGGTCCTGCCTTGAGCCTGCAGGTGGTTCATCTAGAGCAAACGCTCCTCCTACAGGCCAAAGAAGTTAATGCAGTCTCGCTAACACAGGGTCTTCATTCATCCTGACAAGCAGCCTATACAGTAGAAAATCTCATCTCCAAATTCCGCCACAAAATCACACGTTCATGGGGGTATGAGGAGGTGGATAGAGTGCAGCATTTGTCAACTCCATATCACCAAAACACTACCTCCCTGATTCCACCACAGTGAAGCACTTCATTTCAGAACAAATAGCAGTTCATCTCCAACCTTCTTCCTGTGTGCAGTTTAACTATGCACTGGGGCCTAAAGTCCACTGACAGTTCTCCATTCCCTGTGAATGTATATGCCACTGTATATTCTTTTCTCTTATTTGGGGATTGAACAATGCAAATTATTTCACTGACAATGAAGTACTTATTAAGGAATCTAGGGATAGAATTAGATCCTCCTACTTTCCCTTCATTTAATGACAATGAAATAATCTATTGTTATATTAAATGCATTAAAGATGAACATAATAACCCTGCTATTTTTATCACTTCACCGCCACCTTTACTGGATTTACACTTATTATAGACAATGCAGGACTGTGATTTTTCAGTTTCCTTTTTGACACTGTCTCCTTGTGGCATTTTTTTCCAGATTGTCCGGGACAAAAAGCTAGCCCTGAGACTGTGGGAAGTGAAGCTTACTGGAAAGCTGTCTGAGGTTGCTGCCTGCTGAAAGACTGAGCTCCTGTGAATAAAGACCATGTCGGTATTCAGGAATGGGGACAGTTGTGGGTTTGATGGCATTGTCACTGGAACCCAGGCTTTTTGATCTTTTGAGGTCAAAATATGGAGGCGTGGTCAGCCACTAGAGCTATGATTATAATTCCTACTATATCTTTCATATAAGAGTTTCAGTTCCTATTTACATCGGTGAGAGGGAACAGGATATGACAGTACAAGGCCGTGGAATTTGATCAGAAAGAGCCTTTTTCCATTATAGCCATAACAGAGCCAGTAGTTGTTCACTCATTTATTGCCTATTTATTAGGCTACAACAGACAGACATAGTGCCAAGGCTAGAGAGAGGCATGTGCGCTACCTTCACAGAGCTCCCACTCTGGTGGCAATCTGAAACCATGTGTTAGGCCAAAGATCATGTTGCAGCTATTTGCTATCCCAGCACTTTCATCTTCATTCATTCTTCAGTCTAATATTTGAAGAGCCCCTGTCATTATGTAGGCATTATGCTAGGCTTTTCACATGTTCTGTGAGTAATGCAAAGGCCCCCAGTGAACTCATGGGCCAAAAAAGAAAATATGTCTACACTAATTGAAAAATACACAAAAACAGCGTAAGAAAAGACTGCCAGATAAAATGTTAGGTGAGATCAAGGAATGGTGGGATTTCTAAAAAGATGAAGAAAACTGGAGTACATAGAATTTGAACTGAGACTGAATGGAAGAACAGGATTCTGACAAGTCGAGCTTCTTCAACACAAAAATCAATAAAACACTACATTTTCCAAAACCCTGTTACATTCACTAACTCACTGGAGCTCCATGACAACCCTATAGGATAGAAACATTAGTAATATTGTTATTATCTCTTTTTTTGCAAATGAAGAAACAGCCTTGGATAATTTAAATGACACGCTAAAAGTCACCAGGGCAACACACTGCCAAACAAGTTTCCTTAACCCCTCAGGAAGGCAGGATCTTCAGTGTATCATTCCAGGTTGGGGTAGGCAGAATTCTAAAATGGCCCCCAAGGTTTCCCATGCACACTCCCAGAATAATCTTCAGGACTGTGGACTTGATGGATTTTTGCTCCTTGACTGGGTTATGTTAGATGGCACCATTAACTTTAAAAAAGATATTTTCCTGGTGGACCTGACCTAATCACATGAGCCTTTAAAGAGAGGGAGGCCTCTTCAGCTGGTCTCAGCACGGGAGGTCAGAGAGTGTCAACTTGAGGGAAGTTTCCTGTTGCTGAGATGGAGAGGGACAAATGGCAAGGACCTCAGAGCAGCCTCAGGAGCTGAGAATGGCCCCAACCAGCAGCTAGCAAGACAATGGGAACCTTAGCCCTACAACTAGAACGAAAGCAATTCTGCCAAATGTGGGAGGGAGCTTAGAAACAGGTCATTGTCTCCAGATAAAGACCTTGATTTCACCCTTGAGACAGCCTCAACAGAGGACCCAGTTAAAACATGCTGGACCTTTACCTACAGAAACCATGAGATAATAAATTTGTGTTGTTTTAAACCACTGAGTTTGTAGTAACTTATTACACAGTAATAGGAAACAAACACAGGGGTCATCTATAATTTTGCCATAATATACCTAGCTAGCTTTAGTACTCTGTAATTACTAAGACAAATTTATTACTCCAAACTGAGCAGTCTTTCCCCCACGTGTGAATGTATTTGTCCCTTGCCACCTCTTCCACTTTACTCATACAGCTCATGACAATTTTTATAATCCCATGACCTTTCTTCACCTACACAAATTATCCTTATAGATTTCTAAAGCATGTTGAGCAAAAAAACTCATGCCTGACTGATTGGATAAAATGCTGTAGCAGATCGTATGTATTTTCCAAAAATGGCCACACAAAATTTTTGGTTTCACATGCCTATCCATAATTTACCATTCTCCCATCAAGAGGTAGAGTTTATGTCCTCTTCCTTGAACCTGGAAACGTCTGTGACTATCTGAACTAATAGAGTACAACATACAGGACACGCTATGACTTCTGAGACTGGGCCATACAAGATGATACAGCTTCTGGCCAATGAGCCCTCTGTCAAGGTTGCTCGTCCTTGGAACCCAGTCATCTTGCTGTGGAGAGGCCACATAGAAAGGCCCAGAAGGGCTGGATGCGGAGGTTCACGCCTGTAATCTCAAAAATTTGGGAGGCCAAGGTGGGTGGATTACTTGAGGTCAGGAGTTCAAGACTAGCCTGGCCAACATGGTAAAACCCCATGAAAAAAATGAAAAAAGAAAAGAAAGAGACAAGGAGCAATTCTGAGGCCCTGGCTCTCAACCCTAGCCAAGATCCCACTAGTGATATGCTATTAAATGTTGAACCACCAACTCTTGTCGGTGAGATTGTGTGTGTTAGGAGGTAGAGTGGGGCTGGAAACTCTTGATTGGTAGCATTTGCCAATTCCCATAGTGTAAACAAATACCTCAGGCCGGGCGCAGTGGCTCACACCTGCAATCCCAGCACTTTGGGAGGCTGAGGATGGATCACAAGGTCAGGAGTTCGAGACCAGCCTGGCCAATATGGTGAAACTCCATCTTTACTAAAAATACAAAAATTAGCCAGGCGTGGTGGCGGCCACCTGTAGTCCCAGCTACTCAGGAGGCTGAGGCAGGAGAATGGCATGAACCCGGGAGGCGGAGGTTGCAGTGAGCCAAGATCGCACCACTGCACTCCAGCCTGGGTGACAGAGCAAGACTCCGTCTCAATAAATAACTAAATCAATAAATACCTCCACCGTGACTAATTTCAAACTACAAACATGATACCACTGGAAATGAATTTGAGAAATAGATGCACACAGTCGGCTTTGTGAATCAATATATGCCAGATCCAGCACAGCACTGCTCACAGCCAACAGCCTTCACTGGCTCACCAGCTATGTGAGTGAATCAGGTCCAAAGTGGATATTCCAGCCCTTAGTTGAGCTGCCACAGCTGACTCCACATGGAGCAGAGGTATGTCTTTCCTTCCAAGCCCTGCTCAAATTTTAGGTTTATGAGAAAAATAAATGACTGTTGTCATTATAAACTACCAAGTGTTGGAATAATTTGTTATAAGGCATGAAATACTAATTTAAATAAATAAAGGTGTAGGAGGTGAAGTAGAGAAAGTCTCTGAGATGAACTTGGGGTTTTCTGAATGATTGGAAAAGCAGTTATATATTTGAAGCTAAGGAACCTGCAGCTAAAATGTGTAAGTTTGAAAACCACAATTGTACATTAAAGAAAAGTAAATAGATAACAGACATTAGGTGATTATCTGATTAAAGTAATTCACACTAAGATGTTACTGGAGCCCAGCTTAACCTCCAAGGGGATGTTCCCATTTTAAAAGAAGAGGGTAATAGAACAAGTTAGTAGTTCTCAAGCAATGCTAATCTGAGGTATTTTGTTGCTGAAAGCAAATAATGGTAGCTGCTTATATCTGAATTCACAATGAAAAAAAAAGATTTCAATGAAGTGAATTTTCTCGATTTGTTTGTTCCATGGAAAAACAGTTTTCTTAAATTTATTTTACTGCTACAGTTTTGCTGTTGGTGAGTCTTAGCAAATGACAGGACAAATTATTAAGTACTATGTTAATATTAACAGAAAAACTTAGAATCATCCTTAGTTCCTTGGCCTGTGTGATTATGGAAGTGATTTCATATTGCAGTTTATGATACAGTTGTATTTTCTGCTGGTTAAGTGTCCTTAGTTTGCAAATGGAATTAAGTATATCAATATTTCATGGAGTTCTTCTGAGAACACTACTTCCTCCAGGTGTTTTGCCAACTAATCAAGATTAAGAACCATGAACTTAAATGAATCTGTCATTAGTGGAATATAAGAGGGGATATTTTTTAACAGGGTGGGAAGCCTCACTTTGCGCTGTCCCTGCTCTGAATATCTGTCATGCCTTTACCACAGGACAGGAAGAACAGTTATCAGCAACTTAGCTGATAACTCACGTCTGAATGGCTTACTATCCTGGTCCTAAGGCAGCTGAAAAAAGCCAGATTTAGCTGGAAGACACAAAACCATGTGGTAGTCCAAAGAGAAGCGTGATTGTAAGATTAGATCGCATAAATATAAAATAAAAATTATATTCAGTCTAGAGATGAAACTAGAGTGATTGAGAACAATTAAGAAAAGTGAGAAGAGACCCATATTAGTAACCCCAGTTCTGTCATGCTTGGCTGCTTTGAGAAAGTGTGTGTGAGAGAGAGAGAGAGAGAGAGAGAGAGAGAGAGAGTGTGTGTGTGTGTGTGTGTGTGTGTGTGTGTGTGTTCTACATCGAAGTTCTAGAGAACTATTTCTCAAACA
Source organism: Homo sapiens (assembly GCF_000001405.40). Taxonomy (NCBI): domain Eukaryota; kingdom Metazoa; phylum Chordata; class Mammalia; order Primates; family Hominidae; genus Homo; species Homo sapiens. The sequence continues at coordinate 118,633,954 of NC_000003.12, forward strand.
AGACTATATGAATAAAATAACCTATCTGTATATGAAAAAGTCAGCCAATTTCAGAAAAAAGCACTCCCTTGATATTAGACTTATAAACAAAAATTATAAAATGAAAATAGAAGGCATAACGCTGACTAGTGTTATAAACCTAATATATAAACCTAAATATAATTGCCATGGTAGATTATGATGGTTAAATTTTCCAATATCTGGGCCTCCTAATAAAAATGCTAGTTAGCCAGAGGATTTTGAGTTTGCATAAAATACAAGGATAATTATTGATATTTTTTGTTTTATATTCCATCCATTTCCAAAATGAATTTGAGGCACACTCCTTTTCTAGACCAAAGTTGACTCTCTCTCTTTCTCATAATATAACAAGATCAAGAAGTCTTGATAGCTTCTTTTCTTTGTCACTTGATGCTCTTGAATAATTCAAGGTACTGACAAAACCAACCTCCTCCGAGCTTCATAATCCACTGCTCTTCAGTCCTATTCTAGCACATATTTGTGCTATAGCTAGCTTTTTTTCTAGCCCTGGATATCCTTGAAGGTTCTTTTTTGTTACCTGAAAAAAAAATTAATTTCAGCATCAAGGCCAGGGGAGAGAAGTAGAGGGTGAGGAGGAAATTGGTATCCCCTGCCTTCAAAGGAAGCCCCTGTCAAAGATTTAAAAACAAAACAAAAGCTTTTGTTGGCAAGAGTGAGATAATACCCACCCCTGTACTCATACTACTATCGGCCTAAATGTGACAGAGCTTTAAAGTTGCCCTTATCCTTTGACCCAATCATTTAAAATCAAGGAATGTGGTCTAAACAAATTTTAAAAAAAAAAATTTTTTAAATGTAAAAGCATATTCTTATTGCTAGGTATAATTTATAAAAATAACATAAATCCCAACAATATGAGAAGTTTAAATACATTCTACTATATCTATGTTATAATAATCCACAACACTCTATATACAGTATAATTCCATTTGTGTGTTTGTGTTGTGTGTATATGTGTGTGCACATAGATCAGAAAGAAATAAGTAAAATTCTTAACAGCAGTTATTTCTGGCACAACAATTGTGATATTTCTATTTTCTTGCTTACATTTTTCTATGTTTTCTAAGTTTTCTGCAGAACAGATTTTATTTTTATAATCAGAAAAAAATGATATATAAATAAGTTGTCCATTCATGCCCTTACAAATCAATCAAAATACAGGAGTCTCTGAATTACTCCTGAAAGCTGACCCTCCCTGGATTTACTGATTTCCTTTAGTTTTTTTTTTTTTTTTTTTTTTTTTTTTTTTTTTTTTTGAGACGGAGTCTCGCTCTGTCGACCCGGCTGGAGTGCAGTGGCACGATCTTGGATCACTGCAAGCTCCGCCTCCTAGGTTCACGCCATTCTCCTGCCTCAGCCTCCCAAGTAGCTGGGACTACAGGCGCCCACCACCACGCCCAGCTAATTTTTTTGTATTTTTTTAGTAGAGACAGGGTTTCACTGTGTTAGCCAGGATGGTCTCGATCTCCTGACCTCATGATCTGCCCTCCTCTGCCTCCCAAAGTGCTGGGATTACAGGCATGAGCCACCGCACCCAGCCGATTTCCCTTAGTTTTATATTTATTTTTCCTTCACGACTCCTGCCTCAGTGCTTCCTGCTCCTGGGGACTGGATCCCTCTCTGTCTCAGTGCAGAACAGCAGAAGTGCATGGCTGTCTCTCATTCATCGAAACTGCTACACTCTACTTTCTGCTTGTCCTTGGGTTTTATAAGCCAGGTGCACTTTCTCTTTCTCTCTCTCTCCCTTTGTGCAGACCTTTACCAAGCAAACATTCTGCCTCTAATAATGCTCTTTTTTTCTTTCCACCACAAAACTTCCAGGAGCCAGTTTTCTTCCTGGGCTCATTTGTGTGTGTGTGTGTGTGTGTGTGTGGCCCTTCATCTTATATATAGCAAGAGACCAAGAACGTTCATTCATACCCTTTGACCCAAATATTTAATTTCTGGGAATACAGCCCAAAGAAAAAATTCAAAATGTGGTGGTGGCAGAGTAGGATAAACTATGAAATATTCACCATAGCATAATTTTTAATAGCAAAAATTAGAAGCAACCCAAGTGGCCCACAATTGGGAAGTAATTAAGTAAAACTAGGCATATCCATAAAGTAATTTTTTTTCAAAATAATAGCCATTAAAATTAATGACTAAGACTAGGTGGCAATTGGGTAAATGTTTAAATATAATTTTAATGAGAAAAAACAGTACTTAACTTCAAATCTAAGTAAAAGGGTAAAACGAAACATAGAAGGATAAACAGAGATTATAAAGAAAAGCATTTTTCCTCTAGTTAGTTACTTCACTAGTTTGGAACCCCAATCTAAAGGTACATATGAACAGTTCTAAAAGTTCTGGTATTGAAGGATCTTACCACCAGCCCATGAGCTGAGACGAAGTTTCCTTCCTTCCCACTCACCTTGTCCCTGCAGGACAATGGTGACTTATTTCTAGTAAAGACAAAGTCAGCTCTATGTCTAAACGTGGTGAAGTGTCTCCTTCCTTCCCATCCAAATGCCTCTAAACAAAAAACCTCTGAAGACCAAAATTTAGTACTGTTTCATCAACGATTTGTGACTCAGTGCCTACCACTGGATCTGCCTGCACCCCTGGCACTATTCCTACCTGCTATGGCTGTGTCTGGTACAATGGAGCTGGCAAGACAGCACGGACCTCTGACTCCCAGTAGGGCAGCCCTGCAGGGAGAGGCCTCCCACTACCTCTCAGAGCTAGTACCTCTTGTCTGGCTCTTCCAGAAGCCATCACTACAAAGGGGAGAGGGTTCAGTAAGGCTGCACTCCCTTTGACCAAGGCTGTGTTTTCTCTACTACCAGAAGGGTCCCTGTATTCTTCTAGTCACTCATATCACCGCCGCCAGACCCACTGCCTTCCCTGTGCTCCACTTGCTCCTTAACTTTGTTGCTCTAGTCTCCCTTCCATTAGGAAGTTATTAAAATCTCCCATAAAGGCAGCTAACCCTTTTTCTATTTCTCAAGGTGCATGTGTCTAGGAAAAGACAGGAGTACTTCTCTTCCCTGTTGAGGCTTCCCCCAAGTGGATGGCTGAAGAAAGGCAGTTCGTTCATCCTGATAGAGCTACTGAGGCTAACGGCAGTGAGGTGAGCCCTCTTACTCCCTTTCTATCAGTGAGTTCAGGGGACACAAAAACCCCATGTAAGAGGTGTGCACCTGAACAAGCAAATCCACATGCATCATCACAAGGTCATTTTCTATGTTGCAAAAATTCCCCAGCCTTCCAGCAACAGGAAAACTCCTCATTAACGAGGCTGTCTTAAAGTCCCAGGAGGCATATAGAAACTGCCTTGAAGGCATTCACTGGTTACCTTACTTGCATTTTTCCCAGGGAAGGCAGTCTTCCTTGGGTCCAAAATAAGATTTTCCTAAAATCCTGAGCTGTTATAGAGTCCCAGGTTCCACATATACACATTTTATTTTGAAGTTTAGAAACTACATGTGCATTAAAAATGAGTTGGAGGAAACGTATCTAAATGGTCATACCAACTGTTAGAGTGGTGAAATCACAGATGACTTATCTCTTGAAATCTTTATTTTCCAAATTTTTATGTTTACTTTTTCAACCTAAAACATAGAGGGCAAATAACACAAGAATGTCTCAAGATCCTCTCAATTGATCAAAACTCCCTATAAAACCAAAATATTTCTTCTATTTGATTTTTGTTTCATTTTCTCCAATTTCTTTCTTTCTCCTCTCTGGTGAGAGTATTTAATTGTGGTCTCATCCATCTATCTTTGCATCCATCCATCTGACCGTCCATCCGTCCATCCATCCATCCATCCATCCATCCATCCATCCATTCATGCCTCTTCTTTCCATTCCTGCCTTAAAGGAGCCAAGCAGGGAAGTCACGAGTTGCCTTTAAAAAAAAAAAGAAAGAAAGAAACGTTCAGCAGCAGCCAAGCAGCCAGAGGCACTAATGTGAGAAGCTGGAGAAGGTGTCGTTTTGCACTCAAACTGACATTTAAGCTGTTTCATAAATATGAAATCAAACTTGAAGGTCCAGATGGGCTGCCGCCCCCTCCGCCTTTTGCTGGAATGACATGCTATTTACCAGCCTCAGAAAGGGGGACTGAGGAATGAAACTTCCAGATGATGAGTCACAGAAGAAAATGATTGATGAGTGATGAATGAACTAGTGTTTTTTTCATGCAAGAATCAGGAGAGAGTTTCTGCCCGATGGACAGTGATCACCGACGCGTAGTGTAGCCACAGTCAGACTGTGACAAGGAGCAAGGTGGACACATTTCCCAGGTGCTACACAGAGTAGACAGTACAAGTCACAGCTTGTCACTCACTCACTCACACATACATGGAGGCATTTCCAAGAGGGTCACTTTTATTCTGGGTGATTCCATAGCAGCAGTTGTTCCATATCATATATGCATCATAAAAAAGAGTATCACATGAAGCCAAGTATAAAATTTGAGTTTTGGTGACATAGGCATCTGTCAGGATCTTGGAATCCCGGAGTGTTTATGACTGCAGTACCCCGCCAAGTGCTTCCTACAGCACTGTTTTTGAGGTGAGCATTGCAGAACCTTGTCTGCCTCTCCAGAGCCCTGTGGAGCTGGAAGGGATGAGGAAGGCAGGGATTTTGGAGGCTCCACTGCCACTTCTGCAACATCAAGCCATGACCCAGAAAGATACCTCCTATTGCTATGCTGCAAAGCTACAATATGCTCCCAATTTAGAGAGATGGAATGTGGTTCTCCATCATTCTGGAGGACTCTCAGGGATGTCTTGGCATTAGTCTCTGATTATTCCTTGTAACTCAAGTGTTTCACTTTTCTGAAGAATAAACAAAGAGACAGCTTGGTTTATTTTATAGCTATTGCTGTAAACCAAGGAAATCACTTTTAATTCCATTTCAATTACAGAAAGAAGATTTTGATGATGTCCATAAGGTGACATTTTCTTCATCATTTGAAAGATAAGAATTTGAGGTTGAGCAGGGCACTTTCTTCAATGAAACACACGGTGGTGATTTGCAGGCATTGGCTGTAACCTTGACCCATACATTCTCGTGATTGGGCGGAACAGATTTTTTATAACAGGACAGATTCCAGCTCCAGCTTGTTTGCTCTAATTCTTTGGAATCACCACCTTTGTATGTACCTGAGCATCCAGATGAGAAGAGCCTTTGTTATGTTTCTATAGATTGAGGTTCATGACAAGCAATATCAGAGCTGTTCTACCTCCTTCTTTCAAATGAATTTCTGCAAAATAAAGTCCTCTAGACAATGTTAAGGGAGAAAAACCTCCCTCCCTCTGATTGTCCCCAGACCAATCCTTACATAGGCAGCATTGATGTCTCTCCTGCTCTGACTCTGCATTGCCCCACCTCTTGCCACCTTTGGGGGATGTGATTAGGTATAAGATGCAAACTTTGCACTTACCTCTGAGCTAATATGTGCTACAAACAAGGTTGGTGGGAGGGGGCATAGCTGCTGAATCTCTAGAAGGAGGATTACGAAAACCTGCAGTGAGGATCTATCCCAGTGGAATAATGAGAAGAGAGAAGGAAGTGCAGAAGTGAGCAATAGGATTTCCTGGCAGAGGCTGTGGCAGGCTTTGTCTCCCTCTCTTAGAGACTTCGGTTATCAGTGGGTCAATGGCATGCTGGCACATAGTGTGTCTTTTTTTTTTTATTGACTCCAGTGAAGAAATTTCTTACCACTGGATAGATGATAGATAGATAGATAAGATAGGGATATCTTTTAAAGGTTGAATCAGAAGATCTCTGTTATTTGGCTTGATTATGGTTTATACGAATTTCAGTTTTCTAGGTTACAATTTTCCTTAAATGGGCCATTGGATTTCTGGCCTGCCAGATTTAAAAATTCCAAATACATTGAAGATGCCCCCCAATTCAGGGCATATAGAATCAAATGTAAAGCTGGTGTAAAGTCAACACACCGCTTAAAGAGAACTGGTCTCTCCTCTGCTATTTCAGATCCTACTAATTTCGTTGAGACACTGGGTCACATTATGGTAACTTCTTCATTGGAAGAAATTCAAAGGCTTAGCAAAAGAAAGTTGTAACTCCCTCGTAAATATTAAAACCGAATTCAATTTAATTTTAAACATTTTCTAATTGGATACTGTGTGCTTAACCCTACACTGGACATTGAATAGGGTTTTAAAATTTTTGTTTTTTTCCTACTTCAGTGCATATATGTTTCCTATTAAAAATTAAATGATAGCACAAGTCAGTAAATAGTTAATTTCTTAATTAGATCATTTTGTAGGACAGTTTGGTGGGGTTTTTTTTTTTTCCATAGTGAGTGTGCAATCCCCTGTGAAGGGCAATAGAAATAACATGGGATAACAGGCAGGCTTCAGGGCCAAGTTTACTGTGATCATATTAGAGAAGGTGATTAGAAAGTACTCTGATCACACCAGACACATCCCAAAATAGAAGAATTAGCTGCAGTGAAGAAAGATCTAAAATTAAGTGCTTCCCCAGGTGGGTAGTAAGCATTCATGGAAGATGCAGTAATAGACAACAGGTGGGAGCCAAGACAAGCAAATCACCTGAGAGAGATCCTGTGATTACAGATATACCAGTGGAATGGTGGAACAAAATGGCGGAGGTTTTAGAATAAAGCAAAATGCAGAGTAGCTAATAAGAAGTATTGGGAAAATCTGAAGGCTAGAGACAGCACCTCAGCTGTAAGGCTGGTTTATAAGGTCTCTGGGGAATACAGAAAAAAAAAACAAAAAACTAAGGTTTCAACCATAAGAAATTAGGCACTACAGGTATTCAAAACAGGGCATAAGATTTTGGAAAACAAGACAGGGATTTAGTAATTAACCTTGGGGTCCAAAGGCAGGAGGTGGTCTCAGGAATAAGAAAGTCTAATCTAGTGATCAAAGGGCACAATATTAGAGCCAGGCATGCAGAAATAGTAACTAATATTTATGCACCACACTGCATAGTTTTGAAGTATTTTTACATTGTATGGGTTCCCAGGTCATCTATTAAATAAATTCACCTACTATGTGCCAGGAACTGTGGCAGAAAAGAAGAATCCAGAGATGAAAAAGACATAGCCCCAACACTTAGAGGAGAATGGTCAAGTGGGAAAGACTGATAGGCAAACAGATAGAACAGAATGCCATAATTCCTGAACATCACGTATAGACCAGTAAGAAAAAGGAGGCCATCCTGCTCTCTTTCATTTTCCTTCGTCTTTGTTACTGACTGAAAAGCTCAGAAGTGACAGCCTTGGAGCTGATGATAATGACTTAGAATCATTTCACATACTAAAACCCCAGAATTTAAATTTCCATACAAGTGAACGTTTAACTTCTGTCCCACAGGGCTGTGCTTAGAGCAGGGGATCATTTTAAAATTCCATAGAATAGGCCCTGCCACGCAGAGCACCAGAGGACTTGGAGGTGGATGGGCTCTAATGAACCGCGATGTGACTTGGGTAATGTAGAGCTCTGAGGAAAGCCCTCATACAAATTTTGGGTGATTAACTAAATTTTTAAAAAGGATGGAACCTTCTGCTTCAGTGAATGTGGGAAAATTAAGACAACAAAGACATGGGGGTTCAGGCGAAGGGATATCCTAAGATGCTGGGAACTTTGAGTATTTTGAACCCAGTCCCCCTCCTCCCCGAGCCCTTCAACCAAATGTTCTGTTGCTAAGACAACAGGATGCTAGCAGGCATATGCATGTGTCTGCTTCCTGCATGCGGTTGCCTAGCAACAGGACTCAGCAGAGCCTGGGCTCTCGCTCTTTACACCTACCCTGCTCCATCCATTGCCTTGACTTGCCAGTTGCTTTCCCCACCCCCAAGGCAAAGAAACAAGAAGCAGGAGAGTGCAAGAGGCTCAGGATCTGATCTTCTCAACAGCAGGAGAAAACCCTAGCCTGGCTTCACTCAGGTTAACCCCTACACTATGAAGTTATAAAATGTAAACTGACCATTACAGCTGACTGGAAATGAAATGATGATTCGACATTCTTAATATTTGAAATCCGGTTATGGAGTCCTACCCTGTAATCACCAAAGGGATATGATGATAAGGAAAATACTGAACTACTGAGGCAAGATTAATAGAAATATTTTACCCTAGGAATGAGATCACAGGAAATGGGATATTTGGGGGATAAAAGGAAGAAAGGGAAGGGGAGAAAAGAAATTAAGGAGAAAGTAATAAAGAATAGAAAAAAGCAGGAAAGAAAGGAAAGGCTTTTAACTCACAATAAATAATATCCCTTTGGAACCTGAGAGTGTGCAAACTGGAAAAATCTGCAATGTTATGTAGACTAGGATCTGATGTCTAAAATGATAACAATAGAGATTATTGAAGTTCTTTTAAATATAGGACATTACATTAAGGGCTTTACATAGATATTTCCATCTTCACAATAACCCCGTGTGATAAAGCTTAGGAAAGTGATTTTACAGCTTAGACTCAGAACAGTTAAGTGACTTGACCAAGGACACACAGCTAGTAATTGTGGCAAAGCTAACAAAAATAGGTAGCATTCAAACCAAAATTAGTTTGACTCAAAACCCACTCATTTTCTTAACATGTATTATGAGAAGTACCTGAGAAAATATGTGTAAAGCTTGTGAAGTCACACAAATTTGTTAAATTGGGGACCTTTTAAAGAAGCTATAAATATACCTTATATAACATTAAACAAATGTTTTTTCTTCAAAGCTTTAATGCAATAATTTATAAAAGAAAATCATCTTGCCAAGTGGGAAAGTAAAAGCTGGTCCTTTAACAAAGTGTTCAGTAAAAAAGTTTAGAGTCCTTTTGAAGAAGCTGTAGAAAGAAACTCCCGAGTTACTCCCATTGAAAAGAAAGTTCAAATTTTGGAGATGTTTATGAAATTATAGGAAATTGATTATAGCACCAGATGTATACAGAAAAGCAATTGCTCCAGGAAATCAAATAAAAGAAAAATATAAGGTTCCTCTGAAACCTTGGTGGCTTCTAATACGGAACTCCTTCCTGGCAGCAGCACAAAGCCCCTGGCCAGCGAACATGTGGCGAAGTGCTGACAGCAGGGATGGATACATACATATTCAGTGCCCCTTTCTCAGACCCTCAGACCTCCATGCCTACAGAAGACATATGGCATGCCAGTCTCATCATTCAAAAAGATGTGCCTAAGCTTGCCTGACCTAGGCTTAAACCAGTAATTTTACCAGCTACATTTATTCCTTATTCTAAAGGGTGAGTTCAGGCATACTTAGAAAATCCTTTTGTCATATTCATTAATTCCAAAGGTAATAGGCCCCCTCTAAATATTAATAGAGATCAGGCAGACCCTACCTGACTATTAGAGTCAAGATTCTGGTGTCCAGAGTGCACAAACTCAGGTTAACAGGTTAATGGCTTCATCCCTTCCCAAATTTAAAGTATTGTTATCATTATATCATATTACATATGACAGCTATTCTCCAGAAATAACTTGTCTTTGCTTAAGGATCAGGGCCAAATACTCTCCTGTGAAGAGCATAAACCAGAGTAGAAACATAAAGCGGGCATTCCAGCTTTTCTACACAAAGCTATATGAAGTAACTATGTTGCAGAGCTCTAAATAACATAATTCATACAGTAATGCCCACAATGTGTAAAAATGCAATGGACAAAGACTATTGTCCCACAATATCTATTCCATCTTTCTTGTATAGTCACAGAATTTTTAGCTAGGCACATGACCACTCACTCTAAAGTCTGGCCAATAAGATTTATACGCAATTGTCATGTGGCAGTTTTTCTAACTCTTTAAGAAACAGCCATTGTACAAATGTTGCCCCTCTTCTTTTGTTCCTTTCTTTTCCCCACCTACTGCAATGTAGAAGATGTCATCTTGGATTAGAAAAGAGAGAGAGAGCCACAACTTGGATTGACAGAGTATGGAGCCTGAAGGAGCCCAGGTCCCTGAGACACGGTGGAACAAAGCCACTATACTACCTCAGGACTCTGTACAGCCCTGCTTTATATAGAGGAGAAGTAAACTTCTATCTTTTTAAAGCCCCTATTTGTTGAATTGTATTGTCACAGCCATATCCAATCTTAAGGAATATACAAAGATTATGCCATGGCTTTTGTAGCCCAATTGGCTATCTAGGCAAGTAAAATAATCTGAATGATGTATTAGTCTGTTCTTGTACTGCTATGAAGAAATACGTGAGATGGGTAATTTATAAAGAAAAGAGGTTTAATTAGCTCGCAGTTCTGTGGGCTGTAGAGGAAGCATGGAGCATCTCTTGGGCTTCTAGGGAAGTCTCAGGAAACTCACACTCATGGCAGAAGGCGAAGGGAGAGCTGGCACTTCACATGGCCAGGAGCAGGAGGAAGAGAGGGGTTGGGAGGTGCTACACACTTTTAAACAAGAAGATCTCATGAGAACTCTATTATGAGAACAGCAATGGGGGATGGTGCTAAACCATTAGAAATCGCCCTCATGATTCAATCACCTCCCACCAGGCCCCACCTTCAGCATTGGGAATTATATTTCAACATGAGATTTGGGTGGGGACACAGATCCAAACCAAATCAAATGATCTACAGCAGAAAAGAAATCCTGAATAGAAATGAGGATCTGAATTGTCTCAAGACAAGACTCTCCAATTTATAACTGGCAATCTAAAGAACTCCTGTCATTTTCCTTAAGGATATAATTTTTTTCATAGTATACAGAATAAGATGTTGTCCTCAAAAAGAAAGAAGATATTTTATCCACAGGCAAAAACTTGTCTTTTAACATTTACTTGCTTCTCCCTAGATGAGAGAGCCCCATCAGATGCTCCTGAGCATACGCCCAAAATGCACACCCAAAAGGTGTTGTTTCCAAGAAGTGACACCCAAGAGGTGTTGCCACCACAGCCCTTGTACTGATAAGGCAAACCTAAGAGCCACTGGTGAAACTCATCTAATAAAATGAATGAATATAATATGTGACTTAATATCTTTTCAATATTTAAAAGAAATGTGTATACTGAAAATTCATATGATCCACACCACTACTGTCTGATAGAAATATAACACCAGTCACAAATGCAAGCCATAGATGCCTTTCTAACTTTTCTAGTGACCACACTTTTAAGAATCAAAAAGAAACAACTAAATATAATTTTAATAATATACTTTAACCCAATATATCAAAGATATTATACGTTACATACTAATATGATCCATATAAAATACCAATGTGCTTGAAATTTTCTTTTTTTTTTTTTGTACAAAGCCTTCAAAACCCAGTATATATTTTACACTTACAGTACATTTCAATTTAAGCTAGCCACACTTCAGATAGATGTTCAGCAACCACTGTGGCTCGTGGCTACCATACTGAACAGTACAGATCTGGAGTATGCCATTTATTGTTTAGCAGAATAATAACATCTTTGAATGTCTTGAGCCTCTAAAGTTTCTCAAGCCCAACCAAGGCTCCTGCCTTCTTGTCACAATTGTAACTTATGATAAAAAATGAAGGTGACTGTTTGTAAATAGCTACCAAAATGGTTATGCCATTATTACAACTCACAATCATTCAGATCTCACTGATGATGAGGTTCTTCTCTTGTGCTAACTTTATGTCTGTTGCTGCATTTAGCCCTATTCTGGTTCTGTCTTCCACAGAGAAGAGGCACAGTGACCCATAATCCCCACATAATTACTTTGCATGTTAGGAAGCACAGAACTCCAGGGACATGCTCAGTTTACTAAGGTGCAAAGGCGGTAGGGATTTGAAAGAGCCAAATCTAAATCTCAAGGCACTCAGACTCAGTTTCCCTCTGCCATGAGGAGACTCATGACTCCTTCCATTTTCCAGCATAGTTCGAAGGTCACAGACACTGTGAAAGCTTTCCTTTAACCACAATCCTATAATGAATACAATTTCTGACTCTGGGGTCTACTTCTACTTTAGATCTTTAAAAAGAAGAATTCGAAGAAAAAGGAATGCAAGGAGAAAGCTGAAGAGGAGGTGGAAGGAAAAGAAGAAGCAGCAGAAGAGGGAGAAGAGAAAGAAATGTCTGTCTATAGAAGGGAGAGTCACATGATTTGAAGGCTGACATTTGGAATGCAAACCTGAGGAAAATTGTCTACCTCACTTACCTGCCTGGTTGGAAATCCAAGTATCAGTGATACACTTGTTTTGAGATAAACTAAGAGTCCATGCATACCTAGTTAAGATGCAAATAAACCTAGGAAGTGAAATACCAAACCTTCAATTCTTACTACATTTTCATTCATCAAACACAAGCAAATTGGTCAACTCAGCAGGGCCTAGAAAGACAGACACAAATGTTGACAGGCAGGATGGGAAAGATCTGGGAAACAGAAGCCTCGGGCCACCTATGCATTATTGTGATGACCTTGGAGACCTGGAGGAACGGTCACCTGAAGCACAGAGGATGCTGACAAGAGGACAGAGACTGACAAACCTCAACTCTTCCCACTGTCCAGAGCCAGCTCTGCCTAGCATCTCCACTGTTTACTATGACGTTGTGAGTTTGGGTTATCTGTACTTAACTTCTTCAAGATATAAAGAATGTGACATATCCCCAGCACTTCAATTCTTACTTTTTATTAGGATCAGCTGGTCCTCTTTGGGCCCAGTAAGCTTCTAGCCTTCCAGTTTATTTGACTCAATCATAACGAAATGAACCACTAGTTCTTTGGACTTTTAAAATTCAACTGGACAGTCCGTTGAAAGCCTGTGCTTCACAACAAAGCCCAGAAATTTCTGAGTACCAGAAAATGTGAAACAGTTAAAAATTTTTAAAAATAAATGAATGTTGGCTGGGCACGGTGGCTCACACCTGTAATCCCAGCACTTTCGGAGGCTGAGGTGGGCAGATCACAAGGTCAGGAGATTGAGACCATCCTGGCTAACACGGTGAAACCCCGTCTCTACTAAAAATACAAAAAATTAGCTGGGCATAGTGACGGGTGCCTGTAGTCCCAGCTACTCGGGAGGCTGAGGCAGGAGATTGGTGTGAACCCAGGAGGCAGAGCTGGCAGTGAGCCGAGATCGCGCCGCTGCACTCTAGCCTGGGCGACAGAGCGAGACTCCATCTCGAATAAATAAATAAATAAATGTTTATCACTTTCATTATCAACTTGAATTCTGGTTCTTCCCTCTTTTTCCCTTTTCTATTTTCCTTATCCTCATTCTTTGTTTTCTGACAGGGATGCATAATTGTCTATAGGTTCATGGCTGAAAGGCATTGTTTCTCTAAGAAGGTGGGGTTAGCAGAGACACGCATGAACCTGTGATAAAGGAAGGGCAGAAACCCCTGTCCAGCTACATTTCCAGAACCAAGCTCATAAGCTCATAAGAGGCTATTTATTCAGTCATTCAATGGCAATAATTGAGTTGCTATTACATGCCCAATCCTGTGGTCAAAGAATAGTAGTAATAGACATAAGAATACAAATCTGTGTTGAGTGCCAACATGGAGATGCCCCAAGGTAGAGAAGGGGAACAGAGGAAGATGTTGGTTCTGGAAATGTAGCTGGCCAGGGGTTTGTGTCCTTTCACAGATCCAGGGGCCTCTCTCCCAACACTGTTTTCTTGAAGAAACAATGCTTATTGGCCGTGAACCTATACATAGTTGTGCTTCCTGTCAGAAAGCAAAAAAATGAGGATAAGGAAGGTAGAAGAGGAAGAAAGGGGGAAGAACCAGAATCCAAGCTTATTTTACATCCCCTTTTCTAGTTATTCTCAAACAGTGAACACCCTAGAGGTAAAACAAGGCAACTTTAGCTTTTTGGTGCCATATCTTTTTCACTCAAGTGTCCTTGGAAACTGAGGCTATAGTAGTGGCCTTTGGACCAACAGAAAGATACTGTAATGGTCTCAAATGTACTTATTAAAGGAATAGGTCCTCGGTGTGCTATGTCTGATTCTATTCTATTCTATTCTTCTGTTCTATTCTATTCTATTCTATTCTATTCTATTCTATTCTATTCTATTCTATTCTATTCTGTGATTTTCACCTTCATTTCCAACACATAGTCTTGACAAAAGTAAGAAAAGGAGGAGAAAAGGTACCAGTGCATTACAAAAACTGCATTTGAGAATCCTAATGTCCACTTCAAGGTGCAGTCTTCTTGGGTAAACATGCAGTCTGTTTGCATTTAATTCTTCCACACAAGCCCTGCAAGAAAGTTAGCCAAACTGATAATCGATTCACATGATCTTTGCTCACTCATTTATTAAAACACACCAAACAGTTAATTCCCTTTTCTGTTGGGAGCTCTCACTGATTCTACATGGCTTGAATGTTAAACAGCCACTCAGGGCTCTGGGAAAATAGCAGAGTCATTAGGTGGTAACTGTTTCAAACTGTTCAAAACAAGTCTTAGAAATTAAGGGCCTCAATGTCCCTTCAATAAAATTACTTTGGTGAATATTTATTGAACTGATAGCTGACAGATGATAAAGAAGATCTAGCCTGTAATCCCAGTGCTTTGGAGGCTAAGTTGGGAGGATCACTTGAGGCCAGGAGTTTGAGATCAGCCTGGGCAAGATACAGAGATCCCATTTCTACACAAAAAAAAAATTAAAATTAGCCGGACATGGTAGCTACTTGGGAGGCTAAGGCAGGAGGATCACTTGAGCCCAAGAGTTCAAGGTTACAGAGAAGCCATGATCACACCACTGTACTCCAGCCTGGGCAACAGAGTGAGATCCTATTTCAAAAAAAAAAAAAGAGTGGATTGGTCAACTAAAGAACTTGAAAGATCTCAGAAAGCTCTAATTCAGTTGACCAATCCACTTCTTTCTTCCTACTTCTTCTACTTGAATAAGAGAAGAAAGAAGAGTTTTTGAATACCCTTCACTTCTCCAGCTATGGTATGAGCCCATTGGACACATTGGCCAATACCTTACTAATTAACTAATTCCCCACCAAGAGCCTCTATCTCTAGACCGGGAGATAGATATATAGCTGATGATAGATAGATAGATAGATAGATAGATAGATAGATAGATAGATAGATAGATAGATTATATATATATATATATAGCTAGATAGATAGATATCTATAGAGAGATAGATAGATAGATAGATACAGATGCTATAGATATATAGATATAAATCATCCTCCTCTTTAGCCTGGTCCAGAGGCTAACATTAGGGACTCTAAGTAAATTGTGGCACTGGAAGGAAGCCAACAAATTATAAGATTCTATAGGCCAATCCTTTCTCTTCACATATGAGGACTTTGGGCTTCAGCAATTATTTGGTGACCACGCTACGACTCTTAGCCAAATGATTCAGCTCCCAGGGTGATGCTCCAATTCCTCTTGCCCACAAACCTAGATGCAGTGATGAAGACATACCCTAGAGCTTTTCTAAAAAGCTTAGTTTAATTTTCCTACCTCACTGTGGTACAAATGTTAAGCTTTTCCCTGACACTTAAGCTATTTTATTTTATTATTTAATTTTATTTTTCATTCACTCATTCATTGTACAATCATTGATGGAGATCTTATTGTGTGCCATGCATTGTGGTAAGGCCTTAGAAACATCAAAAATAAATTAATACTTTTCAGTATGATGGGGAATATAAATAGGTAATGTAATTAAATTATAATTCAGTAAGTGGTAATGAAGATACTTAAGGCAAAATAAAAATGTGTGGATGTGATAACTAAACAAGAAAACACTAAAGCACCTAGTAACTGCTGAATAAATGCAAGTTTATCTCCTCTGTGCAGTAGTCAACAAATGATAGCTTGCAAACCAACTGTCTCAGGACTGTCTGAGGAGCTTTATTTATATACTGGAGTGCAGCTCCAGAATCTTTATTTTTATTGTTCCCTAGGATGTTCTAACACACAGCAAGTTTTAGGACTCCAGTTTGATCTAAAACAGCAGAAGAAACAACTCTCTGAGGGGCTTTACAGAGGCTTCGTAGAGGAGGCGATACTCAACTAAGTTTTTAAAGATAAGCAGGGATTTCAGACAAGTATTCACGAAGTTATAATGTGGAAAGAAATTATAATTTCTCTATAGTTTTCACATGGTAGAACTAGGACCAGTATATGGGAGGTGGAGACAATTAATGGATACCAAAAAGTGATTAGAAAGATTGAATTAGAAAGATGTTGCTAGCACAACAGGGTGACTATAGTCAATAATAACTTAATTGTATATTTTAAAATAACTTAAAGAATGTAACTTGTTTGTAACTAAAAAAAATGCTCAAGGGATGGATACCCCATTCTCCATGATGTGCTTATTTCACATGGCATGTCTATACCAAAACATCTTATGTACCCCATAAATATGTACACCTACTATGTACTTACAAAAATTAAAAATTAAAAAAATAAAAATATATTTAACAAGTAGTTTTTAGGGAGCTATTTTAAAATATATGACCCACCCCAGAAGCATTCAAGCTGGGTTGGTTGACAAAAACCCCTGGGTCTTTTCCACTTAGTCATGTCTTTTCCATCATCTACCGTGCCTATATTGGCTTTGCCAATGAATGAATAATAAATATAATTGAGTACATGAATAAATGAATGAATACATGCTATTGATTGTTTTCTTTTGTAAAATTGAAGACAGACTTTAAATCTACCCCTATTGTTTATGTTTAAGAAACTGAGATCAAGGGCTTTTGAAATCTCATTCTCAACTAGCTTTTCACACAGAATATGTTCAAAAAATGTTTACAGAGTGCTGACTGAATCTCTATTAAATCCCAGCTTGTTAGTTCTACCCATTGTTTCTAGATTTTTAGTCTCTTTTGTAGCTGAGTCCTGACAATTATAGAGGGAAGTGTAGAGACACTGAGCTCCAAGATCTCTTCAAACTCTGAAACTGATGATGCTATGAATGGGCAGAATTTCTATGAATTCATTAAAATTAAATTGAGCCTATCGAATACACTAATGGCAATCTACTTGTCCTCAGAGGGAAGCTTCAGAGAGTAAAAGAGAAGCTGCTTTTTGTGGTACTTACTCCAGTTCAATAAACAGGTGCTGAGTGTCTCCTCTGTGCCAAGAATGCAGAGTCCAGAGTTGAGCAAAGCATGACCTTGCCTCCAAGAGTTTGCCACGTAGTACTAGTTGTTGCTTTCCTCTGCTAAATATCTACACCTTTAGCCAACCAAACACAGGCCATACCCTTAAATGAAAATTGTTTCCGTGTTTAACTCAGATTTATCATGTGCCAAAAAAAAAGGTGCATGGAATGAAAATGAGATAACAAACAATAATGAACTTTCTCCATAAAAAAGAATAGTTTTTCAGTGCTTGTCAGATTCCTTAGTCAATCCAAGACTTATAACTCAAAGCAAAAAAGAGAGTTACTGAAATAGAGACAACTGAATGTCCCTTTCTACAGAAGTTTTAAGGGTAGATGTGTAAGAAAGTGACTGGCGCATGAGGAGGAAAAGCATTAAGAGACTCAGGCTCTGCACTCCTGACACAGAAGCAGGTGGCTGCACACACGCCTGCTCCTAAATTGCTGAAGCAGTGGCTATTTAGCATCCTCCACTCTACCTCTCCAACCCCAGGACAGCTACCTCTTGGGCACCAAAACATCACCACCAATCAGTGGCCTGACAGCCCTTGTACTTTTCCTGCAAATGAACAATAAAAAGGCTTTGATTCTTTCCTTCTGCAGGTGTCTACCTCTACCTGAGCTCCAACATGTATGAGCTAAAATGATACTATTTGTTTTTGCACAAAATAAGAAATACCAAGGAAAAGTTTAAAAGAGCTACATTTTCTATTGAATAGCGAAGACAAGAATGATTTCTTTATTAAACAAAATTAAATATTTTCCAAGATTTTATCCTTTTCTCTTTAACCCTCTTCAAGTTCAAATCTAATTTTTTTAAAAAAGAACCACCAAATTGATTCTAAGAGAATAATTGCTAAGGCGTGAAAATACCGCCTGTATCCTGGAAACAGGCTATGCCATGGGTCGTTTCTTAATTTTCACCCTATTAGGGTAATTTCCTACCACCGTGGGTTTTTTTCCTGCGGCAGTTCCTGCATGCCTGGCATCCTGGCTCCTTCACAGCTGCTTTGTCAAAGCAGAGGGAAAAGGGACCATTAACATCTTTGTGGAAATAGATGCAACAATGCCACTGTTCTATTAGCCTGCAATAAGGTGAGGACAAGGGAAGGAAACAAAATTGCCACATGAGAGGGCTGGTCATTTTCAAGAACCTGGCTGCTGCGGCTATTTAATTTAACCTGCAATGACACCGTTTATAAATCTAGTACCCTAAAAAGAAAATAGGCAATTCACATATAAACTAAAAAACACAATATGCAAAAAATGTTCAGCCTTCCCAAGTTAAGCAACAAAATGCGAGTTAAAAAAAAAAAGAAAAAATATGACACCATTCTTTGCCTCTTAGCATTTTTTAAAATGATAAAATCAGATGCTCTTGAGGGTCCAGTGAAGTTGATATTTTTATACAATACTGATAGCACTGTAAATTTGAAAACTAGCTCTGGAAAGCAATTTACAATAAGTACTAATGGTCATGAAAATATTCATGCTCTTTGACCCTGTAACTCCACTTACTAAAATCTATCTTAATAAAAGTATAGAAAAAGATGTATCTCCAAATATGTGCATTGCCCTTCCATTCACAATAGTGGAAAAATCAGAAACAATGTACATGTATAGATGAATGGTTGAGTAAATTATAGTTTATCGACTAAAAAGACCATTAAAAACAGCCTAGATCAGCACCTCACACATAGTAGGTGCTCAGTGATGACTGTGTTGAAATGTGTAAAAATACTTATAAAAAAATTAAATGGAAAGTAAAATACAATATGCATGTATGCTTATTAATACTCTGACAATATGTATAAGGAAAAATAGTCAATTTTCTAAATTTTCAGTAATGTATTTTTTAATACTTTCATACTGATTAAAAAATATAAAACTAAATGAATCAACCTATTTCCCTGGATGTTGGTAAGCTGGGAAACCCCTTAGACTGCAGAGTGTAAATATGTATTGCTACTCACCTCTTTCATTCAAGTCAGCCTCATGATAAAAGGAGGCCTAAAGGTCCCACAAAGAAAGGAAGAGTGCACCCGGCTTATGAACAGATATAGAAGACAGTCAGTTCAAAAATGTTACGCTGCAGGTGATCATGATGAAGAAAAAGTGGGTCTTTACTGGCACCATGCAGAACCTCCCAGTGAAAATTCCAGTTGCTTCAAATTCAGTGTGGAAGCTGAGACTCCAGTGTGGATGCACAGACAGCTAAGGGTGATTCCATAAGAACTGCAGAGTGAATGTCAACAAGGCCCTTCCTTCGGGCACTTACAATTAACTCTAAAGATGGGACACCTAATCTGGAAAAGCTTCTAGGCTAGGAAACCTGGCTAGAAGCCTGAATTGGATCCAGTTCTGTATACCATTAACTGTGAAGTTTCAATAAATCATGTAACTTCTGTCTAAATCTCAGTTTCCTCATTGGGTAAAATGAGCCTAATAATCCCTGCCCTGTCTACCTCACACGACTACTAATAAGGATTGAAGGAACAAGTGCAATGTTGTATGAGAGTCCTGTGAACCATGATGTGCCATATCCAGGTAAGGGATGCTACACATCAAGAAAAGAGACCTCAGTTTGCCACTTTATGGCTCATTCTGGGTTTGCCAACTGTAGGGTCTACACAATCAAAAATCAAAGAAACATCCATAAATTTCTAGCCTTTGGATAAAAACTGCAACCCTCTTCCAATACTCCTTTATTGCCCTATGATTGTTACCTGGAAGAAAATTATATAAAACAGTAAGAATGACACACACACACACAAAATCTGTATATAAACACTGGTTATCTACTGAAAATAGGTTCAGAAGTGCAAAGTCTCATTTTCTTCCTTCCGTCAAATCTAGAAAAACCATTAGTGCCACTAAAAAACTATTCTTTGTACCAATGGATATTAGGGCCCAGCTAATAGCAGCTCACGGTCAATGGGCATGAGCAAGTTAAATAATGAAACCCCAGAGAAGCTACAAGAAAGGGAAATATCTGTTATGTGTAAGACATACAAAGTAACCTATAGTCAGTAACTTTCACATAGAGCAGGCACTCTTCAAGTAGCATTCCCTAGAAGTGTATTCTTCCCAACAAAGATCAAGGCTGTCTACAAAGCTCTTACTACTACCACCTCCTCCCAGAACAGCTGAGAAACAAAGGACACATTCCTGAGTAATAAGAATCACACCTTTTGCAGGAAGTGCACTGAAGGACAGGAAATCTCTATTTTGTCTATAAGTACTTATTGAAAAGCTACTAAGTACTGGGGACAAAACAGAGAAGCAGATAGACAAGGTCTCTGCCTTTTGCTCAAGCACCCTTCATTTTGATGTTGTGCAATCTACATAGTAGCAAATTAAGAACACAGAAACATAGTTTAAGAAGTTTTGCAACTAAAGTCCAAATTCTGGGTGGTCATGAAATAATGAAAATTCTCTACTGTTAGAGTAAAAAGTACCAATACAAAGACTTGTCCATTCTGAGGTGGGATGTAAATAGTATGGAATAAAGAAGGAACCACTAGCTGTAGGACACATTCCTGTCAGCATATACTCCTTTCTTGTGACAACAAGAGTTTCCTTTGCTTAAGGATCTGTACTCCCCAATCCTAGCCTGTGTATTTTCAGTGAACCTGACTCCAACCCAAGATATCAGAGGATAGCACATGAATTAGATTAAGCCAATCAGCACATTCTATCCCCCTGGCCACAGTGACTGGCTCAGGGATGGACACTAGACCCATATCAAGTCCATTAAGTCTGAGAAGACTTAATTGTAAGACATGCATTTGGTAATATTCAGGGAATATTTCTGATTTCTTTCCCTCTGGAGATGACCTAAAGAGACACTGAGGTCTTAGATTTAAGTCCTTTTTTTTTTTTTTTTTGAGACAGTTTCACACATGTTGCCTAGGCTGGAGTGCAATGGCACAATCTTGGCCCACTGCAACCTCTGCCTCCTGGGTTCAAGTGATTCTCCTGCCTCAGCCTCCCGAGTAGCTGGGATTACAGGTGTCCACCACCATGCTCGGCTAATTTTTTGTATTTTTAGTAGAGATGGGGCTTCATCATGTTGGCCAGGCTGGTCTCAAACTCCTGACCTCAGGTGATCCACCCACCTTGGCCTCCTGAAGTGCGGGGATGGCAGGCATGAGCCACCACACCTGGCCAGATTTAAGTCTTTAGTCCATTTTGATTTGATTTTATTTGGTTTCTGTATATGGCAAGCAATAGGGGTCTAGTTTCATTCTTCTGCATATCGATTCAGTTTTCCCATTTATTGAAAAGACTTGTCTTTTCCTCAGTGTATGTTCTTGGCACCTTTGTTAAAAATGAGTTCACTGTAGGTGTGTGGACTTGTTTCTGCATTCTCTATTCTGTCCCATTGGTTTATGTGTCTGTTTTTTTGTCAGTACCATGCTGTTTTGGTTACTATAGCTCTGTAGTATAATTTGAAGTCAGGTAATGGGATTCCTCTAATTTTTTCTTTTGGCTTAGGATAATTTTGGCTATTCTGGGTCTTCTGTGGTTCCATATACATTTTAAGATATTTTTTCTATATCTGTGAAGAATGTCATTGGATTTTCATAGGGATTACACTGAATCTGTATATTACTTTGGGTATTATGGACATTTTAACAATATTTATTCTTCCAATCCATGAACATAGAATATTTTTCCATTTTTTTTTGGTGTCCTCTTTAATTTCTTTCATACGTGTTTCATAGTTTTCATTACAGAGATATTTAGCTTTTCTGGTTAGTTCCCAGGTATTTAATTTTATTTGTGACTACTGTAACTGGGATTACTTTTTAACTTTCTTTTTTACATAGTTCACTATTGGCATATAGAAATGCTACTGATTTTTGTATGTTGATATTGCATCCTGCAACTCTACTAAATTTATCAAATCTAATAGTTTTCTTATGGAGTCTTTAGGTTTTTCCAAATAAGACAATATCATCTGTAAACAAGGATAATTTGACTTCTTCCTTTCCAGTTTGGATGCACTTTATTTTTTTCTCTTGTCTGATTGCTTTAGCTAGGACTTTCAGTACTATGCTGAATAACAGTGCTGACGGTGGGCATCCTTGTAATGTTCCAGGTTTTAGAGGAAAGGTTTTCACTTTTTCCCCATTCAGTATGATACTAACTATGGTTCTATTGTATATGGCTTTTATTATGTTGAGATAGGTTCCTTCTATCTCCAGTTTTTTGAGGAATTTTATTATGAAGGGATGTCTAATTTTATGAAATGCTTTTTCTAGCATCAATTGAAATGATCATATTATTTTTATCCTTCATTCTGTTGATATGATGTATCACATTCATTGATTTGCATAAGTTGAGCCATCCTTGCATCCCTGGGAGAAATCCTCCTTGGTCATGATGACTAATCTGTCTAATACATTGTTGAATTTGGTTTGCTAGTATTTTGTTGAGAATTTTTGTATTAATATTCATGCAGATATTGAGCTATCATTTTGTTGATGTGTCTTTGTCTGGTTTGGTATCAGAGTAATATTAGCCTCGTAGAATGAGTTTGGAAGTATTCCCTCTTCTATTTTTTGGAATAGTTTGAATTGAATTGCTATTAGTTCTTTAAATGTTTGGTTGAATTCAGCAGCAAAGCCATGAGGTCCCAGGCTTTTCTTTACTGGGAGACTTTTTATTATGGCTTCAATCTCATTATTTGTGATTGGTCTGTTCAGCTTTTGGATTTCTTCCAAGTTCAACCTTGGAAAGTTGTATGTATCTAGGAATTTGTCCATTTCTTCTAGATTCTCCAACTTATTTTCATACAGTTGCTCATAGTAGCCACTATGAATTGGAATGTCTTTTTCATTTCTGATTTTATTTATTTGTATCTTCTCTCTTTTTTTCTTAGTCTGGCTAAAGGTTTGTCACTTTTGTTTAACTTTTCTACAAACAAACTTTTTGTTTCATTGTCCTCTGGATTTTTTTATTTCAGTTTCATTTATTTCTGCCCTGATCTTTTTTCTTTCGTTTCCTCTACTCATTCTGAGTTTGGTTTACTCTTTCTTTTCTAGTTCTTTAAGATGCATTGTTAGATTGTTCATTTGGAGTTTTTCTTCCTAAAATGTAGACACTTATGGCTATAAACTTATCTCTTAATGCTGCTTTTGCTGCATCCCATAGGTTTTGGTATGTTGTGTTTCCATTATCAATTGTTCCAAGAAATTTTTTAATTTGCATCTTAATTTCTTCATTGACACACTGGTCATTCAAGAGCATATTCTTTAATTTCCATGTATTTGTATAGTTTCCAAAATTCCTCTTCTTATTCATTTCTACTTTTATTTCATTGTGGTCAGAGAAGATGCTTGATATTATTTCAATTTTTTTTAATGTTTAAAGACTTGTTTTGTGACCTAACATATGGTCTATCCTTGAGAATGATTTACACGCTGAGAAAAAGGATGTGTATTCTGCAGCTCTTGGATGGAACGTTCTGTAAGTATCTATTAGATCCATGTGGTCTTTAGCGCAGTCTGATGTTTGTTGACATTCTGTCTGGGAGATCCATCTAATGGTGAAAGTTGGGTCTTGAAGTCTCCTACTATTATTGTATGTGGTCCTATCTCTCTCTTCAGCTCTAATAATATTTTATACATATGGGTAATGTACTGAGTCTCATCCGAAGCCAGCAAGTCTCAGAGACTCACTCAAGGCCCTCAACATAGTACCTCGGTATCAATGCTGGATATTCAGGGCCCCAGGGCTCTTCAGTTAGCAGATGATGAATGCTGCCAGGATTGGGTCCTTTCCTTCAAGGCAGTGGGTTCCCTTCTGGCCCAGGATGTGTCTAAAAATCTCATCTGGAATCTAGGGCCTAGAATGAGGCCTCACGACTCTACCTGGTGCCCTATCCTGCTGTGGCTGAGCTGGTATCCAAGATGCAAGACAAAGTCCTCCCCACTCTTCCCCCTCCTCTCCTGAAGCAGAAAAAAATTTGTCTCTTTTGGACCCTCAAGCTCTGCAGCCTAGGGTTAGAGGAGGGGAGATGCCAGCACTCTCTTTGCTGTCCCAGCTGGTGTCTCAGTAGGTCGCATCCCCTTCCCCGCTGTCCACTGTCCACTGTCCACTGTCCACTGCCTCGGGGCCTGGTTCAGTACTAGGACTTGCCTAAGAGTTGCAGTCCTTACGGGCTAGCCTTTCACGTTTACTTGGAGACACAGTGCACTGGAGCCCTCTGTGGCAAGGTTTGCAGGCACTCAAGCTCCAACAATCACTGAGATTTACAATTCCCCTCTGGCTAGGGCTGGTTCCAAAGCTCCCTCCGTGGGCAGGCATCAGCTGAGTTTGTTCGCGTTTTTGCTTCTGCTCTAACAGGATAGCACTGAGTTTAATGCCTCATAATTGCTGTGTTCTTCCTCCCTCAGTGCTCAAAGATGTTCTCTGCACCAAGACTCTGCAATGGGGATTGCAGAGGGTGGGGAGGAGTGGTGTCCATGAGGATTCCGGACTGCTCTTTCCACCTTTTCAGTGCATCTTTCAGTGATATGAAGTTAAAAAGTTAAAAATCAGGTACTATGAATGCTCATCAGGTTTTCTGTTTTTATGAAAGTGTTTCTTCCATGTAGATAGTTGTTTACTTGGTGTCCTTGCGGGGACCGGGCTGGGGACAATTGGTGAAGCCTTCTATTCAGCAATCTTGTTCCATCCTTTCTAATTCCAAGAAGGGGTTTTTGTTTTGTTTTGTTTTAACATGCTCTGCTTTGCTTATCAACTTATAAGAAATATTTTTCCTTTCTCTGTCTAAAGTGCTTTTACATTTTGGAAAGCCCATACTCCTTGTGACCTCTCAAAAAAATTCTTGGCCATCAAAACCCCGTTTTGATACTTCCTATGACGGCCTAAACTCAGGTCCATGCCTTCAAGACATGTACAAGCTAGCTGTAAAGAAAAGACTCACTGGAAACAATGGAGTGAATTGGTTTTAAAGTGGGGATCGAAAGCTATAAATTCTGCTAAAGGCCAAAAGAGAAGGCATTATTGAGACTGGATATTTGGGGAGGCTTTTCCAGAGGAGACAGGAATTTACAGTGGCCTTAAATCATGAAGATTAGAATTAACGGAAAGAGAATTCCAGGAGGGAGAAAATAGGTAAACAATAAGAGGGAAGTGGGAGTGGGCATGGCTCGCAATAAGCACACAGAAGAAAAGAAAAGAGAATGTGTGAAGAGGAGTTGTGTAAGTGTAATGAGGCATTGAAGGGCAGAAGTTTCAGGAATTGTTGCAACGAAAACTTTATAAAATAAGAAAACAATTTCAATAAGTAAAATATATTAGATATTGAACTAAACTCTAGTAAGTTTTGAATTAGATTTCAGAGTAAGGAAGAATGCTTAATGTTGACAATCTCAACCTTGATTTCTGGGCAGCTGGATAGATATGAACACATTTCACAGGGCTACCTTCGAGCATGAAGCAGCATGAAAACAATGATAGTCATAATTAATGTTAAATTTGCTTATTGCCAGGAACATTGCTAACACTTTACATATATTATTTCACTTAATCATCCCAACAACTCTGCAAGACAAACATTATTATATTCTACGTTTTATAATTGAAGATACTGAGGTTCAAGAAAATTAAGGAACTTGGGCCGGGCACGGTGGCTCACGCCTGTAATCCCAGCACTTTGGGAGGCCAAAGCGGGCAGATCACGAGGTCAGGAGATCGAGACCATCGTGGCTAACACAGGGAAACGCCGTCTCTACTAAAAATACAAAAAAAAAAAAAAAAAATTAGCTGGGCGTGGTGGCGGGCGCCTGCAGTCCCAGCTACTCGGGAGGCTGAGGCAGGAGAATGATGTGAACCCAGGAGGCGGAGACTGCAGTGAGCCAAGATAGAGCCACTGCACTCCAGCATGGGCGACAGAGTGAGATTCCATCTCAAAAAAATAAAAATAAAATAAGAAAATTAAGGAACTTGGTCCATAGCCAGGCTGAGATTTGCATGTATGTATACTGTGTCTATGTGTGTACATACACACACACACACACACACAGACATATATATAGAGAGAGAGATTTCATAACACCAGAAATTGTGCTTTTGACTGCTTATACAATATGGATATTTGTCCCTTCTAAATCTCTTGTTGAAATGTGATCCTCAATGTTGGAGGTGGAGCCTGGTGGGAGGGTTAGTGTCATGGGGTGGATCGTTCATGAGTGGCTTGGTGCTTTCCCTGTGGTAATAAATGAGTTTTCACTCTATTAGTTCAGGCAAGAGCTGGTTGTTTAAAAGAGCTTGGTATCCCCCTTCTTTTTTTTCCTCTCTCACCATGTGACATGCCTGTCCCACCTTCGCCTTCTGCCAAGAGTAAAAGCTTCCTGAGGCCTCACAAGAAGCTGAGCAGATGTTGGTGCCATGCTTGTACAGCCTGCAGAACTGTGAGCCAAACAAACCTCTTTTCTTTATAAATTACCCAGTCTCAGGTATTCCTTTATAGGAATGCAAAATGGACTAAACTACTATTCTAACATATATAAGAATTAGTTGGGTTGCATATAGGATAAAAACAAATAGATACAAGTGGTTTTAAAAAGTAGTAAAAGAAGTCCTAAGGCTTCTTTTTGTACCAGGTATCAATCCAACTGGATGTGGGAAAGTAGGTCCAAATATCCCCAAGTTGGGACACAGGAATCCAGGGTGGTGGGTGAAGGGAACAGCTTAGTGTTAAGAGGCCCTAACCAGTTGTTATTTATCAACTAGTGCAAAAATATTTTAGTATTTTAACAACTTGCATGGCCATTCCACTGTGTCCTGGGAAAAAAGTCAGCCCAGCATATGACCCCACTCATCCTTACTACACAGTCCCCTGGATTCCCACTGGTAGCTAAATACATGCAACACCACAAGTGAGACAAGCAGAGCACCAGCTGGATTAAAGGGTCCTTGTTTATTCTCCACTGCATGACCATCTGTCTCACACCTGGCAAGGAAAAGGTGGAAACGAGAGAAAGAGGAAGAGGAAGATAAGTTAGAAAGAATAGAGTAATTGATTGTTTTATTTGATCTTAAAACAAGTCAACCAGAACGTACCTCCTCTAGTTCCTAGCAGGCTGCAATTCCATATAAGAATAAACTTAGTGAGATGGTGATAATGTCACTAGAAGAGTTGCTTAAGCAGAAAAGGTTATGTTACATGGAAGTTAAAAGTGAGATGTGCTGTGAGTAGATGTGCTCAGAGTAAAAAATCAGTTCTTGCAAAATCAACAGTTGAATTATACGCATTGCATTTTAAAGGTAAAGTATTAATAAATTCATATAATGAAAAGAGTAAAAAATAAATTCAAATTCTCAGACCAAGCCACCATTCTTCAAACTTTGAAAAATGTAGACTGGTTTTTATTGCAATTATTTTAAATCTCAACAATACTTTCTGGAAAAGTGAAGGCTTTAGGCAGTAACATTCTAATAGCACAAATAAAATCTTTTCTCATGAGATTTTAAGTTCAACATGCAGGGTAAGAATTTTTTACAATTGCATTGATCATTTGAACTCTAGGGCTCCTGAACCTGAGGGCACATATTTTGCTCCTCATTAACTAGAAAAAAGTAAGGATGGTATACCACTTATTTTAAAAGCTATTTTCTGAAGATGGAATATGAAAAACATGGTCATTTTCCTCAATTTGGACATGATTTCTTCTATTTTCATGTAATTTCATAAAATGATTATTTTAAATGGTTCTGCTTTTAGTCATAACCTTGTAAGGGGGTAAAGCAGTGTGGGAGGGGACTTGAAAATGTTAAACTTTTATGTTGAACTGGACTTCCAACTGAAGGTTACAGCTGGGTGTTGAAAATGACATCATAATCCCTTTGATGACCCATATGGATCTCATTGGTAATAATCTGTATTGACCACTAGAATGGTTTTGTTTATAGAATTATTTACTAGCCTTCTATTTTCTCTTTTGAAGAAATAGTTTTCAGAGCCCTCAGCTAAATAGGGGTTCCAGTATCAGAGCTGTGAGCAACGCTGCTTTAATGGGAAATAAAGGGGAGCTGAACTTGGGCGTTTACAGTGTGCCTTTCACAGGATCTTTCTTTTGCCTGGCAGACAGTCTAATGGCTAGTTGTTCAACTTGTGACCAGATAGTTTCTCACACTGGCAGACATCCCTGTGGCTCTCGTCTGACCCATGTCCAGTTTATGCCTGCCTGACCATTGCTCCAGCGCTGGGAGGCCAACCCTGTGTTCTTCCCAGCATCCTGAAGAAAACCTGGTCTAGGGTAGTCCCTATTTCTTCAGATGGAAAATATAAATTCAGTACACCACCAGAACAGGAAACAAGTTGAAAGATTTTTACTTACAGCTCCTGGGCAAAGAGGATAATGAGTTGGGAGGGCAGTCCTCCATCCCTGGGTCACACAAGGCAGGAATGAAGAGTCAGGCTGAGAGAGAAGGAGAAAAAAAAAGAGAGAGAGTGAAGCATGCAATGACTAGCAGTATTTCTAAGGAATTAGACTGTGGGTCACTTTAAGTTTGAGGGCAGATGCCTAGTGGTTCATTTAAAGGAAGCAGGAAAGCAGACAGCCCCATCTGCTAGGCAGGAGAGATGCCTCTAAGTTCTTCTTTCCAGCCACTGGCTTGAGCCAGCCAGTGGCTGTGGCGTACAGCTGGAAGCTGTGTCCAGGGTGATTGAGCCTTGCTTCTGATATGAGAAAATTAGGGTACTGAGGCAACATAAAATTATAAAAATTCCCTATGGAGACTTTTTTGAAATTTTTTTTTACTATTTGGAAAATCATCCACAAGAGCTACCTGTGGACTTTATTTTCAGTGTCTTTGGAATGCCAAACACAGGGTGAGGTGTCATATATTTAGAAATAAGACCCAGATTTTTCCCTCAAATTCCTTACAATCTAGCTTTTCTTCCTCTGTATTTCATACCTCCCCCTTTCCAGTCATTGTACTAAAAACAAGGAATATTTCCCAGCCACTCCTGCCTTCTCGAAGAAACCTCTTTCCACAGCCTTGCTTTTAAGATGTTCTGTTTTCACCATCTATCCATGCTGATTGGACAACTGGCCCTTGTTGAGCTTAAGTGTCTTTCTCCTGGAAAATGGAAAATGGGAGCTCAAAACAGTAAGCCTAGTGGCACTTGCTTGGAATGAGAATACCAATGAATCAGGATGTTGGCTATATCACTCTGAAGCAGAAATAGCTGGTCTGCCAACACGGACACGCAAAGAGATGCAACAACATGAAACTAGAAAGTTCAAGAGCAATGAGGCCAAGGTGCTCAGAACTGACTTTCCAGTTTATATGTTCCACTCCCTCAGGAGGACACACTTCCTGCTACAGGACTCTGTGGGATGGAGATCCACAGTGCCGCTGGACCTTCTCAACATATTTTCTCTTTTCACTTTACATTGGATTGAGTAAGTTTCTATTCCTTAACCAAATAGCCCTTGTCTAAAACATAACTTGTGGACTTAAGATTATAAAAGAAAATAAATTCCAGCAAGAAAAGTCAAAAAGAGCATTTAATCAGGAGGGTACAGACATCTGAATTTTAGTTCAGCTTTTTCCCCTAACACCACGATAGTAATCACATGATCCAGATTTTCTAGGAGAATCATGATATTTAAAAATCTCATTTCACTGATAAAAGAACAATATTGTAAAAACACATGTAGGCAGTGGTGTGTCGGTAAATGTTTAACAATCAACTCTCTGGCAAAGAAAGCCATGCCCTAATATTTAGCCTTGGCCAATTTCCATGGTATAAATACTTCTATGGTGGCCAATTTCAAGCAACTAACCT
The DNA here is from genome assembly GCF_000001405.40 of Homo sapiens. Taxonomy (NCBI): domain Eukaryota; kingdom Metazoa; phylum Chordata; class Mammalia; order Primates; family Hominidae; genus Homo; species Homo sapiens. The sequence continues at coordinate 118,663,867 of NC_000003.12, forward strand.
GATGTCACTGAACACTGAGTTTGGAAGAGATGCTAACAATCATCACTCATGAGCCAGTACAAGATGGCTCCAGCACACCACTGTGTGAGGCACAAGTTTTAGAACGAGAAAGAGTCCGGTTTACAACTTACCTTTGCTCCATTATTATGCATAAAGTGGATTTCTGTCTGTGCCTCCATTATATATAGAGTTAGAATAAAAAATGACCACATAGAGGGTTGTTGAAAGGATCAAATAAGATGATATGTACCTTACGTAATGCCTGGCGATGTGTATGTTCAACTAACAGCAGTGATTATTGTTGCTGTGTTTGTTGTTGTCACTACTCCTGTTACTATGAGTATTATTGTCAGATTATGGGTCTCAGTTTTGGATTGAAAAATACAGTCCCCATAATTATTATCAATTTCCTGAATAACCTTAAATAAATTACCTGATTTTTGTGTAAGTCAATATCCTCATCTCTAAAATGAAGTTCTAAGGAAAGTCACTATAGTATTTTTCCTTCAAATCCTATGAAGACATAAGAGTGGAGCTATGTGAGAGACAGATTTGGGTGCACAGGAAAAGGGAAGGAAAATGGCAGGGTCCCCCTCTAAAATCAAACCCTCAGGAAGTAAAGCCGTCAAGTGTGATATCCAAGAATGTCTCTCTGCCTCCAGTACCTTCAGAAGTACACAAACTGCAACATTAGGCAAAGGTTTAGCCCATGCCATTTTTTCTTTCTTTCTTTCTTTTTGAGACAAGGTCTTACTCTGTCGCTACCCAGGCTGGAGTGCAGTGGTGTGACCATGGCTTACTACAACCTGGACCACCTAGACTCAAGCAATTCTCCCTCCTCTGCCTCCCAAGTAGCTGAGACCATAGATGCATGGGCAACTGCACCCGGCTAATTTTTTAATTTTTGTAGAGATGAGGTCTCACTGGTCTCAAACTCCCAGCCTCAAACTATCCTCCCACCTTAGCCTCCCAAAGTGCTGGGATTACAGGCATGAGCCATTACGCCTGGCCTCAGTCCCTGCTTTTAATGGAGTATCTCAATGGCTTAATTAGGAGTAAGAAGATAGGTTGAAATGAAAAGCAGAGAACATACAAAGAAAATGCTAAAGTGCCTTCTCTTTGCCATTATTAAATTGAATTAAGTTTGGCCTAAAGCAGCACCTCTACATATTTAAGTATGGCCAAAGGTTTCTCAGTATATAATGAACTGTTACATAATGTGATATGTAAATAGTCTGTAACCTACTCTTATCACAAGCAACCAAGCCTCAGCCCATCACAGCAGCCAAGTTTCAGCCAATCACAGGCTGCCAACTGTTAAAATCGTGTTCAAATAAGGCAAACACCTGTTCAAGTAAGGCAAAAACCAATCCAGCTATTTCTGTTATTTTTTTGTCCATAAATGTTATCCAACCCTGTAGCAACCCTGGAGTCACTTAAAACTTTTTATGGTTCTGGGAGCTGACTGATTTGCAAATTGTTCTTTACTCAATTAAACTCTGTTAAATTTAAGTCATCTGAAGTTCTTCTTTTAATGTTATTTTACCCCCAACAGCAAAATAAACATGTTAGACTAGGGCTAGTAACTACCTCAAGAACTCGGACCCTTTTACTTGGTGCCCTGAGAATATGATGTGATCAACCTCAAGCTACTTTCTCTCCTTACTTTCTATTCCCCCAACACACACACACACACACACACACACACACACACACACACACACACACCCTTAGTTCACATGTGACGTGTATACAAAAAACAAGAGTCTGGTCAAATGGCAAATTTATCTGCTTGCTGGGTAGGGGCAGGGCACTGATTTTAAGTGAAGACTTAAAATCGGTTCACTCTAAACGATAAAAGTAAAACCAACTCAGTTTCTTTTTCAGTGAAAGAGAGAAACACACTAGAGGAAACGTGGGAATTAGAAGTTGGGGCCCAAAGAGAAGAAGCACTAACCTGAGAGAAAGGGAAAGTATACAGAAAAGAAAGTGGTTTTTAATAAGAAAGAGCAAAGAGGTGGTCAAATAAGAAACAAATGAGAAGAGGGAAGAGATTATAAATTATGAGAGGAGGGATGTGGAGAATGGAGAAAATGGATGAGAAGAGGAATTAACGATGAAAGAATTTTTTTGTTGCACTTTTAAAATCACAGCATCAAAGATTTCCCAAGCTCCAACAGGGCAATATGAGTTTGTGTATAGGTAGCAATCCTGAACGCTGTCTTCGGTAAAGACTGAAAAGGTGCTAGGACACACCCTTTTTTTAATAACATTTACATTCAAATAAACCTAGAAGGCAGGAGAAGGGCAAGCTGCCTGCTGTATCCCATTTACAATCCTGAAACAGAAGAGCCAAGTACCCAGAATATTCTGGACAGATTAATCTTGGCCGAGGTCTACATAAAGATGAAAAAATGCAAAATTAAAGTGATTCTGTCACTTAAAATAAAGAGTAATTACTTATGGGAGGAAGGAAACCAAATAAAGTGGCAAAGAAATTCTCTGATTTAGTGAAATTCATAGAAATGAAAAGATTTTCTATCAGATCTGTTATATGAGCTGTAATTCTCTAAGACTGCAGACACGGGATTTGATTGGGACCCTTGATCAACTCTTGTTAAGGTTGTTGCACCTTCTTATCATTGCTAGCACAAAATAAAATGTCCACTTCCTGACACAGGCATATTGCACCATAAAGAAACACAGTCAACCTGTTTGAAATCAGGCTCTAGATTTAGCACCGTATGATTTGAGCCCCAACTAAACTTATCTTTGGGGTCTGAAAAGTAATATTTGTTTACTGCTTAAAACACACCATTTGCGAATGAAATTATCATCCCTGAATCACAACGCTATAAAAATGTTCTCTGGGTAAAATCAAATGAAGAATTAAGTTCTTTTGCAGTGAACCTGGGACTATCCTTACAGTCAATTTAACTACTTGGATGGAGTGAGAAGGCACACACTTAAATACAGTTAAAATTAAAGCTATCTTTTGCCTGAGTTATCTGCAAATACTCAGCAACTGGGGTTTAGCTTTTACTTCCTACTCTGCTATGACTACAGGGACCTATAGAATTTTCCAGCCTAAGCTTAAATCATAACATGGATAAGTAACAGCTAGATGATAACATAAGAATTAAAGAAATAGAAGTCAGAAAATCAGGGGCAAGAGAAATGAAAGTGTGAAGGACATCTCTTTCATGATAGCCTATAAATCTGTTCACTCAACACATCTGGCAAGTGAACTAGGCTTTCAGAAAACATGAAAATGAAGAAGGGTTTCTTCCTTCTTCCTTTCAAATCAGATTACAATGTGCATACAAAAGGACCTGCAAATAGAAATAAGAAAATTCCATTAATGTGATAATGATATTCTGAATGACCTGAACAAACAAAGGAGATTGGAACTTTGGAAGTAATTTGTCGATCATTTCCTCTTCCACATTTCGTGAGCTCCTGACTTAAAGGGTTTTAGAAAATGCTGCCGTGTCTCTGCTAGGCCAGCTTTGTTCCATCTGCCAGAGAATGCCTACAGGAAAAATTAATTCAATAAAACATGATTTCCATTGTGATGTTAGATTGTTTTTACTTTCCATTAATTAAAATAGATATATATTTATATTTATATAAAATAAGAGGCAGCCTCAGCCACACTGTATGCATGCTAGAATACATGTGAACTGAAGGGCACTGGGAGACATGACTATAACTTGATCTTTCTAATGTTCATGTTCTGTGTAAAATATACCCATGGACCATGGCAAAGCCACCAATAAAATGCTCAAGTACTTGGGCAGTAAAGAGGTGATGTGAAATTATTAACAACTTTGTTTGCATGAGACTCTAAATTTCCATCTCATCTCCCCACCCGACCCTTTCTGCCATCACTGCTTGGCACCATAATAGGCCAGAATTGTGTTCAGTGTGTATATTTGCCTGAAATGGCCCAGAATAAAAGGAGTCAGTAGGTAAATCCAAGGTCTTTACCAAGGATCAATAGGCAAATGAGGAGTACTGACTTGTGTCTTCGTGTCCAGAAGGCCCATCTGAAAGTTGGAACAGATAACAAGACTCAGAAAGAGAAGCTGGTAAACACTGGAATGGTGGAGTGGGTAACAGCAGGAGTAAAGTGAGAAGGCTCAGGAGTAGCAGAGCAAGGACAGGTGTAAAGGTTCCTTTTTCTTTGACCTGGACCCCATGGGGCAGGAAGCCTGGTGTGCACACAGATTTGGGGTGAAGTTTCCTAGCAGGGAAGAATGTACCAAGGAGAAAGCAGTCAGTTAAATAAGATGATGTGGTAAGCACAGTGCAGATGTTAGGTATTGTTAGTAGGTGGGTGGGAGTGCAGTGGGAAAGGTCTGATGTGAGAGCACAGGCCAGGAAGATCGGGCTCTGTGTGAGTTGTCCTGGACGTCTGGAGATAGAGGATCTCTCACCTGGTCAAGCCACAGACAGACTCAGCACTGAACACCAGAGCAGAAGCCACACAGGAGCCAGTGTTGCACAAGGGCTTACAACCCCCACTTTCAGGAAAGACTTCTGCATTTGAAACCTGGATCTGACATTTGCAGCTCTGTGACCTTGGGTAAGTAACTCAAGCCTCATTGTCCAAGCAATAATAGTAGTACTTACATGGATGGGTTCTTGTGAAGATGAAATGAATTGCACAAATAAATGATAATATATAAGGTAATGGATATTTTAATTAACTTGATTTAGCCATTCTACAATTTACACATTTTTAAAACATCATGTTGTATACCATATATATATATACACACACACAATTTTTATTTGTCAATTAAAAGTAAATAAAACAGAATTATGCCAAAAATATTAAATTAGTAAATATAAAGTACTTAGAACAGTGCCTAGTACATAGTGAGCAATCAACATTAGCTATTATAATCGCTTATTAATATACTTGATACTATTTTGTAAAAGATAGAAAAGCAGAAGCTCCTATACACAGAAGCTACTCTTTTATATTACAATGGCTAAAAATATTTTTTTGCTTTCTGTCTTGGAGCAGACATTCTACTTCTCTACTTTTTTTCTTGGTAATTTTATTTTAATAAACTAGAATTTCTCAATTCAAAATAATTTCTAAATGTTAAATTTCAATGTATAAGTCAAGCTTTAGAAATCATATTATGCTGTATTGTCGATTTATTTTTGAAACAATTACATATCTATTTTAAAGACACAAATCTTTTGTACTAAAATATTGTTTTAAATGTTACTGTGGGTGCATTTAGTCCATGGACCTTGAAAAACAAAGTATTACAAAGGATGTCTTCCTAGCATCACCTGCTCTCATTCAGAAGGAAGGCAGTCTCTTCCTTAAACATAGGGATGACCTCCTTAAGTGGTTTTTTTAACCAATCTGTGAGTTAGCCTTCTGCAATATTCCTATAGGTGGGTCATGAAACATAGGAACCAGCCGTTTTTTTTCCAGCCCGACTCAAAATTGGAGCTAAAGCAGGGTCACTAGCAAAGGGCTGCTGCATCTGTTACCAGGCCCTGTTCCCAGACAATCTGTATTTGGATCAGCCCTCCAAGTGATTTTGCTGCACGCTTGAGTTTAAGAAACACTGACCCACAGAAGCTAGACCACAACCTGATTCTTCATCTCCATGAGTAAGGAACTTGTCTAAGGTCAGATAGGTGAAAGGTGGGAGAGCCGAGTGCACTGACCCATTCTTCCCAGTACACCATGCTGCTTCACCCTTCTGTATACTACCTTCAGAAAAAAAAAGAAAAGGCCTTGAAAATTACACTATGGAAAGAGTATCAAACTCCATTTTAAAAGCATTTATAGTAAAAATGGCAATTGTCTCAGCTTTCTACAACCTAACATATTTTGACTCCCATATCAACTAATCGAATATTTCTTCAGAAGTATTTCCAATGCATAAAACTACCAGATACAATCTGCCTTCTCCTAAGAAAACTCAATACATAAAAACCTGCTTACAAAACAGATAAATCAGAGTTTTAACTCTACAAAAGAATTTGCCACCTAATATTTTCTTTAAAAAAAACTAGTCTCGATACATTTGCACAGTGATTCATTTCACAAAATTGTAATATACCTGAAAAATTTAGGAGGCATATCAACCAAGATTGTGTTCAGTCTCTTATAGAATTGGATCATTCATAATCTTTCTCATTAATTCTCTGTGGTTGTGTTCGTCATTTTGCAAAAATGAAAATTCCACTTCAAATTTCCAGGAGACGCTAAGAGTCACCCCAATCTCTTAGGGCAGGGTTCTGAAGACTAAAATGTATCACAAAAAGGAATTTTTAAAACACAGATTGCTGTGCCATACCCCCAGGATTTCTAATTCAGTAGGTCTGGGGTGGACCCAAGATTTTATATTATAAATGAGTGTGATGGATCTCACTTTTAGAATCACTATTTAAGGAAGTTCCAGGGTAGACATGAACAAAAATTTTCCTCCAATAGTCCTCCTCAGTTTTCAAGCTGTGTTAAGATACATTCTACTGACACCTGCTGATTATGATGATTCAAGACATAGTTCTTTCTACAAATATACACTTTATAAGCCCTTATCACCACCCAACAGGAGATCAACTCAGACATGAATTCAGGAACAATAGCAAAGCCGGACTACTAGCACCTGGTAAATATGGAGATTAAAAGAGTTGCAAGAAGTATCCTCAACAACAGGGAAATGAGTAGCTTTTCCTGTTGTTGTTGGAAATTTTAGAGTGGTTACATTGGGCAACCTATTCCCATTAAGTTTGAGAAGGTTAAGATATTGAGGTCACTACTTTAGCTATCAGTACTCTAATGAGGAGAATTTCCACAAAGCTATACAATTTTAAAAGAAATGCTGTAAATCTCTTATTAAACCAAACAAGTATCATGTTTATTGAGTACTTACTATATTTCATATATTATCTCACTTCATCTGCATGATACCCCTGCTCCATAAATAGTATTAAGTCTATTTTGCAAATGCAACCAAAAAGACTGAATAGAGTTATCCCAGGTAGCACAGTTCATAAATGGCAGGGCCGGGATTTAAATCCAGGTTGTGGGACCCTAGAGCACAGGATCGTTTTTTCACTCCATGTTAACCAGCATATAAAATAAGGCTTCAGTTTTCCCATTCATTGGAGAATAAATAGTTCCTGAGTGCAGACCAGAGCGGTTTCTTTGTTGTTCACCTTCTATGGGTGTTGATGGTGCATCAGTTTTCTATTGCTGCATAACAAATTACAATAAACCTAGAGACTTAAAGCAATACTCAATTATTAGCTCACAGTTCTATACACCAGAAATCCAGGCAGGATCTACTGGGTTCTCTGCTCAATGTATCACAGTCCTAGAATCAAAGTATCAGCTGGGCTGGGCTGTCTGGACACTCAGGAACAATTGCTTTCAAGCTCGTTTATGTTGTGGGCAGAATCCAAGTTCCTTGGGATTGCAGTATTGAGCTCCCCATTTCCTTGCTGGCTGTCAGCTGGAGGCCATTCACAGCCTCTGGGGCCCTCTCCATTTCTTGTCACATGGCTCCCTCCATCTTCCACCCAGCAACAGTGCATAAAATCCTTCTTGTGCTTATATCTCTTTGACTTGCTGTTTTCCTCCTAGCCAGAAAACACTCTCTCATTTTACAGGTGTTACTTGTTCGGGTCAGGCCCACCCAGATAATCTCTGTACCTTAAGGTCAACTGACTTGGGACTCTAATCACATCTGCAAAGTCCCTTTACAGCAGTACCTAGGTTACTGCTTGATTACATTAATATTAGATTGAATAATTGGGGAGAGGAATCTCATAGGGAGGAACAGCTATACGTACAGGCACACCGTCGTGTCTAAACAGGCAACTCAAGGACGGTTTTCCCATCTCAGAGAACATCTTGAGGTTGTCCCTGCTCCCTCCGTGCATCTCAGCCCTTGGCAAGTGTTGCTCCTGAGGAGAAATCCTAGTCTGAGGAGAGCCCAGGATTCACTAACTCTCATGGACCCTATCCTGATTCTAACTTCAGAATCCGCCAATAAAGCAAATGTCCAGGCTATTGAAGAAAATTATTTTCTCATAGATCATTTCCTGAGTGTCCATTTTACCTATTTGTTTTGTGTGTGGATATAATCTTATCTCATACTACATGGGGAGATCCTTCATGAAAAGAGCTGTATCTTAAACAACTTTGCACTCACAAAAGTGCCTAGCACAATTCCTGAAATTCAGAAGATATTCAGTACATGCTTGATAAATTGAGTTAGTTATTTGACATTAATTAGATTGTCAGCAACATTGCTTACTACTCATTAGGAGTTCAATACATTTTATTTTCCTTTCCTTTACATCTGGATTAAAAACTAAAGAAGTCTTCCCTTCTTCTAAACAATCAAAACCTATAGACATTGTAAGTACAGTCATTTATGGCATATGATGAGTGCTTTGTAACTGTAAAGGAAAGAGATGGCCATATAATAGTGTTTCCTTTACAGCTAATGTATAGCAATCTTTAGGATTATAAGCTTAAAACTTTGAAAGGACAGCTCAGTTATTTGTCTTAAATGCAGAAAAAATAGAACTTAGCGATTTTCTTGACAAGGAACTTAAATCATTTAGATGAAAACCAGAAAATTCTACCCATTAAGACTATTAAATAGTTTGGGGGTCTAAAGTCCACAAAGAACCTCCTGGATATTAGAGAGGAAAACTGATTTGAGATGTGGCATATCTCTTGGGAGCAACAATTTCTTGTGAATAAAGTCTCATAAAGGTAAACTCAAGCATCCTATAATAAATCGAATAGTTTATTAGGCTTTCAAAAATTCTCTATGGTGTATATGAAAGTGTACTTGCTGTTCTGCAGGGAGCTGGAAAGCAACATAGTGCAGTGGCCTTGGAACCAAGAGCGACCTAGAACATAAATCCCCACTCTGCTGATTACTAGCCAGTAGGCTGTAGCCAGGGAACTTCAGACTTCAGGACATTGGTTTCATCATCTACAAAATAGGTATAATAACACTTAATCCTTTAAAATTGTAAAACTTAAAGATAATGAAAATAAGTCATGTGACACAGTACTTCGATAAATAGTAGCTGCAATTTTTATTTGCAAAGTCAGATACCTATCCGCAGTTCATAAAAAACACTCCATAAATGTTAACTACAAATATTTGTGAGTTTTCTCTTTCCAAGTCCTGGGTTTAGACATCATTTTCCTCCATATCCACTTAAAATCCCTCAAACTCCTTTTTTTTTTTTTTTTTTTTTTTTTTTTTTTTTTTTTTTTTTTTGAGACGGAGTCTTGCTCTGTCACCCAGGCTGGAGTGCAGTGGCGTGATCTCGGCTCACTGCAATCTCCGCCTCCCGGGTTCACGCCGTTCTCCCACGTCAGCTTCCCTAGTAGCTGGGACTACAGGCGCCCGCCACCACGCCCAGCTAATTTTGTTTTTGTATTTTTAGTAGAGATGGGGTTTCACTGTGTTAGCCAGGATGGTCTCTATCTGCTGACCTTGTGATCCGCCCACCTCGGCCTCCCAAAGTGCTGGGATTATAGGCGTGAGCCACCGCGCCAGGCCTCAAACTTCCTAACTCAAAGAAATCATCAGTAGTGATGGTGGCGCAACATGCTCTCTGTGCGCTGTGTGTTAATGCTGCGTTAGACTAGAGACAATGCGAGGACACTTGTCGCAGGGCCTTTCTGTCTCACGTTGGTATTCAACGCATGTGTAAGAATAATAATGGTCATCAGGATCACTGCATACATATTCTACATAAAAGAAAAATCCAATTGGTGTTACAGAGCTCCTAGTCTTAGAATCTCTTTCTGCTTCAGCTGATATATAGTGTAAATCTAAAACTTATTTAAAAACATGTCTGGGTAAGACAGCTTTTAATTAATCTTCTCTTAGTTTTTATACTATATGGTACCTGGAAGATGCAAGATCAATCACCACTGTATTGTAATGTCGAGTTGTGAGACAGAAAGATAAATGAGCTATCAAACTTAGCATTTTGATAGCTAAGTTAATTTAACTAGCTTCAGAACATACTCTAGATTGGTGGATAAAGTTGTGAGCTGAGGCGTTGAATGTTATAACCATGCATGTGGTATGTTTTTAAGAAAACAAAAATTTGCTAGTTACTATCTGTCCTTCACAGGCATTTAAATCCAGGATTAGAGAGGTGTAGCTGGGTGATAAGGTCATATTGCTAGTTCTGTCAGGCCAATTAAGACAGCTTTATTAACTCAGACTTTTAATTGAGCACTTGTGACAAGGTCTGGGCTGATCTGAAGTTTCCCTCAGCTGGATGCATGAGTAAAAGGTTGGGCAAGCAAATTAAACTTAATTTATGCTTAACAGTAGACCTGAGTAGACTTTGATTTTTTCTAATAGGACATAAGAAGATTTTTTAAATTATAATTGTATTTCAAAATGTGTTTTCTCAACTATAGGAATATTGAGCAGATTCTCATCCTTGAGGGAGAGGGTACCCCCCCCATCCCTGGGATATCCATTTACACAATGATATTTCAATCAGAAAGAAGAATAAGAATAAAACTACCAGCCTGGCTCGTCAAAACTACCAGTCTAAATTGTAATAAAACTTCAAACAAAAGAAAAATGCTTCAGAAGTCATTGGAGAGGTATTTAGATATGTTAATCACAGCTATTAAGAAATACCAGCTTTGGAATGTCACATCTATTCAAATAAGCAACAGTAAATGAAGCCGTTTTGAAAGGTTTTCTCTCTCTTAAAAGATAATAAAATCAAATTGCTATGAGGTGGAAAACCACCCTCTACCCAACTCCCATACTCACCTATCCCCAACCTAATCTATACCAGACCACTGTTTCCCATTTCTTCCATTGATGTGCTCATTAACTCTTTTCTAAACATGCATTAAACACACAGTACATATAGGCCAGGTCCTTTGCTCTGTTTTAGAATCCTAGTTATTAGCAAGTCACAATTTATGTCTTCAAGAAGTCACAGAGAAAAGTACAGTTAATTACAAAATGGTACACATGGTGGTTAATTTTATGTGTCAACTTGACTGGGTCACGAAATCCCCAGACTATCTAAGTAAGCATTCTAGGTGTCTCTATGAGAGTGTTTCTGGATGAGATTAACATTTGAATCCATAAAATGAGTAAAGCAGATTGCCCCCCCAACTCTACTTCCCATGTGGGTGGGCTTCATCCAGTCTGTTGAAGGCCCAAATGGACAAAAAGGTAGAGTAAGAGAGAATTCTCTTTCTCTGCCTGACTGTCTTCAAGCAGAAACATCAGTCTTCTCCTGTCTTCGGACTCTCTCCTGGGTCCCCAGTTTGCCAACTGCAAATCTTGGGACTTCTCAGCCTCCATAATCATGTAAGACAATTCCCTATAATCAGTCTCCTTATATACAGAAATATATAATATCTTACTGTTTCTGTTTCTCTGGAGAATTCACACTAATACTGTAGGATAGGTGAAAATGGGAACAAAGGCACCCATGGGTTTTATAGTTGCCACCTCAGAATATCTTGTAATTCACATAATACTTATTTGTTTGTCCAGAGCCTTACCTCACTGACATAGACACTTGGCTTTAGAAATCAATTCAAAGACTCACTCACTTCTCATATTCTACCCTAAGAACTTTCTGACCTCAACCGATAAACCACAAAAAACATTACTTCCCTAACATTTCACCATTTCAAAGTTGTTCTATGTGGTACTCTCTTTTGTTACAGTACGTCAGTGAATTTCAGTTTGCTTCTATCATAACAGGTTTCTTTAAAGAGAAGACTTTCTTTATATGTTTTAGGGTAGGGAGAATTATTTTCACAAATCTGTGGATGCTTAGAGATCAAAGTTACCTTCAAAGCATCGTAATGTAACTCTCAAAATTTCCTGTCCTATTTAAAGGTAAAGTGATTCACCTAAAGTCTTCCAGCTAGTTGCTGGCATAGCCAGGCAAGAACCCAAATCTTGAGATTCCCTTGCTTTCACATCAAAGATATTTAGAAAAAAAATTCTTCAAAGATATTGTCAACTTTGAACAAATCTCTGATTCATTAAACAAATCTTTCTATCTGCTCTTTTACAAAAAAATTTTGTTGTTTTTGAAAGTCCTGCCAGGTAAAGGGTTTATTAATTAACTTACACACACACATATACACACTTGCACGTCCATATAATTTTTTTCCTTTTCTGGGGGTGGTGGGAAAGAACCTCTATATTTGAATATAGATACATATACATGTGTATGTGTGTGTGTGTGCAAATATTATAATAAATTTACATAAAGGTTGTATAAAAGTAGACATCCATATAATGTTTAAAAATTGTTTTTCTACTTTTATTAGTGAGTAAAAGCTTTAACTTTTAGTTCTAAAATTTAAAATCTAAGCGGCCTAGAAAATAGGCATCACCCTGACAGGCAGAAGAGGATAATAGTTAAGAACATGGGATTTGACATTAGCCACACCCAAGTTCAAACCCCAGCTCTGCTACCTGAAAGATAATTCTTGGAGCTCTTTGTAACTATAACCACTTAATAAGGATAGAATGGTGAAAAATAAAAGCAGAGAGGTTCCTGTTTTGGAAAAATGTGTTAGGATCATCTCTCCATGTTTGAGGGCAGGAAGTGATTGATCATGTATTGCAGGAACTAAAATCATAGGGGCCATACTTAGAGCTAATATCTGGTTTTGATATACTTTTAAACTAAGAATAAATTGCTTTAAAATAAACAGTTTTTAATATAAAAGACAGTCGATAGCTTTAAAATAAAAAACAATTCTGCATTATTCAGCAAGACCTGCTTGAAGGAATATTTGGTTTCCTAAGAGGTAACAAACCCTGTCTCTATCAAAAAGATAAAAGAGTCAAGCAAATAATAATTGTCCCCATTTTTTTCTACTTCATCTTGGCAGGAAATAATGATACCAGTAAGCAGTCAATGCTCCCTCTTAACAGCCTTACTGGAGATGGACAAATGAGAGCTGCTCTGGTGGGATAGACAGGAGCTGGTGGGTGCAGTGATGGAGATCCAAGTGTGGTGCTTACTATCACTGATCTGAACCTGATCAGAGACACAGGCTACAAGGATTTATGAAACAGGCTCACTGTGTGCTGGTTACTAACGTGTCTAAATCCAATGAAACAGAACACCCACACACAAGTTACATGAAGTGAGTTTATCACTTACAGATAGGCATGACAGTGACAACAGAAGCCTAGGATTCAGGGAAAACCAGTCCCCCAAGCCTCAGAAAAGCTGCCCAGAGTGGATAAAGGTTTGCCTACAAGTACCCCACTTGCATTATAGCTGAGGTCCTCCAGAAAACAGACTGCTCTAGGTTTTGTATCCAGGGACATCATAATTCACTGAACTAGAGCATAGAAAGACATCTCATTTCTATGAGGGATCAGGCTGTCCCAGCTGGCCCCTCCTTATTGCAGGATGTGGCATTCCCAGCACATTCAACGGTTATTCTTGAGAACTACCAGTGAGAAGGGACAGAACCGGGTCGTTCCAAGGTCACCTGGGGAACTGCCCTGCAGGAGTGTCCTTACACATTTTCACAGTGCAGACCACTCCTGAGACCAAACCAGCAAGCCTCTGACTCCCCCTAAAAATTTAGAATGAGAACAGCTAAACAATATTTCAAAAAGTGCTGACAATATCACATCTACCCTAAGCTACATCTGTCCTCAAGAAAAAGAAAAAAACCCCACAAACTCTGACACTGAATGTATCTTTTCCTCGAAAAAATGGTAGAGAATACCTGTAGTACTTGAATAGTACCACTTTCGAAACCATTCTCAGTATTTAGAGGGATGGCCTTTTCTTTGTTTCTTTTAGTGCTTTGGTAAACTCGTGGAAGAATCACTCAACAATAGGCATTTTCTAACTCTGGGAATTTAGGTATGAAACAGACCCTCTCTGACCCTCAGTTTCCATGTTCTTAATCAAAAAAAGAAGATTAAATTAGATAATGAATAAAACAGACTTGACATAGAGCCCAGCACCTAATAAGTGTTCAATAAATTGTAGTCCTTATTACTAAATTTACTCAACCAAAGGCTTTTTTATGAAAAGCATATTTATCTTGCAGATTATATAATATTGTTACTAAGGATGATTTAAAAATAAGCAGGTATTATAATCAAAATTACAAACTTAAACCATAAAAAAGATGAGATGAACAAATGAAGGTGTTTTCCTTATTTTACCCTGCTAGAGAATACAAACTCTTCTTTTTAATCTTTTTTCTAACTTTATTTCTTCAAAAAAAAAAAAGAAAAAAACAGGATACTTCGGCAGAACGTGCAGGTTTGTTACATAGGTATACGTGTGCCATGGTGGTTTGTTGCACCTATTGACCTGTCCTCTAAGTACCCTCCCTACACCCTCCAAACCCCAAAAGGCCCTGGTATTGGTTGTTCCTGCTCTGTGTCCATGTGTTCTCAATGTTCAACTCCCACTTATAAGTGAGAACATGTGGTGTTTGGTTTTCTGTTCCTGTATTAGTTTGCTGAGGATGATGGCTTCCAGCTTCATCCATGTCCCTGCAAAGGACGTAATCTCATTCCTTTTTATGGCTGCATAGCATTCCATGGTGTATATGTACCATATTTTCTTTATCCAATCTATCATTGATGGGCATTTGGGCTGGTTCCATGTCTTTGCTATTGTAAATAGTGCTGTAATAAACATACATGTGCATGTGTCTTTATAGTAGAATGATTTCTGTTCCTTTGGTATATACCCAGTAATGGGATTGCTGGGTCAAATGATATTTCTGTCTCTAGATCCTTGAGGAATCACCATACTGTCTTCCACAATGGTTGAACTACTTTACATTCCCACCAACAGTGTAAAAGCATTCCTATTTCTCCACACCCTCAGCAGCAATTACTGTTTCCTGAATTTCAGTTGCCATTCTGACTGGCATGAGATGGTATCTCATTGTGGTTTTGATTTGCATTTCTCTGGTGATCTGTGATGTTGAGCTGTTTGTCATATGTTTGTTAGCCACCTTATGTCTTCTTTTGAGAAGTCTCTGTTCATATCCTTTGCCCACTTTTTGATGGGGTTCTTTTTTCTTGTGAATATGTTTAAGCTCCTTCTAAATTCTGGATATTAGACCTTTGTCAGATGGGTATATTGCAGAAATTTTCTCCTGTTCCCTCTGATGCTAGTTGCTTTTGCTGTGCAGAAGCTCTTTCATTTAGTTAGATCCCATTTGTCAATTTTGGCTTTTGTTGCAATTGCTTTTCGCTTTTTTGTCATGCCCATGTCTATGTCCTGAATGGTATTGCCTAGGTTTTCTTCTAGGGTTTTTATGGTTTTGGGTTTTACATCTAGGTCGTTAATGCATCTTAATTTTTTAATAAGGTGTAAGGAAGGGATCCAGTTTCAGTTTTCTGCATATGGCTACCCAGTTTCCCCAGCACCATTTACTGAATAGGAGATCCTTTCCCCATTGCTTGTTTTTCTCAGGTTTGTCGAAGATCAGATGGTTGTAGATGTGTGGTGCTATTTCTGAGGTCTCTGTTCTGCTCCTTTGGTCCATATGTCTGTTTTGGTACCAGTACTATGCTGTTTTGGTTAATGTAGCCTTGTAGTACAGTTTGAAGCCAGGTAGCATGATGCCTCCAGCTTTGTTCTTTTTGCTTTAGATTGCCTTGGCTATACGGGGTCTTCTTTGATTCCATATGAAATTTAAAATATTTTTTTCTAATTCTGTGAAGAATGTCAATGGTAGTTTGATGGAAATAGCATTGTATCTATAAATTACTTTGGGCAGTATGGCCATTGTCACGATATTGATTCTTCCTGTCTATGAGGATTGAATGTCTTTCCATTTGTTTGTGTCCTCTCTTATTTCCTTGAGCAGTGGTTGGTAGTTCTCCTTGAAGAGGTCTTTCACATCTTTTGTTAGCTGTATTCCTGGCTATTTTACTCTCTTTGTAGCAATTGTGAATGGGAGTTCATTCATGATTTGCCTCTCAGCTTGCCTATTGTTGGTGTATAGGAATGCCTGTGATTTTTGCACATTGATTTTGTATCCTGAGACTTTGCTGAATTTGCTTATCAGTTTAAGGAGTTTTTGGACTGAGATGATGGGGTTTTCCAAATATGAAATCATGTCATCTGCAAACAGAAACAACTTGACTTCCTCTCTTCCTATTTGAATACCTTTATTTCTTTCTCTTGCCTGATTGCCCTGGCCAGAACTTCCAATACTATGTTAAATAGAAGTGGTGAGAGAGGGCATCTTTGTCTTGTACCAGTTTTCAAAGGGAAAGCTTCCAGCTTTTGCCCATTCTATATGATATTGGCTGTGGGTTTGTCATAGATAGCTCTTATTATTTTGAGATATGTTCCATCAATACCTAGTTTATTGAGAGTTTTTAACACGAAGGGATATTGAATTTTATCAAAGGCCTTTTCTGCATCTATTGAGATAATGATGTGGTTTTTGTCTTTGGTTCTGCTTATATGATGGATTACATTTATTGATTGGCATATATTGAACCAGCCTTGCATCCCAGGGATGAAGCCGACTTGATTATGGTGGATAAGTTTTTTGATGTGCTGCTAGATTTGGTTTATCAGTACTTTATTGAGGATATTTGCACTGATGTTCAACTGGGATACTGCAAACTTTTAAACATCTTTTGTTCATTAAGAGTCACATGAAATTAAATTAACAATATCTAAATTTGTACAAAAATTAATTATGCATTAGGGTAGTTTATTATCCTTTCTGACTTTGTTTGTGATTGATTAATTTCTACTACATTGTGGGAGTTGGGAGAAGGAGTTTATCATATGCTATCATCTGAATGGTTTGTGTCTCCCTAAAATTCATATGTTAAAACCTAATCATCAAGGTGGAGCTTTGGGGAAGTGGTTAGGTCATGAGGGCTCCACCTTCATGAATGTGACTAGTCCCCTTATAAAAGAGGCTCCAGAGAGCTGTCTTGCCCTTCCACAGTGTGAGGACATGTAGAAGATGCTGTTCATTAGGAACAGACCATCACTAGACATAGAATCTGCCAGCACCCTAAATCTGGCATTTTCCAGCCCCCAGAACTATGAGCAATACATTTCTGTGTTTTAAAAATTGTTCAGTCCAAGGTACTTTTTATAGCAGTCTGCTGTGGTTTAGATATGGTTTTTTTTGGCCCCGCCAAGTCTCATGTTGAAATTTGATCCACAGTGTTGGAGGTGAAGCCTGGTGAGAGGTATTTGGATCACGGAAGTGGGTCCCTCCTGAATGGCTTGGGACCATTCTCATGGGAGGGAGTGAGTCCTCATCCTTAGTTTCTGGAGAACTGCTTGTTAAAACGCCTGGCACCTCCCTTCCTCTCTCACCATGTGATGCTCCCCTTCCCCTTCCCCCACGAGTGGAAGCAGCCTGAGGCCCTCACCAGATGTAGATGCTGGCACCATGCTTCTTGTACAGCCTACAGAACTGCAAGCCAAATAAACCTCTTTTTCTTTATAAATTAGCTAGTCTCAAGCATTCCTTTGTAGTAATGAAGCAGCTACGTTGTCTGGGGTATATACCTGGAGTTTGCTGTCTCACAACAGAAAAATTTAGGACATGGACACATACAAGAAGTTTAGGAGTGGAGGATTAATAGGCAGAAAAAAAGAGAAAGAAAAACAGCTCTCTCTCTAGAGAGACAAAGGGGTCTTCTGAGTAGAAAAGACTGGCAGGTGTTGGATGCACCAGATTTTATACTCCAGCTTGAGGAGGTGGTGTCTGATTTACATAGGGCTCACAGATTTGTTCAATCAGGTATGATGTTTACATAGCACTTGGGGAAGGCTGGTTGCCCCACCCTAATCTTATTATGCAAATTAACTTTACCCTTGGCCAGCACCATCTTGTCTGCTTCTTACTGTACACATGGCTGGCAGGGACGAGAAGGCTTAGCCACCATCTTGAATATGTCTAGTCCCTAGTTACTGCCACCATTCACCTGTGTGAGCTCCCAGCTGGCTGGGTCTATGTCTACAGCTCAACTTTACAGGCTGCTTTTTTTTTAGAAAATGATTTGGGACTGCTTTTTGTTAAAAAGTAAAGCCTTACCGAGGACTCCTATACCCTTACTATCTGCCTAAGTAATTTCTTCTTAACTCCTGTATCAGTAACACAAACAGACTAAAACACAGCCTGAACAGACTAAGATAGCTTATATGTCTGTCAAGATCACCACAAGTTCTAGCCTACCTTCTATTCATCTGATTCTCCAGGACATGTTCTCTGCTCCTTTGGACAGAGGATAACATGCCAATCCCAAGGAGCACTGAGTCTTCAGGCCTTGACTTCCTGTTCCCCACTCTCCTCACACCCCAGGCCAGCCTTCAACTTTCAGTAAAGCCAGTGGAGTGACTGGTGTGCTGTAGGACCCAGTGGTGACCTCCATCTCTACTCTTCATTGACTTAATAATATTCAACAATCGTGGATGTTCACAGTTCAGACTGGCCTGCCCCACTCTCACTCACGAAATGGATCCTCAATACCTACAGTTTGCTCTCGATTTATTCAGGACCAAACCCTCCCATCTGGTGATTGCACTCATCAGCAACTCTGTGAGTCTAGGCCTCCTTCTGATCCAGGTACCCCCGAGGGAGAAAATGTTCAAAATCACTTTGCCCAGACTGTTGAGGAAAATGCCATTCAAATGTCTAATCAAAAGCACTATAGCACCAAGCCACATTATAACTTTCATGCTGTTGTTGAAAAAAGTTAGATTGGTTTGACAAGATTAGTTCTTTTAAGAGTCATTTGGATTTTCCCCCATTACCCTGTAATCCCTCTCAGACTTTGAAAATTAATCTTCCTATTATTCCTGTATTTCTAGATAGAAACATATGCCGCCTGGTTTATGGCATCTGGGTATGATGGGCCCCTCAGCAAGCCTCACAGAGTTTTCAGAGGGTTTTGTTTCAGTTAATTCCTTAAGCATCCTAGGATTCAAGTCATTGTATCTTGTAATTTATTTTATTAATCCTAAGTGTAGCTTAAAAGAAAGGAATAGAAATTAATGAAAATAAATTAGCATTTTTGATTACAAAAGATACCTTCAAGGGCGCTCTCATTTCTTGAAAGTGATCTTGCATTGTATAGCAGTGCTGGAGCAGAAAAAGGCTAAATGGCCTAGATTCCACATTAACCAGGGATTTGAGTGGTTTGAGCCAGAGATTTTAGCGGTTTGAGCCAGAGTTTGTCCAGCTGTTAGAAATTTGTGTTGGTCTTTAAGTAAGAGTTGGCAAACATCCAGACAGCAAACCAAACTGTAGCTTAATTCTAAACTTCCCTCTCCAACTTCATTGCTTTCATCCTAGTTCAAATCAATATAGCCTTTCACCTGGGCTATTATAATAATCTCTCAATTAGTCTCACTGCTTCAACCCCTAGCCCTTACTATAAACCACACCACCACACAGATCAGGTCAGGTTAGTTCCCTGCTTAAAATTGTTTGGGGGCTTCCCATGACAGTTAGGGAAAAAGAAAAAAAAAAATCTAAGTTTTTTTACATAGATGATAAGGCTATGTGTAAAGATAACCTCCCCAGTGCAGTCAGTTCTGCCATAATGCAACATGTGCATTCCTAAAAATCACTGCACTACGCAAAATCATGTAATTAAAACCATAGCACTATGGGAAGAATGGGGCGAGGGGAGCAGCACTCAAAAATTTCATCTGTGGCACATTTCAAAAGCAGTAGGAACCTAATAGAAATGGTGGCACTGTTTTAAATGGTTAAGAAATACAAAGATACTACAATAAATATGGCACTTTACCTCAGAAAGACTTCAAGTTTGCTTGCAGCAGTGAGTACCAGAAGATTTGCAGTTTGTGCATTATCAAGTTGTGGAGAGAGGATTATCTGAAATCAGAAGGAAAGTCATGACACTAGGTGGATGGGTAGGTGTGACTCACGCACACAGTGAACCAAGGTAGCTGGCGGATGTCGGAGGCATGCATATGTGCATTTGGTATATTCCTACTCAGTTCAGCTGGGCGCAGTATTTTTCATCCACCTGGTGCTCCTCTCAGACAAAATCACACATAAACAAAATCGTGTTATGCTCAAACTGTTGCCCGTCAATCCTGTTAGAACTAATTTGCATTTTAAAAGCAAGCTTTATAGGAGAGCCTACTGACCAAGGCAGCACACTAACATTACTATCCTCTCCAGTATCTCCACCATGTCAATTTCTTCCCCACCTTAAAGGCTTTGTATTTGCTGTTCCCTCTGCCTGGATTGCTCTTCCTCAAGTTCCTCATGGGCTTGTTTTTGTCTCATCCTTTGAGCTTGTCTCAATGCCACCTTTTCAGAGAGCCCTATCCCAAGATCACCCACACTAGGGTAGGCCTCCACGTCCATTGCTCTCTATTTCAGAATCCTTTTTCATTTCTTCAGAGGTTCTTTTCAAACAGGTAAATAATTTATTTTTGTTTGTAGTTATCTCTCTTTCACTAGAAAGTAAGCTCCATGAGATCAGAAGCCATGTCTCTCTTGACACTTTTAAGTTTTCAAGCACTGACAGGTACTGTAATCAGTAAGAAGAAATGTATAGGTACTCAGTATACATCTCCTGAATGAATAAAAGAATGAATGAATGATTATATCTAAGCAAATACCAAATACATACAGCAGGTTCTCACAGAATGGCCTTATTAATGCTATTATGATACTTACTCTATTAAACTCCTTACAATTAAGCTCTTGTTCAGATTTAATACTCTCATTAAAAAGAGCTTGAAGGGAAACAGTACAAAACTAAGTTTTTAAAAGATAGATTATTAGAATCACACAGCACAAAAAAATAACAGCAGAAAAAAATTAGACTTGTCAAAATGACAAAAAAAAGATGATTCATTCATGTTCTTTACAAAACTGAACTCTAATCCCAACGATGGTAACAGAGAAGGCTCATATTTGACAAGTGAATAAATACAGACTAAAGGTTTGTTGAGGCCCTTTTTACAACTCTGTGTCTACTTTTGATATCCATCTTTTGAAAGGAATCTGGGCCGGGCACGGTGGCTCACGCCTGTAATGCCAGCACTTTGGGAGACCGAGGCAGGCGAGTCACTTGAGGTCAGGAGTTTGAGACCAGCCTGGCCAACATGGCAAAACCCCATCTCTACTAGAAAAGAAATTGTGACTGTGATGTCTGAATGTCTCTTAATATGCATTCCTCCCCTCTTCTGTATCAGTAGAATACTCTTGTTTTATCTGGGCAAGTGAGCCAAATAAAGGCTCCATTTCCCAGCCTCCTTTGTGGCTATGTGTCATTGTGTAACCATGGGACTAAATTCTGGCAAAGGAGATTTAAGTAAGGAATTCCAGCCGATGGCTTGGCGACTTCCATGAACCTTCCTTCAGAGAAAGCTGTGTCTTACTCATTGCCCCTTCTTCTTTCATTTTCATGTTGGAATTCAGAGGTAACAGCTGGAATTCAGGGGCTGTGTTGGACCCTGGATTGACCTTGAGAATATAGGTCATGTTCAATGAAGCAATAAGACAGAAACAGTCTGGGTCTCTGAAGGCTTTGTGGGACAGGACCCCCACAGAGCCATGAACTATCTCACTACAACTCTTTAACATAAGAGGGAAAATATCTATTTGGCTTAAGTAAATCTTATTTTAGATTATGGTTTTAACTAATGAGTTGTAGAGTTAAATGTGCCCTCCCAAACTGGTCTTTGTTTTACCAATTCGTTAAAGAAAACACCTAGCAAGTCTTAAAAGTGAGTGGTTTAGTAAGGAAAGTCAGGCTACCTGAGCATAGCCCGAAGGTGAAAATGCAAAAAGAGGCTGAATGGCTCTGCCTAACCAAGCATTAGAAATTTGGGGGTTTATAAGGGAGAATGGTGGAGACATAAAGAGAGATTAGAGAAGTTCTTCTAATTGGAAGCAAAGGCCAGTGGAAAATTCCTTGTGATGCGTATTTCTATAAGGACAATGACTCTAAAGTTGCCTTCTCTCTCAATCTATAATTGCCCTCTACTTTTCCTAAGCCTTCAGTAACAGTTGTCTCTGCGTAATGATCTTGTATTAGTGATGTTCGGGTAAATGGAAGAAGGGGGAAAGATGAGGTTAGGTAGACAAAGGTAGTAGCTTCAGAAGCTGAGAGCTAAGATTACCGCTTTTGCAAAAACATCTAAGCATCCCTCAGTGTGGAATAACTCAGAAAAGAATAAATGCCCCCTACCTAACACACACGCACAGAGAGAGAGAGAGACAGAGAGACAGAGAGAGAGAGATTGATTTCTGTCAAAAGCCTGATGGACCTCTACAGAAAATGGAAGTAGGAGCTCAGTGTTATAGGAAAGGTAATGCCAGAATGCCAGAGTAGGAAAGACTTAGAAACATCCAAGCTGAAGACTGCTGAGCTGCATAATGATACCAAATGTCCTTGTCCTGGTCTGCATAGTAACTCTTATCTATCCTTCAGAATTGTGCTCTAGTGTCACCTTTATTGACAGATCTTCCCTAACCCTCCTGGATAGGATTAATCAGCCCCTCTGACACAGTGACACAGTATCTGGGACATTCATCTCTCGTACTTTTCCCACTGTGAGCTATCTGAGAACATGATATCTTATATTTGTCTTATCTCTAGTGCCTAATACATAGTGCCAAAAAAAAGCTTTAGAGAATTGAATTGAATTATGAGTTTTGTAATAAAACCACTGACATGGGAAAAACCTTAAAGGTAATATTAGTAAAGCTTTATTTTTCATATAATGATATCAATGACTGGAGAGACTAGCTGAATTTCCTAAAGTCACACAGCTAGAAGAGGCAGGATGAGGACTAGAACCGAGGTCTGTAGATCCCAAATCACCTGCTTATTATGCCACCTTATTATATCTATGCACACTAGAGCAAAACACTTCAGTAAACCTGGGAAAATATTCAGATGTTTGAGCTCTCTCCCAAATCAAGTGCTATTTTGCAGTATGTCAAAAGCCACTTTGATCTGCTTCAACTTTTGGGAAAGAAAAGTATGAGATTTGTGCTTCCTGTCTTTAAGGTTCTTCATAAGTGCTGAATGAATAATGAAGACATAGACTTAGCAAAGCACAGATAAGTGCATAGATTCATCAGCCCTCCTGAGGTTCATAAATTTCAGAGAAAAGTACATTTTTCAAACTAAAGATCATTTTATAGCCCTAACCAAAAAAACAAGAAAAAAAAGAATTTGAATAAAAAATTAGGCAGTGCAGCAGGCATATCTGTATTATTTTCAGCCCCATACACAGAAGCAAGCTAGAGCTGTTCTCCAAGCTCTTCATATTCACCACAACATCTTATTTTATCTCGCTTGTTTTGTTCTCCTTCTCAAATCCACTCAATCATTTATTGGCTCATCAGTGCTCTAGCGCGTTTTTTCTCTGCTTTACTGTCTCCCTCTTTTCAGAGACAGACACCTCACACCTGGGAAACAGATGCCTCTAATTAGTATTAAAACCTGAAGTTTATGCCTGCCTTTGATGTTTTCTAGGATGCATTTTGGTGAACAATAATATTCTTGACTCAGCACCATTCAACACTTAATCAAAAGTCGGTTTAGTAGAGATTCTCCTGCAGTCACCCTGTACACTGTAGTTCCAAACATGCTTGCTAAATAAAGTGAAAGAACTGGATT
The DNA here is from genome assembly GCF_000001405.40 of Homo sapiens. Classification (NCBI taxonomy): domain Eukaryota; kingdom Metazoa; phylum Chordata; class Mammalia; order Primates; family Hominidae; genus Homo; species Homo sapiens. The sequence goes on from NC_000003.12 coordinate 118,687,548, forward strand.
TTGAATTTTGAAAGTCTTTGTTTCACAAACCACAGTTTTCTGAGCTGATGTTTTGAAAAAATGGGCACACTAATTTTACAAAATCTTAATAAAATTTAAACTTTGAAGAAAAAAAGTTGAAGACAGATCTGAGAAGTAGCAGCTGCTGTGTAGTATTTGCTAAGTGACTATGTTTTCTTTAACTGACCTGAGAAATATTTGTTACACATGTTATTTAGTGCTTTAAGTGCAATTCATCAGAGACTGAGCATAAAATATTTAAATAGTAAGAGGACTAAAAGACCAAAGCTGAGAGAAAGCTTATTCAGGAAGCAATATAGTACCCTCTGACCAGTGCAAGAATCCTTCTGTAGGTCAAACTTAACCTGGTACTCTTTGTTCCAGTCAAAAAGAGAAGAATATTGTATATTGTACTACCTCTCTGTGACAAAATACAGAAAGATAAAGAAGAAAGTTGCATCTCCATACAAATAAAGAGGAAAATTATTTATGGAGGAATAATTACATAATTGAAGCTGGCCATTTTATAGTGTCTTTAGAGGCAAGAAAGAAAAAAACTGGTGCAGAGAAATGTTATGCATATAAAAAGAGTTACCCAGGGCTATAGGGAGACTTGAAAAAGACTCTACTTAAAATATGAGCTGAGAGCTATAACAATGCAAATGTTATATTAGTGTTCAATGCAATTAATATCAAGTGTCTTGAGTGATCACTCAAGAGTGGTCAGACCACTACAGGAAAAAAAAAATGCAGAGGACACAGAAGAAGAGGATCAATAAATTAAAAACAAAATATATATATATAAAGCCCATGACAAATGTTATCTTAGCCATATCAGTTTAGTAGAGATTCTCCCTGTATACTCCTAGGCTAAAGGGGTTCCCATTTCCTGGGTGTGAAAGCTTTGGACAATTCAGATTGCCCTATGACATGATAAATGTATTTGTACTTTGTGCAATACTAAGTGACTAAGGTATTAGTCAAGATAGGCTAATTATGCTATGGTAACAAATTATCACAAATCTCATGACAAAGGTTTATCTCTTGTTTATGTTATCTGTCCCTCACAGATTGACCATAGTGCTGCTCCCAGTCTCAGGCCAACAGTGTAGCCTTCATCTGCAACATTGCTGGGAGTCATATCGAGGAAAAAAAAATTTATGGTAAGCCACATTTTCCAGCTCGTAAAGCTTCTACTCAGAAGTGACATACATCATTCATCTTGACAACCCTGGCAAGTCACATGACCATACCTGTGTTCAGCACAGTGGGAATGTATACCTCCCCACAAAGGAGTCTCTGAATATGAGTCATGTAATCTACAACAGTATCCTCAAGGTAACTCTATATAGTAAATTGTATAATTTTGACTCTATATGCCAGTGTTTCTGGAATAAAGTTTCTTTGTAAAATCTCAAGTAAAAAACCTGCAGATATTTTTTATAAATAACTATCGGCATAAGGTAGCCAGTATTTTACTGTTTTGTAGTCAGCAGCATCTCTTATATAAGGATATCTTAAATTTCAACTGTGACTGTGTATATTCATGATATTTTAGTATTCAGGTTGTCTGCTAAAGTCCTTAATGGGAAGAAGCAATAATCAAATTAATTAGTTTGTTTTTTCTTGTATTTCTATTGCAAAAACTAACATCATACTTAAGTAAGAGTTTGAATGAGGTTGGGTGGGACACAGGCATATGTGAATTTTACACATTTTCCATTTCCCACCAAGCAGGCAGATCTTTAAACACTACTCTGCAATAATGCTTTTAATAAGGACAAAGAAAGGCCTCCTTAGCCCCCAGTACTTAACTTCAGAATAGAAAGCATAGATTTGACAACAGAAGCATCAGTAAGAAATTTGCTAATTATTTTTCCACGATGTGAGCTTTAATTTGCTTGGTAAAGATAATGAAATGTATGCCACTTATGTTGTTATAAATCTAATCAGAAACACTTGTGTGTATGTGCCCCATCCTCCTGCTGTAAAGGATAGAATGTATTGTGGATCTGCTTAACTACCACTGAGAGGAAGCAACAGCCCTCAGACAAGGATTTCCTGTAAATGGCTTCAAGTTAAAGTTCTCAAAAACCACATTTATCATGCCATTTTAGCATGATACTGCCTGGAGACAGGAGGAAGAAATAAAAGTTTTCTTAATGTCCCTTTTTCCTTATAATTCTTTTTTTTTTTTTTAATCTTTTCTACTACCCAGTAGAACCCCTTCTCCTCAGCCACTGGAATTATTATAATAAAGACACCTAGGAATTCCAGAGAGCTGAGACTTGCTCCCTATACTTGGAATCCCAGAAAATAGCCTTTAACACTACACAATTTTAATTAATTCTAAGCTTCAATGATAATCATATTTCCTTCCATAAGTGTTGACTAAGGAGAGGACAGGTAACAGAGTTGGCTGATTGACCAACTGATTAAAGAAAGAGATAAACTGGGATGTGTGTCCTAAGGATACTCTATTCTCCTTGAAATACGAGAAAGAGGGCTCAGAAAAGATCTTTACCAACTCTTCCTCTTTCTTGAACCACCTCCTTCATTTATCCTTTGATCAATCGCAATCCCACTTACAGTTAGCTTCCTATACCACCATTGCTCTTGTCGTTGGTCCTTGAACTTGACTCTGATCTTGCTTAATTACTCATTCATTTATTTCAGGCCTCATATTCAGTGCTCATAGACAACCTCATCAGAAAAAGCACCATTGTGAATTGGAATAAACAGGTAAGACCATGACTAGAGGTGAAAAAAAACCTGCTTGCTGAGTGTTTGATGAAGATGAGTTAAGATATAAATTTGAAAGAGGTCAGAGTCAAATTTTCGGCACCTTAGAACATATGTAAAAGTGGCATCATCACTCCAAGTTGTTGCCCTCCATATCCATGTTATAAGTTACTTCCTAGCAGGTCCTGAGAACAGTAGTTTGACTTGCTTAAATCGTTCTCACATGGAAAAGCATGACTCAAATACCAGTTTCTCTTGCAAGGATTCCTTGTCTCCTGCACCTGCCTTTGGCAATATTAATTATTCCCCCTTCCACAATCTTAAAGTACTTAATTCATAAACTAATAGTAGCATTTTTACAACTTATACTATTTAGTTCTGTTCTCTGCAAGAGAGTAATCTCCCAAGGGCAGGATTAAATCTGGTTCATCTTTACATCTATGATGTCGAACAGATCATCAGACACATAGTAGGTGCTCAAGGAGTGTTGCTGACTGAATTGAAAGTTAGTTGAGGGTCAGCATTGTGGGTAGCAGAAGCTACCTACAGAGAGGTAACATGGGATACAGTGGGAAGGTCATGAGCTTTGGCGTAGGAGAAACGCAAGGTCAAATCTCAACTCTGCCACTTACTAACTATGCAAGCTTAGACAATGTTACCTAACTGCTTAAAAACTGTTTGTACTTATAAAATGGAGACAATTACCCCACCTCACTAGATTGTAGTATAAATTAACTAAGAAGTCTGCACAGTGTATGATACATGATGAGTTGCCATCAACATGGTAGTTACTCCACCCAGATGCCCTTGGACACTTCTTACTTGTTCTATGCACCTGTCTCCCACCTTTTTTGTGCTTCAGCTTTAAAGGCTGACACCAACAATCTTTCTCTGAGAACCGCCTTTGGGCTACTGGAGCTGCATTGACCTAAGCACAGACAGCCCAGAGATGTAAGTCCTCACAGAGATGGCTGTAGTCAATGCCTGACTGGAAGCCCAGCTCCTTTTGCCTGCGGTTGACACTAACTCAGAAGGGGTATGTGTGCTCCGGAGCTCCGTGCACTCTTCCCCTACTCTCTTTCTGTCTTTTCCTGAGATTGCTGACTTAATAACATATTTGACATGAATCTTTATCTTAGGGTTTGCTTTTGTAAACCTGACCTAGGATACAAGCACTCCCAAAACAGCAACTGTTGTTATAACCCAGAGTGACATAAAGATAAATGTTAAAAATTGCCAGCCGGGTGTGGTGGCTCACGTCTGTAATCCCAGCACTTTGGGAGGCCGAGGCAGATCACCTGAGGTCAGGAGTTTGAGACTGGTCTGACAAACATGTTGAAACCACATGTCTACTAAAAATATAAAAAATTAGCCAGGCATGGTGGCAGGTGCCTGTAATCCCAGCTACTTGTGAGGCTGAGGCAGGAGAATTACTTGAACCTAGAGGCACAGGTTGCAGGGAGCCTAGATCACACCATTGCACTCCAGCCTGGGTGATAAGAGTTAAAATATATATATATATATATATATATATATATAAAATGAATGAATAAATAAATAAAAATTGCCATGCTCTCTGTCTCTCTGTGGTAATCCTCTCCGTATTTTTCTTGTCTGGCCTTCACTATACTTTACCTCCTAAATACGTTTATCCTAGGTGCCGTGGTTTGGATGTTTGCCTCTTCCAAATCATATGTTGAAACCCCAATGTTGGAAGTGAGACCCAGTGGGAGGTGTTTGGGTCATGGGGGCAGATCCCTCATTAACGGATTAATGCCCTCCTTTGGTGTTGAGTGAGTTCTCTCACTCTTAGTTCCTGGAAGAGCTGGTGACTGAACTGAAGTGAAAATTCAATTGGCACCTCTCCACTCTCACCACCGACCCCTCCTACCACCACCATGTGATCCGGACCTCTGTACACACCAGCTCCCCGTCACCTTCTACCATGAGTAGAAGCATCCTGAGGCCCTCACCAGAATCAGATACCCAATCTTGAGCCCATGAACTTTCTAAAAATCAAATAATTAGCCAAATAAATTTTTTTCTCTATAAATTACCCAGGCTCAGGTATTCCTTTATAGCAACACTAAATGGACTAAAATACTAGGAGAAAGGAGAATCAGCAGAACCTTTTTTTTTCTTTTGATAAAACATATGTGTGTTCATGTTCTTAACTTAGTAGCTGCCTCTTTATAGTTGGTTTGCTCAACACTTAGCATCTTGAGGGTGATTAACAAATGTAAAAATTCTGTTCAGCAATGTCTCACACAGATGAGAAGGATGTCTTCCATGAAAATCTTGTCCGGGGGACCCAAGATAACAGATGGGTCTATTCTGGGACTGGCAGATTCTGTCACATCTTGAGGACATTTTCCCCAAGGGAATGGGTGATTCTAAGGGGTAAATTCATTACATAATGTGCTGTTTTGCTGAAACCACTTTTCAGTCTCATGCTACAGAATTTCAAAGAACCTCTTTGAAGATTTTTTTCTTTTACTAAAGCAGATCTAGGCAATGCTAAGTCACTTATGACATGATAAATCTCAAGTTCAAATGCAAGCTGTGCTGCTTACTAGCTGGGCGATGTTGGGTAAATTAATCTTCCTAAGCCTCAGTTTCCTTATCAGCATATTTGGAAAAGTAACTATTTTTATCTCACAAGTTTGTTGTGAGGATTCCGTGAACTAATATACATAAAGCATGTAGCATAGCACAGTGCCTGGCACAAAATAAATGCACTTTGACAGTTATGTTTTTTGTTGCTATTGTTATTTTTCTTGTTTTAACACTTTCATTCTCCTGCTCTCATAAATGAGCAACAACAACAACAAAACAGACCTAATTTGATAAACCTAGGATGTCTGTCCTAGATAAAGAAGGTTAGAGGATGGGATAGTCATTATTAAGGTTGAGGAGCTATAAAGTAGGAGGCAGAATAGAGTCATTCAATTTGTACAGGCAATTGAATGACTTGCAACAATTTGTAGAGTTCATATGAAGCTATTTCATCTCAATATGAATAGAATTGCCAAGAATTCATCACTTTCCTACACTGGAATGGAGTCCTTGGGAGATGATAAGTTATCTATCATTGGGGACATTCAAGCAGGTACTGAATGATCACTTTCTGGGAATGCTGTATATACCAGTTGAGCCTCATTTGGTTGTAGTTTGTTGCCATGTGGTTGCAATTACAAGGCACTTAAGCCAAGGGATAATTTATTATACCATAAGGTTACTTGCTGTCTTATGAAGTCCAGAGATAAGAATACAGACAGGACCCCAGTGCCTTCCTGTGTGTGTCTCTCCCATTACTGTATGTCTGCCTCTCTTCTCTGGCCACAGAGAGGCCTCCTGTGCATCTCAGTTTCCATGGCAGAATGTGAACACCAAAGCTTTACAAATTTTATACCTTACATGACAGGTACCCAAAATGTTAATTGGTGCAATGTTTTTGGGTTATCAAAAATCCAGATTCCTTTGGAAGAAACTATGCTTGTGTTAGCTGCAATCTGGACCGATCATATATGGCCAGGGAGTAGAGTCCCACTGTATTAACATTGCCTCCCACAGTAACTACTGAAGGCAACAGAGGGTGAAGAGACAGTGCCACAGAGAAGGCAGAAGTTCTCAGAAGTGGGAAGAACATGAGGTACTTCAGGATGGACAAAATAAAAATGAGTCTTCACTACACCCTAGAGGGGATGGAAAGTGGAGCCAGCTTCCTGCAACTTTCTTCTACTCTTACAATTCTATTAGTCCAGAGTAAGACTTTTTCAAATTAATGATTTGAAAAATCAGTCTGAAACATTAAAACTTACAAAAATCACTCACTTATTTCTTCAAATTAACAATGATTTAGCCATATGAAGACAGGTACCACATTTCATTGAATATAACACACCATTGATTATAAAACACACCGTTGTTTTATGTACTACTAAGAAAGAAAAAAATGCCAAATGCAGATGTAAGGTGTTATCAAGTGTAACAATTTCAGAGGTGTTAAATTGTGAAGATATGAGCATCTTAGAATCAATGAGATATAAAAAATTAGTTTGATCATTCTGTGTGTTTCAACATAGGCCTTCTACTTTCCTTCATTTTACAAATGAGGTTTGAGGCAGTTAAGCAAACATTTAATGAGTATATGATAGGCACTCTAAAGGAGTAGGAGATGCAGAAATGCTTAGAAAATCATCCCCATCTTCTAAGAATTTACAGGAATAGAGGAGACAGTCATAGAAACAAATAACTACCATACAGATGCTCATGATCTAATAAGCTTTCCTTAAGTTTCTGGAATGCAACAAGATCTTTTCTACCTCAGGACCTTTGTATGTGCCATTCCTTTGCCAGGGACACTTCCTCTGCTTTATCTGGCTAACTGCTACTCATCATTCAACTACTTTGATCTAATTTCCATAGGGACCCACACAGGAGCCTGTTGGCAGTTTCTACCAAACACAGCTCTTTTCTCTCGAAACTCTTATTCTCACTATAGCTGAAACTGATGTTGTTTATTTGTTTGGGGTGTCTTTTTATTTAGCTGGAGAAATTTCTTACACATTTTCCATAAATACATATGTTAGCTATATACAAGCAATTCTGGAAAAGTCCCTGTAAACTCTGAGGACAATAGGTGCTAAAGGGGCTCAGACATAGGTAAGATTTTATCTGCTAAGGAGAATCAGAAAAGGTTTCATGGAGAAGTAACATTTGAGCTAGGCTTTGCAGGATCTCAGTAGATAAATGTTGTGGAAAGAAAATCCAGGTAGAGATACTGGAATGGTTCAGGGCCAGAAGTGGAAAAGATACAGGCATCTTTGGGGAACAGCTGTTAGTAAAGTTTGGTAAGTTGGAAAGGTCGATTGAGGATAGACTGAGAGAAGAGATGAATTTACCATCAAATTAATGATGCTTAATACCCTTCATTTGCCTGGCCCCTTCCAAGGCTGTTGAGGTTCTGCTCCAGAGACACAAGGAAGAAGCAGGAGCCTTAGCAGCCCTGCTTCAGCCTCAAGGCCACCTCTTATGGTCACCTGGGGCCCCACTTCCAGCAGTACCTCCATATCCACCCAGCCCTCAGCAAAAATTGCTTCCAAGAAGAAGGATCTAAAAGAGATGCTGGAAGCCCCACCGAGTTGGAGCTCCTCCTCTGGTGGAACTGATTCAGAGGATCATGGCAGACAGGAGGCAGGATTACATTGCAGCTCTGGACAGAGCAGCATGCGGAGGCTTGCATTGTGAATGTTAGCTCCAGATCTACTGCAAGAACAAGCCAGCAATCACGAGAGGACCCACAGATCCTCTGAAGGAAGCAGACTGTTCCTGCAGGACCAGTGAGACACCCCAAATACTGTGAGTGCCCCAACTGTGAATGCAGGTCTGGTGAGACACCCCAAATACTGTGAGTTCCCCAACTGCGAACACACACCCCCACTGGAGAAGCTGAAGGTCTATTTGCGAGAGACGTTCCCAACTTTACCTGGAGCTGAGTCAAATTAGAGAGCCAAGCAAAATACAGGGGTAGAGGAAGCGGCAGAAAGACCCTGGGAGCTCGCTGGGTCCCCAAGCAGCCCATCCCTGCCTGGCACCACAGGGATCCATCAGAAGTGGAAAGAGCCCTAAACGCCTAGATCAAAAAGACTGAAAGAGTATAAACTGACAAGGTCACATCTCAAGGAACTAGACAAACAAGAACAAACCAAAGCCAAACTCAGCAGAAGAAAGGAAATAACGAAGATCAGAGCAGAACTAAACGAAATTGAAACAAACAAAAAAAAATACAAAAGATAAATGAAACAAAAAGCTGGTTCATTGCAAAGATAAATAAAAGTGATAGAACATTAGCAAGATTAACCAAGAAAAGAAGAGAGAAAATCCAAATAACCTCACTAAGGAATGAAACAGGAAATACTACAACTGATACCACTGAAATACAAAAGGTCATTCAAGGCTACTATGAACAACTTTATGCACATAAAGTAGAAAACCTAGAAGAGATGGATAAATTCCTGGAAAAATACAACCCTCCTAGCTTAAATCAGGAAGAATTAGATACCCTGAACAGACCAATAACAAGCAGTGAGATTGAAACGGTAATTTGAAAATTACCAAAAAAAAAAAATCCAGGACCAGACGGATTCACAGCAGAATTCTACCAGACATTCAAAGAAGAATTAGGACCAACGCTATTGATACTATTGCACAAGATAAAAAAAGAAGGAACCCACCCTAATTCATTCTATGAAACCAGCATCAGCCTAATACCAAGAACGGGAAAGGACGTAACCAAAAAAAGAAAAAATCCAGATAGATATCCTTGATAAACATAGATGCTAAAATCCTTAACAAAATACTAGCTAACCGAATCCAACAACATATCAAAAAGATAATCCACCATGATCAAGTGGATTTCATACCAGGGATGCAGAGATTGTTTAACATACGCAAGTCAATAAATGTGATACATCACATAAACAGAATTAAAAACAAATTCACATGATAATCTCAATAGATGCAGAAGCAGCATTTGACACAACTCAGCATCCCTTTGTGATTAAAATTCTTAGCAAAATTGGCATACAAAGGACATAACTTAATGTAATAAAAGCCATCTATGATAAACCCACAGCCAACATAATACTGAATGGGGAAAAGTTGAAAGCATTCCCTCTGAGAACTGGAACAAGATAAGGATGCCCACTCTCACCACTCCTCTTCAACATAGTACTGGAAGTCCTAGCCAGAGCAATCAGACAAGAGAAAGAAATAAAGGGCACCCAAATCAGGAAAGAGGAAGTCGAACTGTCACTGTTTGCTGACGATATGATCCTTTACCTCAAAAATCCTAAAGTCTCCTCCAGAAGGCTCCTAGAACTAATAAAATAATTCAGCACAGTTTCCAGATGCAAGATTAATGTACACAAATCAACAGCTCTTCTATACACCAACAGTGACCAAGCAGAGAATCAAATCAAGAATTCAACCCCTTATACAATAGCTGCAATAAAATAAAATACTTAGGAATATACTTAACAAAGGAGTCAAAATACCTCCACAAGGTAAACTACAAAACACTGCTGAAAGACGTCATAGATGAAACAAACAAATGGAAACACATCCCATGTTCATGGATGGGTAGAATCAATATGCGAAAATGACCAGACTGCCAAGAGCAATGTACAAATTCATACAAAATCCCCAACAGAATACTAACATCATTCTTCACAGAATTAGAAAACACAATTCAAAAATTCATATGGAACCCAAAAGGAGCCTGCATAGCCAAAGCAACACTAAGCAAAAAGAACAAATCTGGAGGCATCACACTACCTGATTTCAAACTATACTATAAGGTCACAGTCACCAAAACAGCGTGATACTGGTATAAAAATCGGTACATAGACCAATGGAACAGAATAAAGAACCCAGAAATAAAGCAAAATACTGAAGCCAACTGATCTTCGACAAAGTAAACAAAAACACAAAGTGGGGAAAGGACACCCTTTTCAACAAATGGTGCTGGGATAACTGGCTAGCCACATGTAGGAGAACGAAACTGGATCCTCATCTCTCACTTTATACAAAAATCAACTCAAGATGGATTAAGGACTTAAACCTAAGACCTGAAACTATAAAAATTCTAGAAATAACTCTGGAAAAAACCCTTCTAGACATTGGCTTAGGCAAGGATTTCATGACCATGAACCCAAAAGCAAACGCAATAAAAACAAAATATCTTGGACCTAATTAAAGAGCTTTTGCACGGCAAAAGGAACAGTCAGCAGAGTATAAAGACAACCCACAAAGTGGGAGAAAGTCTTCACAATCTAAACATCCGACAAAAGACTAATATCCAGAATCTACAATGAACTCAAACTAATTGGTAACATAAAAACAAACAATTCCATCCAAAAGTGGGCTAAGGACATGAATAGATAGTTCACAAAAGAGGATATACAAATGGCCAATAAACAAATGAAAAAATGCTCAACATCGCTAATGATCAGGGAAATACAAATCAAAACCACAATGGGATACCACTTTACTCCTGCAAGAATAGCCATAATCAAAAAATTTAAAAAAAAAAAAACAGTAGATTTTGGCATAGATGCAGTGAAAAGGGAACACTTCTACACTGCTGGTGGGAATGTAAGCTAGTACAGCCACTATGGAAAACAGAGTGGAGAGTCCTTAAAGAACTAAAAGTAGAACTACCATTTGATCCAGCAAGTCCACTACTGGGTATCAACCCAGAGGAAAAGAAGTCATTATACTAAAAAGATACTTGCATACGCATGTTTATAGCAGCACAATTCACAACTGCAAAATCGTGGAACCAACCCAAATGCCTATCAATCAATGAGTGGATAAAGAAACTGTGGTGTATATATATGATGGAATACTATGCAGCCATAAAAAGGAATGAATTAACAGCATTTGCAGTGACCTAGATGAGATTGGAGACTATTCTTCTAAGTGATATAACTCAGGAATGGAAAACCAAACATTGTATGTTCTCACCGACATGTGGGAGCTAAGCTATGAGGAGGCAAAGGCATAAGAATAATACAATAAACTTTGGGGACTTGGGGCGAAGAGTGGGAAGGGGGCAAGGGATAAAAGACTACAAATATGGTGCAGGGTGTACTGCATACTGCTCAGGTGATGGGTGCATCAAAATCCCACAAATTACCACTAAAGAACTTACTCATGTAACCAAATACCACCTGTACCCCATACAGGTGGTATTTTTCCATAGTTTTTCCATAACTTATGGAAAAATAAAATAATAATAATAAATTAAAAACGTGCTGCTCTTTGAAACATAGAAGAGAGGTGTTGGCAAAAGGATGGGACACTGAGTACCTTAGAAGCAAACCAGTTGCTCTAGCAGCAGCCCTGGAAGCTAAGCCAAGAGAAATCAAAAGAATGGGATTCTCTAAGGCTTGCCCTAGGGCAAGGAGCTCTTTCCAAGCAAATTCCTGCAGAGGAAGTTATAGATGTTGCCTTCTCAACACAAAGTTCTGAAGCAGAAAACTTTTTTAAACAATTAGAAATGGATTTCTGTCAATCATGCTGGAGGAAAATGGAATTTTCTCTATAGAAAACTATATTACAAAATTATTGTCATATAAAGAGATGATCGAAGAGCATGTAACCAAATATGTAGGGATGGAGTATTATAGGGATGTAGTAGTATTTATAATAATAAGGCATTTTATGAACTTTGTGATGATTGTGATATTTATTATCTTTTAAACAATTTATCATCGGTGTGTTTTCTATTCTCGTTTAGGATGAGTAAGTCTTTACTTTTCTATCTAACTTTTGAATTTGTAATTTTGTCTTCTTTTTAAAGAGACCTTCAAAAATGGTCTCAGCTGCAGGCCCCACAAAACCTGCATCTGACCCTGGCTGAAAGCCTGGCCTGCCAGTCCCTAGGGCTGAGATCATATTCAGTCAGGAATAGAGGAGCAGAGAAGATGTCAACTAATCAGTTTCCTTGCTAATTTGTATGAGAATGAACATAAATCTTTCTATAACAGTGTTGCAATTTTATCTTCCACAGGCAATGTTGATAATTACTTGGGAATTAAATGCCTTCTTTATTTTTTTTAAGTTTTCTTTTTACTCTGCTATTTTGCTGCAGGAATTTATCTGCTGATTCTCCATTTACAAACAGAAAGACTTGCCTATAAAGTATAAGTATTTTGCTCAGATCGAAGTTCCTTCCCTAGCATCATGATGTTATTAATACATCACATCCATTTTATCCATATCACTTTTCCTGGGTTTGGCTACCGGCGCAGATTAATAGTTGTCTTTGCATTATGCAGTGGAACTTAATTTCTATTTGAATGTTTAACACCATTGTAATGATTTTATTGCAATTAAGAATGATAAATGTTTCCCTTCCAGTCTCAAAATCAATATTCACAAAGTGGAGGAGATAGGCAGGAAGAAGGCAGTTAGAACTGGGGGCTGCCAAGAAACTGAGGGAAGATGAGGCAAAGCTGAAAGGCTGTAGCACCGCTTAAGCACCTACTATGTGCCGGACACTCTGCTAGGTATTTTACACAATAGAAATGGTAGTAATAAAAACTATATTAAAAACAGCAAACACTTACTGTACACTTATTCTGAGGTAAGCACTTTCTGTATATTTCCTCAGTTGGTCTTCCTACTACTTCTATAAGGCAAATACTATTGCTATTATATTTCTTTTTATGGATGAGGAATCTGAAACTCAGAGAAGTTAAGTAACTTTCCCATAATCATAGAAATGGTGAGTGGAAAACTAAAGACTTGAATTTGGGTCTAAACCCAAAGTGGACCAAATATTTAATCCCATTTTATTAGCTTACTTAAAAAATTACCACAAACATACACCCATTTATTGTCTTACAGTTCTGTAGGTCAGAAATCTAGGTGGGCTCACCTTGGTTCTCTGCTTAAGTCCTCTGCTAAAATCAAGATGTTGGCCACACTGGGTTTTTATCTGGAGACCTTGGGGAAGAAACCACTTCTAAGCTAATTCAGGTTGTTGGCAGAATTCAGTTCTTAGAGACTGGGAGATGAAGGTCTCCATTTCTTCTCTAGCCATCAGTCACAGTCTGTTCTCAGCTTCTAGAGACTTCCCTCCATTCCTTGACACTTGGGGACCTCCATCATCAAGCCACCAATGGTACACTGACTCTTTCTCACACTTAGATTCTTTTTGACTTCCTCTGCTACTAGCCAGTGAAAATGCTTTGCTTTTAAATGATTGCTATGATTATACATGGCTCCCTCAGAAAATTTTCCTTTTGATAAACTCAAAGTTAACTGATGGTAGCCTTAATCACATCTGCAAAATTCCTTTGTGATGTAATGTGACTTAATCGTAGGTGTGATAGTTCATCCTATTTAAAGCTCAGGAGAACAGGAGAGAAAATCTTGGGTGCAAGAAAGAATCATGCAATTTTCCCTACCACACCCATACTATCCTCTGTACCACATATATGCTCCCTCATTTAGTCTTGTCCCCAGCTTTGTCAAGAAATTAGCATTTACTCTAGAATGATGAGAAGCCAGGAATTATAGCCAGAATGATGGCTGGGGAAGAGAAAGCAAGAAATCTACATTTCACATGATGATAGCCTTATGCATATCATAGCACCAGTTCCCTCCCCATCACCATGCCTCACTGGGCCCTGCTCCAGCCATACCGGGGGTACTAAGAAGCATCATGAACTCTTCTGTAGGCCTTCATAGGTAAACAGTTACCTCTGCCTAGAAATTTCCAGTGTGCTTCTGCTTGGCTCTTACTTTTCCTTCAGGTCTCCTTCAAACCCCTTCCTTTGGGAACCACTCCCTGTACAAGACTGGAGTAGAAATTCCTTCTCTACCAATGCATCTTGTGCTTAACGCATTATAATATCACTTATCAACCTGTATTCTAACTCCTATCTTCTTACCTAGCACCACCCATTGACATAGTCTTTGTTGCTGGTCTAAACATCTTTTGCATAGCTTTAGATTATTTCTTCGTGGTTTGGGATTTTTGAACAAGTTAATTACCTTTGGTTAAAAAATAAATAAATTCAGCCTTCAAAATAACGGTTTTAAAGGTGCAGCAGAAAAAAAAAAAAAAAACACCCCCCAAAAGCCCTTACTTGTCTCTACAACACTTCTAAAATTCTCATTAATGTCATGACCTTCATAGTAGACATACTCCCACAGCTAATTATATTCATTTTTTCCTTCTTGTCTATTATTTTGACACAAATTTGACTAAAAATAATCTCCAAGAAAAAAGACACTTGGAGCACCAAAGATTCATGGAGTATTTGTCTTTGGACTCCACGGTGTGCATTTATTGACAAACTAAATAGGGAAATTAATAAGAGAAATGATGAGAACCTATTTGCAAATGTATGTCATGTCATCTTAAAGAAAAATATTAGGGAAGATATTCAAGTGGAAAAAATGTACTTAAATCTTAATTTAATAATTTTTAAAGTAATCATATTTCAAAAAGGTTATTATCAATTTGAGACTAAGAAGAAAGAAAGAAATATTTGAGAGACTCCAAGAAAGAGAAGAGTGGGTATCTAGACATAGAAAGAGTAAATTAACAAATTATTTACAAATAAGTATTGAGCTTTAAAGATACAGCAATGAAAACATTATTCTGGGACCACCTGGACATATTTTTACAGAAATGAAAAATACATAAAATAATTAGAAAATCATTAGGAAGCAGCCATTAATGTTTGAATCCAGAGACCTAACAAAGGAATGGGGTGGAGATAAAAGTTAAGAGACAAGACAGACAGAAAATGAAAATCTGATCTTTGAAGATGTTTCTTTTCTCCTCTAGCCACATCAGAATTGCCTTCAGTCAGGATTCTCTAAAATGTCTCAATGATTCAATTTTGTAGCCCAACTCTATTGGGTAAGGCAAGTTTTGGGAGGTAGACCAAAATTTTACCTGAGACAACTTGATCTCAAATAGTGCAGAAATAAGTGAAATTTAATAATTTCCTGGCTAATTTGATCACTACATACAGGTAAATTTGACCCAAAGTTTAAAATTCTTCATCTAGCTTTTCTCCAATCTCCACTAAAATAATAATAAAGACACAGAAAAAATACTAAAGCATGAAACACCAGAAAACAATGCCTTTGGATATGCTACAGCCAGAATCTGGGATGCTTTGTCATCACCTTCAAGGCTGATGGAGTGAGCTTGAGAGGGATCTACGTGTCTTGCCTTGCCAGCCCACATAAGAGGTAGGAAGGCACTACACATCTCCTTGTCTCAGTTTGAGTCCTTTGGTTTCAACAAAGCCTGGTTAACTCAGTCCAAAAAGAATTTGTTAGAAGTAATTCTGAGATTCACAGAATCAACAGAAGACTGGAAAACCAGTCTTGAAAATGGCAGGACCCAAGATAGTGCAAGATGATAAATAAGATACCTGATGCTAAGCAGAGACCCTCATAAGACTTGTGCTAGGAAAAGTGAGGGATCGTAGTCATTTTTATTCACTTTCTCCTTTTGCTCCAGGAAGAAAACATCTGATTGGTCTGGTTTGGAAAGTTGTGTCTGAGTGTAGGCTAAAGAAGTGTGGAGCTCCTTACTACAATCCCATCAGATGTATCCAGTGACTTCTCACTGAAATTAAAATAAAACCCAAAACTCTTTTCCACAGCGGGCAGGATATAAACGACCCAGTCCCAGCTACCTACTCATCCTCATCTGCCTCCGCTCTCTCCCTCACTATGGGCCCACCACACACATTCTTCTTGCAGTGCCTGCCTCAGAGCTCTTGCACTTACTGTTCTGTCTATCCAGAGAGCTCTTCCCCCAAGACATTCTCTAGTATATCCACGACAAACTCTCTCACCACTTAGATCTCAGCTCAAATGATACCTGCTCAGAGACAAAAGAGCTAACATTTACTGTACACTTATTCTGAGGTAAGCACCCCCATCTCTTCCTTTTCCACCTCCACACGTTCTCAATCACATTTTCCTGTTTTATTTTTCATGGTAATCATAAGTATCAAAAATTGTCTTAATTATTTATCTGCTTACTTTAATATTATCTGTCTGGTCCTCCATCGCCCTTCTATAATGAGACCACATCTGAGAGGTGAAGACCTTACCTGTTTTCCCCAATATATCTACATCCCCCGCTCAGTGTTTGGACATTGTATGATATCAGCAAAAATTAAAATGATTGAATGAACCAATATTGCAGTACATGTTACATTTCTCAGAATTAATTACAGACCTGTTTCTCAGGATGAACTATAAGATCTTCCCAGATAAAGACTGAGTCTTCTTCATCTCTGTGCCCTCTTGCCCATACAGTGCCTGGCTTATGGTAAGATTTTCAACAAATGTTTATTGACGTGAATTCTATTTAGCTGTAGGCTCTTTCTTTATGAACTGCTAGGCAGGCAGGCTGTATCTAGAGAAAGCTATTTTCTTAAATGATTTCAAATCAGATTTCATAAGATGATAATAGCTAGAATAAAAAGTCCTTCCCATGAAAGCTCTGAAAACAGTGCAAACATTCTTAAACATTTATAGCCCTAAAATTTCTTTTGCCTAGCATTTGTCTCCAACAGCGTTAATAAATGTGGCTAGGAAGTTCATCCAAGCTATCAACAGATGAGCTAGGAGCTCAAAGCAAGGGGCTGCTCCTGGACATTCCGTCTTGATGAAGGGCAAGACAATGAGAGCCATCACCCAAAAAAAAGCCTCCAAGGAAACTAAACAAATATCTCCTCTGGTAAAAAATAAATAGTTCAGCTGGGGAACTGTAATTGTGTGTATAATGCAGCTCAGATATAGGGCATAATTACACTCTAGAATCCATACAGTAATAAAAAGCTCCAGTCAGGGAAAAGAATGCTTGTTTGCCATGGTTTGACAGGCAAGCAACAAACAAGAACCACTTTTTCACCTTTTATTCAATAAAATCAGCATATTAAATATTCAGACTGTCTCTATTAAGCAATTCACTTCTACCTCTCCTCCTTCCTTCCTCCCTCCCCCCTCCCCACCTCTTCTTGTTTCGTTTTCATCAAGTCAGGGAGGGGAAAATATAAAACTGAGCCCGTGATATGATTTTTAATGAAGCCACTGCTCAGAGGTTCTACTGCATTCAGGAGCTGCCTCTGTAGTCCACAGGGGTTCAGGATCTGGCACCCTGGGACGGGGGCTGTTTCAGAGACACCTGAGACAGCAGGCAAACCACCATTTTCAATCAAGGATAATAAGGACGTTTTACTGAGGAGAGAGGAGCAGATAGAAGCAGGGAAAAGGAATCAGCTTCCCCCTACTACACAGGCCAATAAGGAAAGGTACCTGGCCTGACAATATATTTAACTGGATGCTATGAGTTGTGAACTGTGGCTAATGAAACAGCTGAAAACACCACATGGAATAAAAGAGCCAGGGCAAAGGAGAGAAAGGTTAAAAGGCTGGCGAACTACATTAGAATGATTAAGTGAGAAAATGGCATGCATTGTGAACACAATTGACTAATCTCTGAAAGACACTGAGAGGGGATTAGAATATTTTCTTGGACAACCAAACTGCTGCCTGCCTTTTTCTTTTCCTCCCATTTGGAAGAAAGTTTGGACCTCTCCATTTTAATGTTCCTCAGAAAGAAGAGGTTACAAATGGACAAGAGGAAGAAGGGACTCTGGGAATGTCACTTTCTCCCAAATGAAGTGGGGGAAATGCCATTATTCTTTCACAGCCCTGGAAGCATCAACAAGCCTTAACCCTGATTCTGCCTTTGATGTCGACAAGCAGAGGTAACGGACATCTAGCAGGCGGGGCCATGAGAGGCCGGTCCTTTCTAGCAGAGAAGGGATGAGGTCAACAGTAATGAGCAACAGTGAGGTGGAATGCAAATTGCAAAAATTTATGAAGTTGTTTCTGCTCAGTGAGCAGATTCCAGATAAGTGGAGTGTTAATAAGGCAGGCGAGTTTTTCAGCAGTGCCAGCTGTTAGGAAGATGCTGGCATACTCTTAACCCGGTATTTATTGGATGCTGCTCATTGCTGTGACAGCACACACGTACACAAGTATGTTTATTCACAACATGCATAATCACGTTGTCACAACACAGATGCTCATCAGTGGCCCGTCTCACAAGCAGAGGTGTATATCGAAAACTCAAGTCCTTAAGGAAAACCTTGTGGAAGAACTCCCTTTCACTGAAAGTAATAGATCCCTCCAGGCTGCCCCATAATGGACTATGACTTCTGTGAGGAAAGGGGCATAAAGAAAGGACTTGGTCTCCGTTTTACGCAGAGCAGAGCCTCATAAGGAATTCATACTGCACAAGCTGAGTAATTTGGTTGCAGTGTCCTGTAAATTTGGGAAGGTATAACCAAACAGTTATTACATGTGATTGCAGGGCTTTAAGGAGCTTTAATGGTCTCTGAGCACCCTGTGCAAATGTATCTTGTAGAATTAGTGGCAATAGAAAAACCAGGACGCTCGGTGACAAACTGAGCTCCTTCGAATGCACTTGAATATGTATGTAAGCTGCTGAAGATTCTGTAATATGAAACAAAATGGCTCTTTGCATGCACTTAAAGAACAACAGGAAAACTGGCTGAGAAGACTGGAAAAGCTATAGGATTTTTAAAAATGGAAAGTGAATTTTATTCAAGAAGATCATTTATGATTAGTCAGGGAGGAGTAGATGACAACGTTTAGTGCTGACCAGGTGCCAACTACACTACACACTCACTTTTGGAAACCCTCCCACTACCTCATTCTACAGAGAAGGAAACAGACCCCAGAAATGTTAAGAGGTGCCCAAACTCATAGCAACTTAGGAAGCAACAGGGCTGAAACTCAGCCATGGCTCTGGCTGAATGTCAAGCCTTGCTCCTCCGAGTGCTTGCTCCAAACTGTCTCAGGTGAAGAAGGGATTTATTGAAGAGCCAGGCTGGAATCCTGAATGTCAGTGGGCTGAGTTTGAGAAGCCAGAAATACGTTCAGACTGAACAAGAGTACCAGAAAAACGCTGCCTCAAAGATGAATTCGTGATATAAATTCTATGAGGTATGACTATAAACTGAAGTCAAGAGACTGACTTCTCGAGCTGTGTCTGATAGCCAGGCTCAATGCATTATAGCCACATGTTCACCTGGCTGTGGTACATCATTTATGAATGCAGCCTGCATCTGAATAACCCCACACACCCCAGCAGCGGCCATTCCAGGCCTTCCATTCTCTGTTGTCCTACCTGAGAAGAACTCAACTTATCTCTTGTTCCATTCTCTCCTTTCCTTTCAACATTTCTTTGTCCTGATCTTTTCAAGTTTCATACTTCCTAGAACTATTTGACATTGGTGAAGATTGCTAGAAATTAAAAACTGAATCCCAAAAGAATGACTCTCTGTTAGTGAAATGATGAGCATAGTTGCGGGTACAGCTCCACGTGTGGGAGAAGCAGTGGATATAAACTCTAGTTTTGGCTACATTGCTGTTGTACTGTGTGGTCTTGGGTAAGTCACTCAGTCTCTCTGGGCTTTCATTTCCTCAGCTATAAAAGAAAGAGTTTGGACTAGAATTGTGTGTTTTGCAAACAGGTTCACTGCTCTCTCAGGGACATATAGAAATATGAAGGGTGGAACAATTTTGGGTCATTATGATAAGCAGGGAAAAACTGCATTGCCTCAAATGCCTATGACCCCTGTTGAGGAACACAGGTCAGGATCCTTTTTAATTCCCTCTCCATTCTGACATTCTATCGATCCACCATGGGAAGCACTGTTGGATAGCAGTGTCTTTCTTACACTCCTCCCAATCTTATCAGGTGGCATCCAAAAGGCAAGGCTTTCTATTGTTTGCTATGGTCTAAAATCAGGACAGAATATTTAAAATCAGACTCTGGTCCAATATACATCCAGGACACAATCATCTCAGAAATCCAGAAGGTAATCCTTTTCCAGATAGCCACTGCTGCTGCTGCTTAACATTATTCTCTGCAGTCATCTCTCTGACTTCTCTGTTTCCTAGTCTCCTTTCTGTGGATCCTTTCATGTTTATTAACTGCTTTCTTTGAACATTTGCAATCATTATAAATGGCAAAAGAAAAAAAAATGTCTCCTGGGTTTTTCAGGAGAAAACAGGCAGATCCTCAAGTTTTGGTGCCTTCTAGGTCTTTCTGAGCCTACAGTGTCTGACATACAAGTGTCTCCTTACAGGAAAGAAAGAAAGAGAGCATGTGTGTGCTACAGAACAAGGCAGAGCAGATACATACTTTCCAGTCAACTCCAGGCACATTTATTCAGCAAACTTCCTCCTAGCTTCTTCACTTACTGCTGCCAGTGAAACCAAATTAATGATCTAGCCAAAATCTTACACTCTCAGAATCATAATTATGTTAATGTTTTTCTCAAAGCCATCTTTTGATTCACTGTATTTACATAAATTTTCAAGTTATTTTTTTTTTCCTCACTCAATCCTTTTAATTTACCACTCCTCCTGGTGATGATGGCATTCCTGATCATCTACATTTCTTACCAGCTGGTTCTTATTTCTTTTCTTTTCTCTGGGATTTTCCCTTCAACTACTGTGTGCCCTAAACCCAGAATATGTCTACAAAATCCTTAACATCTACTCATTTTCAGGAGCCCCTTGGGAGTGGGCACTGACCTCCTTAGTCTAAACCTTGCTCACAGCAGCATCCTAATTTATCTAGGCCTATCTAGAAGGCTAAGGAGAGAGCTTCCCCTCAGGAATCTATGGGAAAGATTTTTCTAATGGAAGAGTGGCATTCAAACTAAATTCTAGTTTTGGCTGCACTGCTGTTGTACTGTGTGGTCTTGGGCAAGTCACTCAGCCTCTTTGGGCTCTCATTTCCTCAGCCATAAAAGAAAGAGGTTGGACTAGAATTGTGTGTTTTGTAAACAAGTTCACTGCTCTCTCAGAGACATATAGAAATATGAAGGGTGGAGCAATTTTGTGAGGGTCACAGTTGGGAAAGGGATAGAAATTGCTTGACAATTTCTTCTGACCTGGCTTTTCCTCTCAGCGTCCTGGCCAGAGAGGAAAAATAAGTAAGAAATGGCTTTCAAATATCTATCTGAGACAAGGGTACCAGGCATCATTGCCAAAGCCCAATGCATAAGATAATTCTAGCGGACCAATAAACAACTTGGACCAGCCTCCATCTGGTCCGGAAGAGAAAATAACAGGAGAAAACATGATCTAATAGCGCAGCAGCACATTTAGGGGCATATGGGACTTCATGGCCAACTTCGTAAACAATAAATATCCCAAGAGTCAGTGCACTGGACTTGGACCCTTTAGTTAAAATTCCAAATGGGGCGGCCTAGAGGGAAAGCACTTGTGATCCTTAGAAAATTAAGAGCTTCAAGTGTTAGAGGCCACTTAGAATGATGAGGCCTTGATGAGACATCTCAGAGGTCATTTCACCAAAGAGCAGGTTTCAAGGAGAACAATATCTAAGCCATCACCATCACATAGAGTAAGTTTCTCTCACTAAATATCTTCATAAAAGATTCCTCAACTCACCTTAACACTCATTAAGATCTTCTGAAAATCTAACAGAAAATTCTCCCTCTAACTAAAATTCTTTTTGTTGCCCCCCAAATCCATTTATAAAGGACCCCTTGGTTGCTCAAAAACAACTCCATTACAGTCTGCCTAATGATAGAAATGTTCTCCTTTCCCTAAAGGGTCTTTTATTCACCAACCTGGGCTTCCATATTTCTTGGTACAAAAAGATAGAATGGTATTAGTGGGTATGCCCATAATCATATATACATTATCTTGCTACAGGAATCACAGGACCAGAAAGGCAGAGGGCCACTTGGAGTAGGAGTGAGGATGGGATGAAGTTAAAGTGCCATGAAGAAAATCAAGTTTGAATTCAGAGTTAACATTCCAGTTTGGTTTAGCCAATTAAGGCATATTTGTTTTACTGAGAAATTTTAGAAAAATCAAAGACTGACTCACCATTACCTCAAGCAATGTTATAACTGAGCCATCATAATTGTGAACACTAAAAATGACTCATTTCTGGATTTCCTAGAACTTCATTCTATCAATTGTTTACTATGTAAAAACATAGACTTTTTAGTTGGAATAGAGATTATTTCATTTAGGGTCCTCCCCTACAGATGAATCTAACTACATTCCCAATACATGGGCCTGTAAACCTCAGCTAGAACAAGTTCAGGGATCAGGTAACTAATTCCATCCCAGAATAAATTTAGTGGTCAAAAAAAAAATCTCTGTGATCTTGAGTTCAAATGTTTTTCCTCGAAATTTCTACCATGGGCCTTGGCACTTCTGAAACAACATTAATACATACATATCCTCTGACTCCGGAGAGCCTGTCAAATTTTTAAAAAACAGATGTCACATTCCTCATAAGACACTTTTGGAAAATCGTCCCTTAGTGCTACAATCATTTCTCATATTTCGTTATTTCAAGAGTCTTCATTATTCCATTTAGCACTCTTTAGACAGATATCTGGAACAAAATGCAGTACTCCAAGACCGTGGACATTATATCTCAGTCAATACAATCAAACACTGTATCATTTGTGATACAGTCAATTTTCTATGCTTAGTTCATTTCTTTTTTTACTAGTACATATAAAGTTATCATAAAAAGTTAGTTGGTAATGAAAAAGTAATTTTCAGAATGAGAAACGCGAATGACCATGAATCAAACAAAATTAGATGTTCAACCTCATTACTAAGCAGGAAAATGCAAATTAAAACAAAAATGAAATATCATTTCACACTCATCAGATTGGCAAATTTTAAAAGTCTAATGATAGAAGTATTGGCAAGCATGTGGAAAAATAGGAATTCATATACTGCCAGTGGAAGTACAAATTGGTTTAACCACTTTGGAAAGAAATTTCGCAACATATAATATTGAAGATGCACACAACCTACAACCCAGAATTTATATTTCTACAAAGTTTATTACAGAAACTCACACATGCTCACAGCGAATTATGCCCATGATGTAATTACAACATTGTAATTGCAAAAAGGGGAGACAGGAAAGAAAATAAGTTCTTTCAATGGCAAAGGGTTAAATGCATTGTTATACCTATGCAGAGAAATACTGCATTTAAAATGAACGGAACATGAATAAATCCTGAAAACATAATATTGAGTGAAAAAAGTTGTAGATGAATATGTATACTATAATATTTATATATTTTAAAACACACTGAACAATTTTAAGCATTACTTGTAGTCAAATGTGTGTCTATATAGGATATATATGTGTATATATCCTATTTTAATCTTTGCCTCTAGAAAGGAGAAGGAGGAAGATGAACAAGATCAAGAAAAAAGTATTCTAATGTCTCTGTAACATTTTATACCCATAAAAATACTGATGTAAGTATGGCAAAATATTAATATCATTGAATTTGGATGGTATGGTTGGTTGTCTGTTGTAGTCTTAACTTTTAGTTTGTTTAAAAATATTTCATGTTTTCAAATAAACTATAAAACAATGCAAAATTTGGAAACTAGTTTAAAAGTGTAATAAATAAATGAATTATTACATAAAGGATAATATTGTCAACATTGTTTTATTTTGATCCAGATTTTTTTATATTTTGTTTTGAAATAACTATCGTCTTATATAAAACCTGCAAAAATAGTAGGAAGTGTTTATGTATACCCTTCACCCAGTTTTCCCTAATGTCAAAAATTTACATAACCTTAGTGCAATTATCAAAATCAGGAAGTTAACATTGGTACAATATCATCAATACAACTATATACCTTATTTGAATTTCTCCAGTTTTTTCTCTACTGCCCTTATACTATTCCAGGATGCTACACTTCATTTAGTTATTGTATCTCCTTAGTCTCATCCAATCTGTGACAGTTCTTCAATCTTTATTTATCTTTCTTGGCCTTATACTTTTCATCAGAAGGCTTCTCAATTTGGATTCTCTAGCCTTTTCTAATGATTAGATTGAAATTATGCCTTTTTTGATGATAGTACCACAGAAATGATGCTGGATCCTGCTCGGTGCATCATTTCAGGGGATACATGATATTAATAGTCTTATTACTGGTAATGGCAACCTTGATCACTTAGGTTAAGGTGATACCTGTTTTCCCTGTAAAATTACTATCCCCAACTTTGTAATTGATAAATATCTTGGATAAGATACTTTAAGACTACTAACATCGTGTTTCCTCTCAAACCTCACCCACTGATGGTGGCAACTATCAGTAGATTTCATCTGCAACAATTATTACTGTGATATGTGCCTAATGGTCATTTAATTTTAAAACTTCCTCATTCCTTCTATATTTATTAATTGGAATTCCTCTGTAAGGAAGGGCTGCCACTTATCTCACATTTATTTATGTATTGAATTATAGGTTTATATCAATATGATTCCATATTTATTTTATTCTATGAGTTATAATCCCATACTATCATTATTTATTTTATCAGCCAAATTTTTTCAGCTTTGGCCAGTGGGAGTTCCTTGAGGTTGGCGCCTGTGTTCTTCGGACATGCTTTCCATCACTTTTCAAACAGTTCTGGTACTACAACGCTCATCTTCTATTTTCCCTGACCCTTCCCTGGAATCAAATGCTCATTTGCTGAACTCTGGTTTCTTTTATTGAAAAATGGCATTTAGAAAACTAGCATCATCGTGTTGGTTGTCCTGTGCCTATGAAAGTTTGCAGTGGGTAGAGAGCAGATTAATCTTAGACCCTCTCAGCAGACAGAGCTTAGAAATGCATGAATGTACAATAACTTGTGCATACACGCCTATGAATATTTATTATCTGTCCCCATATATATTAAGCCTACTGTATGTGTGAGCTACATACTCTAATGTGACACCATAATGTCCATTCTGTTCTAGCTTCAGGCCCTTGCCCGTTCCTTATTTGTTACTTCTTTCTCCAACAGTAAGATGATACTGGCTCTCATTAACTACAATATAGTCACTAATTTGTTCAGTCTTAGGACACATATAAAATAGCTACAAAATTGCTAAAACATATCTCCTCCTCCACATGAAAAACAGATTTACTAGAGTATAGTATTTGTGTACGATTTTTTTGTCTTTAGCCTTATAGTATCCAGTCAAAATACTACTTTCCAAAGTTACTTATTTTCCTTCCCATCCCATCCACTGTGGTTATATTATTTGTTTGTAATACAGCTAAGTTCATTTGTCGATGTATTTATTTTGTAATTTTCCCACATCCTGGTTGATTTTAATTATTTGTGGGGAGGGTGAGTGGAAATGTGAAATATTACCATGGTATGTCAAAGCTAAACAAAAAGGTATATTCAGGAAAGTGCTTTATCCCTACTGTCTCATTTCCATTAGTCCTTTCTTTATAACCCTTTTCCAATCCACTCCCTGTAGGTAACTATTAATAATTTCTACCTCCACTTTCCTATGGTTTTGTTTGTTTTAGAGTGTGTAGGGGTGCATTTATATGTGTGTGTGCACAAATGCACAGGTATGAGTATTTTGTTAAGTCGTCTTCTTCCTAATATTAAAAGTAGTAAACTGGCTGGTTTTTGTGTTTTTGTTTCTTGTATTTGTATTGTTTTGTTTTGTTTGGATGTTATCGTTACTTTGGGGTTTTTTTCACTTTGCTGAGTTCAACTAACCATATGTTCTACAAAAATCAATTTATAGATAATTTCCCTTTTTTAAACAGCTATATAGTGCTTCATTGTATGGATATTGTTGGGGATGTTTGCATTTCTTCACATCTTTTGAGCAAGACACTGACTGCCCTTTGTTCCAGACTATCTTTTCAGGCATATTTGTATAGCCAACAGTCTTGAAATATAGAGATAGCATCTTCCTCAGAACAAAGGGCAGGCATGTTTACTGTCTAATATCAAAGATACGCACTCTCTAATCTCAGAATTCCTCAATCGTACAGGAAGTCAATCATTGTACAGACAGATTATATGAAGGTGTATCTGCCACTATTTGCTTTACCCTGTGGGAATTGGGGCTGATAAAACTGGTGCCAAAAATGGCATACTTTGGCTACATTTACTCTAGGTAATAAACTTTCCTTCATCTCTGACCTAGGAGTCTCACGCCTTCTGTTAGATTCTACAAAACTGTGACAGTGTTTTGACTTGCAGATAGGGTAAAATTTCAGACACTTCACAGTTCTTGACAGATGTGTCATAATTTATTTAACCACTATCCTATATATGGGCATTTAGGTACCACAGTTCCACAGTTTAATGGCTGCTGATAGAGGACATGAGACCCATAGATTAGAGACAAAGGACTTTATTATGTGTGTGTATATATATATATGTATGTGTGTGTGTGTGTGTGTGTGTGTGTGTGTGTCTATGTGGATATATATACATACATATCCAAGAATAATAAATCACTATTGTTTTAATTTGCATTTCTCTATTAATGAGTTTGAACATATTTATATGATTAGGAGATATATATACTTTTTGGTGAGTTATCTGTTTATGCATTTTCCCATTTTTCTATTTTTTCCCCTTTGTCAAGTTTTAAAAGATCTTCATATACTGGGAATATTAACTTATGTCCGTGGTATGTGTTGTAAATGTTTTTACCCAATCAGTTGTCTTTTAACTTTGATTGTTTAAATTTTTCTCATTTCTAATTTTTGTGGGTACATAGTAGACATGTGTATTTATGAGATACATGAGATGTTTTGGTACAGGCATGCAATGTGTCTTTTAGCTTTGTTTTTAGTGTTCTGACATGCATTTTTACATTTTTATGTAGACAAATTGATCAGTCTTATTTTCTTGCCGCTGAATTTTGAGAGATAGTTAGAAATCCCTTTTGCACACCAAGATTATAAAGGAATTTGTCTATATTTTCTTCTAATACTTGCATGGTTATTTTTTTGTGTTTAGATTCTGTTTTAGTCAGAGTTCTCCAGAGAGGCAGAAATGATAGGATATATTTAGAGAAAGAGATATATATGACAAGGGATTTATTAGGGAAATTGGCTCATTTGATTATGGAGGCTGAGAAGTCCATAACATGTCACCTGCAAGCTGGAGAACCAGGGAAGCCAGCAGTGTGGCTCAGTCCATGTTCAAAGGCATTGGAACCAGAGAAGCCACTGGTGTAATTCTGAGTCTGAGGCCAAAGGCCGGAGAACCCTTGTGCAAGTCCCAGAGTCCATAAGTCAGAGAATGTGGAGTTGACCTATAAAAGGGCAGGAGGAGCAGGCATCCTGGCTCTGGAAGAGAGAGCGAGAATTAGCCCTTTCTCCTCCTTGTTTTTCCATCTGGGTCCACAGCTGATTGGATGGTTACTGTCCACACTGAGGCTAGATTTTCCCCCATTCAGTCCACTGGCACAAATGCCAATCTCCTTCAGAAATACCCTCACAGACACACATCTAGAGCAGACCAATCTTTCTGTCAAATGCCAAAGCACCTGGGTTTCCTGTCCAGCAGGAGAGGGATGCGTTCAGTGCCTACTGAAGCATTGAGAATAATCAGTGCTTTACCAGCTATCTATATATCCTTTAATCTAGTCAAGTTGACACCCAAAACTGATCATCACAAATCCCTAATCCATTTGGAGTTTGTTCTTATGTACATTGTGAGGTATGGGCCTAATTTTATCTTTTTCACAGTGGCTACAGGTAGTCCCAGCATCAATTATTTAAAAGTTCATCTTTGCCCCAGTAATTTGAGATAACATCTTTATCATATTCTAAATTTCCTTGTGTATATGGGACAGATTCTTTACTTTCTATTTTATTACACTAATCTATTTTTTCTATTCATACACTAATACTATGTCTTCCAGTTTTTCCAATGCAATTGTTAAACATGATTGAGATCATAAGGTATAAGCAATTTTGTATACTGCTTTTTCACTTCACATTATAGCTGAAATATTCTGTAACATATTGAAATCATTTTAAGAAGTTGCATAATGTTCTGTGTTATTATTATAATTTACTTTAATATTCCTCATTTTTGGACATTTGGATTACTTCAATTTTTTCTATTATAAATCATACAGTAATAAAGAGATACTTGCTTTTTTATTAAACTTTTTATTTTGTGATAATTGTAGATTCACAGACAGTTATAAGGAATAATACAAGGAGATTTTGTGTGCCCTTTGCCCAGTGTCCCCAAATATAATATCTTGCAGAACTGCAGTACAGTATCACAACCAGGATATTGATATAATCAAGATACTGTACATTTCCATCACCACAAGGATCCCTCATGTTTTCTTTTTATAGCCACACACATTTCCTTTCCACTTCCACCCTCACCCCATATATACCCTCCTTAATCCCTGGAAATCACTAATCTGTTTTCCATTTATATAATGCCATCACTTTAAGAATAAATTATACAGTATGTAACATTTTCTGATTGGCTTTTTCCACATAGCATAATTATCTGGAGATTCATCTAAATGTCATATACATCAATAGTTTGTACTTTTATGTTGCTGAGCAGTATTCCATGAAATAGATTTACTATAGTTAATTTAATCATGTATCACTGAAGTACATTTAGATTGTTTCCAGTTTGGAGCTATTTCAAATAAAGCTGATATGAACATTCAGGCACAGGAATTTTTGTCAGCATAAGTTTTCATTAATCTTAGAAGTATGCCCAAGAGTACAACTGCTAAGTTATAAGGTAGTTTCTGTTTTTTAAGAAATCATGAAGTGTTTCCTCCCATTTTATTTCCTGGAAGAGATTGTGTAGATATTATAGAATTGGTGTTATTTCAGAATTGGCGTAGATTGCTCCAGTGAAATAATATGGGTCTGGAGATTTCTTTATTTAGAGTCTTTAAATTATGCATTTAATTTCTTTAAGAGTTTCAGGGCTATTAAAATTACCTATTTCATATTAGGTGAATTGTTGTAGTTTGTACTTCTCAAGGAATTGGTCCATTTTCATCTAAGTTGTCAAATTTATTTGAAAAATTGTTCACAGTATTCCTTTATTACCCTTTTAATGTCTGCAGAGTCTCTAGTGATATTCATTCCTTATATTGGTAATTTGTGTCTTTTCTCTTTTTTCGGTATTTCTAGAAGTTTGTCAATTTTATAGATTTTTAAATAGCTTTTGTTTCATTTATTTTCTTTATTGTTTTTCTGTTTTAATCTTCATTGATTTCTGCTTTTACATTTATTATTTCTCTCCTTCTGCTTAATTTGGGTTTATTTTGCTCTTCTTTTTCTAGGTTATTGAAGTGGAAGCTTAGGTTGATTTGAGATGTTTCTTCTTTTCTAATCTAAGCATTTAGAGATGTAAATTTACCTCTTGGCACTGCTTCAGCTCTCTTATATATTTTGATGTGCTCTATTTTCACTTTCATGAAGTTCATTTTTTTAATTGCCATGAGATTTCCTCTTTGACAAATGAGAGTATTTTGTCTAGTCTCCAAGTGTTTAAAAAATTTTATTATTTTTATGTTATTTATATCTACCTGGATTCCATTATGATCACAGAACACACTCTGTGTGGTTTTAATTCTTTAAAATATATTAAAGTTTGTTTTGTGGTCCAGGATAATTCTATATTGCTATATGTTCCACAGGCATTTGAAAATAATGTTTATTCTACTTTCATAGGTTAAAGTATTCTATAAATGCCAATTATATCCTAATGATTGATGGTATTATTGAGTTCTATATCTTTGCTGATTTTCTGTCTACTTGTTCTCTCGATTGTTGAGAGAAGGGTCTGAAAGTCTCCAACTATAATTGTCAATTTGTCTATCTTTCCAGTTCTCCTCGTTTGTGTTTCACATATTCTTCAGTTATATTATTTGGTGCACACACATCAAGGATTGCCTAGTCTTCTTGGTAGATGGACCTTTTTATCATTACATAACAATTGTTTGATGTTAATATAGTCAATTAATTTAGTCCTTTTTTTTTTTTTTTTTTTTATTGATCATTCTTGGGTGTTTCTCGCAGAGGGGGATTTGGCAGGGTCATAGGACAATAGTGGAGGGAAGGTCAGCAGATAAACAAGTGAACAAAGGTCTCTGGTTTTCCTAGGCAGAGGACCCTGTGGCCTTCCGCAGTGTTTGTGTCCCTGGGTACTTGAGATTAGGGAGTGGTGATGATTCTTAACGAGCATGCTGCCTTCAAGCATCTGTTTAACAAAGCACATCTTGCACCGCCCTTAATCCATTTAACCCTGAGTGGACACAGCACATGTTTCAGAGAGCACAGGGTTGGGGGTAAGGTCACCGATCAACAGGATCCCAAGGCAGAAGAATTTTTCTTAGTACAGAACAAAATGAAAAGTCTCCCATGTCTACTTCTTTCTACACAGACACGACAACCATCCGATTTCTCAATCTTTTCCCCACCTTTCCCCCCTTTCTATTCCACAAAACCGCCATTGTCATCCCCGCCCGTTCTCAATGAGCTGTTGGGTACACCTCCCAGACGGGGTGGTGGCCGGGCAGAGGGGCTCCTCACATCCCAGTAGGGGTGGCCGGGCAGAGGCGCCCCTCACCTCCCGGACGGGGCGGCTGGCCGGGCAGGGGGCTGACCCCCCCCCACCTCCCTCCCGGACGGGGCGGCTGGCCGGGCGGAGGGCTGACCCCCCCACCTCCCTCCCGGACGGGGCCGCTGGCCGGGCAGGGGGCTGACCCCCCCACCTCCCTCCCGGACGGGGCGGCTGGCCTGGCGGGGGCTGACCCCCACCTCCCTCCTGGATGGGGTGGCTGCCGGGCGGAGATGCTCCTCACTTCCCAGACGGGGTGGCTGCCGGGCGGAGGGGCTCCTCACTTCTCAGACGGGGCGGTTGCCAGGTGGAGGGTCTCCTCACTTCTCAGACGGGGCAGCCGGGCAGAGACGCTCCTTACCTCCCAGACGGGGTTGCGGCTGGGCAGAGGCGCTCCTCACATCCCAGACGGGGCGGCGGGGCAGAGGTGCTCCCCACATCTCAGAGGATGGGCGGCCGGGCAGAGACGCTCCTCACTTCCTAGATGGGATGGCGGCCGGGAAGAGGTGCTCCTCACTTCCTAGATGGGATGGCGGCCGGGCAGAGACGCTCCTCACTTTCCAGACTGGGCAGCCAGGCAGAGGGGCTCCTCACGTCCCAGACGATAGGCGGCCGGGCAGAGACGCTCCTCACTTCCCAGACGGGGTGGCAGCTGGGCAGAGGCTGCAATCTCGGCACTTTGGGAGGCCAAGGCAGGCGGCTGGGAGGTGGAGGTTATAGCGAGCTGCGATCACGCAACTGCACTCCAGCCTGGGCACCATTGAGCACTGAGTGAACCAGACTCCGTCTGCAATCCCGGCACCTCGGGAGGCCAAGGCTGGCGGATCACTCGCGGTTAGGAGCTGGAGACCAGCCCGGCCAACACAGCGAAACCCCATCTCCACCAAAAAAGTCTAGTCCTGTATTGAAGTTTGTATGATATATATTTTTCATCCTTTGACTTTTGATCCACCTATATGATTATATTTCAAGTGGTACTTGTATAGACAGCATGTGGTTTCTTAATCCACTCAACCAATCTCTGTCTTTTAATTGATATAATTAGACCATTTACATTTAATGTGATGATTCATATGTCAAGACTTAAGTTTTCCATTTTTGTGTATGTGTTTTGTTTTTTCTATTTTTCATTTCTTTCTGTTTTCTTTTTCCTGTCTTTCTGTGGGTTACTCAAACATTTTTTAGAATTCCATTTGATTTATATATAGTGTTTGTGGGTATATCTCTTTGTATAGCTTTGTTAGTGGTATGACATTTTATATATATATATACACATACACACACACATATATATACACACACACATACACATATAAAAAAATCACAGTCTACTGGTGCTGACAATTTATCTGTTCAAATGAAGTTTAGGAATCTTACCTCTCATAATGTCCCTTTACTCTCCCTATTTATAGTATAATTGATTTAAATACTTTCTCCCTATATATTTAGGATTATATCAATGTTATAATTTTTGCTTCAATTGTCAACCATAATCCAGAAAACCCAAAAGGAGAAAGTTTATTATATTTGCCCATATTTTTCCTCTTTCCATTGTTCTTTCTTCATTTCCGACATTCAAAGATGCCTTCTTTAATCATTTTCTTTCTTTTTAGAGAGCTTCTCTTAGTTATTCTTATAAACTAGGTATTTTGGTAATGAATTCTCTATTTTCTTTATT
This sequence comes from Homo sapiens, assembly GCF_000001405.40. NCBI lineage: Eukaryota > Metazoa > Chordata > Mammalia > Primates > Hominidae > Homo > Homo sapiens. The sequence goes on from NC_000003.12 coordinate 118,720,016, forward strand.
TGAAAATGTCTTGATTCCCCCTTCATTCTTGCAGAATATATTCATTGAATATAGAATTCTGAGATGACAAGTCTCTTCTACCAGTGCTTGAAAAAAATATAATGCCACTTCCTCTGGCCTTCATGTTTTCCAGTAGGAAATCTGGTGTCTTTCAAATAGTTTCTTCCCCCATAAGTAAAGTGTCATTTTTCTCTAACTGTTTTCAAGATTTTTCCTTTGTTTCCATTTTCAGAAATTTGACTATGATGTGTATTGGTGTAGACTTCTTTGGGTTTATCCTATTTTAGAGTCACTCTGCTTCTTGAATCTATAGGTTAGTCTTTTACCAAATTTAGGAAATTTCAGCCATTATTTCTCTGAGAATGTTTCCAGTCCCAACCTTTTTTCTCTCTTTACATGATTCTAAAAATACAAATATTAGAAATTTCGTTGTAACCTGGCAGGTCTTTTAGGCACTGTTCATTTTTTAAGATATTTTCACACTCTTGGTGAGATTAACTTATTTATAGTGTTCTATCGTCAAATTCAGTGATTCCTTCCTTTGTAGCCTCCGTTCTTCTGTGGAGCCTGTCCATTGAGATTTTTGTTTCAGTTATTGTATTTTCCATTCCTAAATTTTTCATTTAGTTCTTCTTAGTATTTTCTATTTCTTTGCTTTAACTCTATTTCGTTGTTGATACTTCGTATTTTTTCAGTTGTTTTAAGTTTATTCTAATTATTTTTGAAGCACTTTTACTATGGCCACTTTAAAGTCTTTGTCAAACAACTCTAACATCTCTGTCATCTTGGCAGTAGTATCTATTCATCATCTTTTCATTAAGTTCAGATTTTCCTAGTTCTTGGTATGATAATTGATTACTATGTTGAAGCTTGGTGTATCGTGTATCTTGTATTATGAAACTTTGGATCTTACATAAAACTTCTCTTTTAGCTAGCTTTCTTTGGCACTGCTGTGGCAGGGGAAGGGATAGATTTCACCTTGTTACTGCCAGGTTAGAAGTCTAGGTACCCCACTCAGCCTTTAGTGACCCTTAGGTGGATGGGTTCCTCATTACCTCTGGGCAGAACTGAGAGTTCTGTTTTCCCACTAGGCCTTTCTTGATATGACCCTGGCTGCGAGCGATAAAAGTCCTTGTTAATGCTCCTCATGTAGACTCCACTGACACCACAGGGGGGTGACCTTGTTAGCAGTGGGCAATTATAACAGTCCTAATCTCTATGATACCACCCTAGTTGGAAATGGGAAGGGTGCTTTGTTAGTGTCAAGTGGAAGTGGAACTCCTGAATCTACATGTGGTCTCCACTGACATCACAGGTTGGGCAAGGGGAGTTGGTTACCAACCCAGATTCTTACTTCATCTTCTCTGTATTCGCCCTGGTAGGGGGTGACAGGAGAAGGTGGACTGCCTTCCTGACGAGGGGTGGATGTTTAGCCTTCCCATTTGGCCTTTGCTGGCATGGGTGGGGTTGGGACCACAGTTTTTTCTGTGGTGTTTGTCTTGAGTGAAACTGTACCTAAAAATTTTCTGTCTTGGTAGGTTGACCCTTTTTTAGTCCTTTAGCTTGAGAGTAGGCTTTCGTTAGGATTTTTTGGTCTGTGCCTTTTGGTCTTTCTAGTTACTGGTGTCTTCAGTTCCAAGTCTGAGATATGTAGAGCAAAAGCAGAACCCACAGAACACATCACCATGACATTCCTGGAGTCCAGAGGTCCCTAGAAAGTCTGCGTTCTTTGTTTACCTATAATAGTCTTCTTGGTTTTATATATAATGTCCATGATTTTTCATTGTACTTAGCAAGAGGAATAGGAAAAAATGTATCTACTCCATCTTCCCAAAACCGTAATCTTTTGTTTTTAAAATTTACTATTTCTGTAGGATAAAGCACATAAAATGCAATTATTGGAGCAAAGTATAAAATCACCTCAAAGGATCTTAGTACATATTTTCAAATTGGTTTTCAGAAATGTGTATCAATTATTATTAGGTTTATATGTCATATGGAATGTTTTTTATTATACCATGTTCTCTCTAGTATTATGTATTACTGTTTGTTAAGTCTTCCCTAATTTGATAGGCAAATGTAGAACTTCATATTTGTTTTAAGGTATAATTTTGTGGTAATTAGTAATAGTTAACATTTGGTTTATTCAAATTTTAATCGCCACTACTAACTTTACTCTCATGATTTTTTAGTCATACTTTTTTACCCTTTTTTATATTTCTCTTATCGTTTATCTTTTATTATTTATATATTTAAATATTACCTTTTATGTATATATTTGTTGCACTTGGTAGCAAACCTTTATTTCTCTATATTATGTATTTTGGTGTACATACATTTTAACATTTTTATCTAGTTAAATCTACTGATATTTTTGTATGTGATTATTTTTGACAACTGTAAGGTTAGCAAATGTTTTCCAATGCAGAAATTCAATAAATATTTCCTCTGTTTCAAGTTTCTTTTTTGTTTATCACATGTACAATTATTAATTTGTCTCATATTTATTTTGGTGCAAGACATGAGATGATATACAAAGGATGATTTCTATGTTTTACATGTGGCTCCCTAATTGTTCTAAACCCATTTACTACTTTTCTTCAAAACATTTTCTAGAAATTCTCATGTGATCTCAGCTAAAGACCTATCATAGGACACTGAATTCTCAGTTGACATGCAATATCCTCAAATATTGGGGCTGACAGAGAAGTCAACATCATTTGACTGATGACCAGAGAACACGGAGGTAATGTGGTTTCTTCATATTTTGAGGGAATGAAACAATTAAAATGACAAATGAGTCCTCCAGGGTCCAATCAAAATTAACAGCAAGCACATACTGCAGAAATTCTTCTTAGAGGACCCTGAGGAAACCCTTATCACCTAATCAAGGGGAGGGGCCTAACGTTCTGGGGGAATTTCATGCATCTGGTGGGATTCAATATAGGTCCAAACTGATGAAAATGTCAAAACAATCTTGTGATAAAACATAGAAAAGGATGGCTTTGGCCAGGCACAGTGGCTCACGCCTGTAATCCCAGCACTTTGGGAGGCTGAGGCGGGTGGATCACCTGAGGTGGGGAGTTCGAGACCAGCCTGACCAACATCGAGAAACCCCGTCTCTATAAAAAATACAAAATTAGCCGGGCGTGGTGGCGCAAGCCGGTAATCCCAGCTACCAGGGAGGCTGAGGCAGGAGAATCACTTGAACCCAGGAGGCAGAGGTTGCGGTGAGCCAAGATCGTGCCATTGCACTCCAGCCTGGGCAACAAGAGTGAAACTCTGTCTCAAAAAAAACAAGAAAAGAAAAAGAAAAGGATGGCTTCAAGTTCATAGCCCACCACCACCAAAACATGACCTATTTGAGGCTATGTCAGTTTGCTGCAAAGTTCATTTTACATAGTAGAATTTAAGCTATTTGAAGCCTGCACCATCAGATTTCCATTATGTGAACAAGATGGTGAAATTTATCTGCTTCATGCTAGATGACTTAAGCCACCAGGGTCAGGAACTAAGATGCATTTTAAATGACATAAGCCATGCTGTAGAAAAAGTCAGCCGTTTCTCGAAATGAAAAGAAATGTAGAGTCCATAACCATGTGATTTCCACAAGCAGACAATTCCTTCATCTTGTCTCTCTTTTTCTGGGTTCTCTATGCCTACTATGTATCAGTTATGCCCCTTCGGTCCTTGCCTTCCTTCTTTCAGACCACCCTTCCAGAACTGGCATCCCCTTCTCCCTGGTAACAATTCAGACTTCCTTCCCTCCTGCCTTGTTGGCCAACATACTAACTCTAGTCTCAAGATGCTCCTTACTAGCTTCTTGAAACTGGCATTTTTGATAACTCATATAAGCGGATACCTTGAGATAAAACTTAACATGTTGGTATTCACAAATTTCCCCTTTACCTACTTAGCTTTTTCTCCCAGCCTCACTCTCTGAACAGAAAGAGCCAAAGCTGCTTAGAAGGGTTATCACAAGAAAATCAATCAGGATAATAATTGTAATTACCAGAGGAGTTGTATGCATAAAAGGGAGAGAGGGAGAACTAAATAAACAAGGTAGCATATGAGGATAGGCAAGATAGAGGGTCTGGAACATAAAAGAGTAAGAGACGCCGGGCGCGGCAGCTCACACCTGTAATCCCAGCACTTCGGGAGGCCGAGGCGGGTGGATAACGAGGTCAGGAGTTCAAGACTAGCCTGGCCAACATAGTGAAACCCCGTCTCTACTAAAAATAGAAAAAATTAGCCGAGCCGGGCATGGTGGCAGGCGCCTGTAATCCTAGCTACTCGGGAGGCTGAGGCAGGAGAATCTCCTGAACCCGGGAGGCAGAGGTTGCAGTGAGCCAAGATTGCACCACTGCACACCAGCCCCTGTGACAGTGTGAGACTCCATCTCAAAAAAAAAAAGAAAAAAGAGTAGGAGACTGAGTTTGGAGGGTTAGAAAATAGTATAGAACAAAACATTTAATAGAATTTTCCAAGATCATTCTTAGTGTTTAAGAGAGATATTGAATAAATATCAAAATGTACGTCTAGGTCTTGAGATTAAAAATGCAAAACTATTCTAGGACCAGAGCTGCACTACTAGCATCACATTTATAAATATTTCATATTAAACCAATCATTCCTCTACAGTTTGGGTGTCTTGTGGAGGAGAAGGGAGATGGTGAGATGGTATCTCTTCTAACAGAGTATCAGAGAGGCCTACATGCCACTCCTATTAAACCAATAATACCTTGAAGCCAAGGAATTTGTCTGATTCATAATTAAATTGCCAGTCCCTAGTACAGAATCTCAATCCCTGGTACATAGTGGGTGTTTTATGAATGTTAGTGAATATATGACATACAAACTTCATGTGCTAGTTCCAGGCTAAATTTATCTGAATGGTTTCTGAAAATCAGATCAGTCCATTCTTTCTGGATGATAACATCTCAACACTACCAAGATAGTCTTTCTGTGGGAAACCCACAACATAGGGTTACAAACGCTACAATTCAACCACTGCAGTTCAAACTAGACTAGACCATCATGATCATGCCTGATTCCCAAAGAAGAGATGAAAGTGGATCAGCAGGTAGGAGCCAATGTAGAGATTTCATAATAAAACACGTTAAGACTTTTAAATAACAGATTTATAATAATTCTAACAAAACAGGCTTCAGAATTGACTAGGAATCTTTGCAGTATCAAAGATTAGATAGATCAAAGTCTGGCCTGTGGGGGTGGAACTGAATATGGTCAAAAGGCTTAAGGATAAAGACAGGGTTAACTAATGCAGCTTATATTCCTGTAAATGAGACATATTTTTATACATACCCTAAAGGAAAGTTTGTGTGTATTGGCTTAAGATAATTTTTCAGTTCACTGTAGATATAATAATGAATAAAACACTGTTCTTTGCTAAGAGGAGTTAGAACATTATTTACACATAATTCAGTAAATAAAGGCTGCAAAAAATTGGTGCTAGATAGTTAAGTCCCCTCACCTATACAAAAGGCCTTTATTCTTTATATCTCCTTTTTCTAGGGTAAGAGTTGTTTTGCTGAACCATTATAGGCAAGCTAAAAAGGGAGGAGAGGGAAAGTGAAAAGAAAGGATGAGGGGAGGCAAAAGAGGGGAGAAGAGAAGGGAGGGAAAGAAAGAACAAGGAGAGGAGGAAGGAGAGGAGAAAGGATAAGAGGCATCTATTTCTGGAAATATTGTAAGTTAAATACCCTGAATAACTGCTACTGATAGAAGCAACTAAAACAATGGATAACAAAATGTATAGAAATGCATTTTTAGAGACACTGCCGAACTGGCACAAAAGGATCCACAGTTTCCAAAAGTTGAAATGAAACCCAAATCATGGGGAAAAAAATAAGCACCACAACTAGATTTTCCTTAATGGCTTCATTTGAACCCTAAAGACTCTATGTTTCTGTGTATCAGCAATATGAGTTCTGGGTGTAGGGAACAGAGGATAAAATCCCAAGCCCTTGAAGGCTCCCCTCAGAGAGAGGATGAATGAGAAATAACCCCTGCTACACAGAAGGGGATAACAAGAATTACAAATCCTCAAAATTTTGGCACTAGATAGAGGTGAAGAAACATTACCTGATAATTTGTAACAACAAGCCAGTCCTCATGGTGTTTTGGTCCATATTCATGTTATCTGAAAAACCTTACTCAGATAATACGATTTAAAGTGATCCCAGATTGGTAGACACTTCAGGTCCTTGGGTGGATAACTATAATCCTACCTGGAAGAACGCAATTTCAACCCAAGCCTAAAAGAATTCTTATAGAAAAATTCCCAACATAAATAAAAAGTTCACAACAGAGGAAAAAACAAAAGAATAAAAAGGCTCCTTGACTTAGCACTAGAGGACATACACAAGGATCTGCCCACAAACACAGTAACAAACACTTCAGATATCATTTAAATGTGGAACGTAAATTACTTACATTTTATTAAGTCCTTAGAAATAGAAGATAAACTTGAAAACAAGAAGGAAAACAAGAGACTGAAAAACAACCACTAGATGAAAAATCCTCTAAGTAAGGGTAAATTAAACAGTGGATTGGAAACTGCCAGAGAGAGAATAATTTTATGACTTCCACATAAGAAGGTTTTCTTACACAGAACTCTAAAATAAAAACCACAAAGAATAAAATAATTTGATTCTGTATCACCTCCATATAGTATTTCCTATAGGCCAAGCATCATTCTCATTACTTTACATGCACATATGTAATTCTCCCTGTAAACCATTAAAGTTGACATCATTATTATCCTCATTTTGCAGATGACAAAACTGAAGGGATGGGACCTAAATTAACTTACCCAAAGTCACACAGCTAATAAATGCAGGTTCTGAGATTTGAGTCCAGGCAGTCTGGCTCCGACATCTGTGCCCTGAAGTAAAGATTTATAAATCTGAATACATTAAAATTTAAAAAAACTTTTCATCAAAAGACACCTTAAAGAAAGCTAGAAGATAAACACTAACTGGGAAAAGTTATTTCCAACATATTTAACCACCAAAGTGTTCATGCCCAGATTCTATACTAAACTCCTCAAGCCAATGCTGGCATTGAGCCATTTATGTTCTGCTGGTCATTTTCCAAATAATAACCTAAACACATGGATATCACCGCAAATTAGTTTCCACAACTCCACTCACTCAAGTTTAATTTTTCTCACAATCAGTTTACCTGGGATTGGGTTATGTTATTGTACATCCTGTCCATTACCAATATCCTTTGTCTTTGAAAACCACTGGCCTCAAATTTCCTTTAGAATGAATACAGTAAAAAATTTCTGAGAGACCTGAACAGTTTTCTGGAGACACCAGGAGTGTGTAGTGATTCTTTAAAGATTGGACTCTAGCCCCACCACCCACTTACTCTGCAAATGTGGGCAAGTTATTTAAACTCGTTGAGGTTCAGCTTTCTCATGTGTAAAATGAGGAGCATTGCCACAATTGAGTAAGATAATGTAGGTAAAAGAGCACCTCCTGGGAGTTTCTTAAAAGATTATATACATAGAGTCACCGTACAACTCTGTGATTCCACTCCTAGGTTTATACCCAAGAGAAATGAAAACATATGCCCACACAAAACTTGTACACAAATGTTCATAGCAGCTATATATATATAATAGCCAGAAAGTAGAAAGAACTCAAATGTCCACCAACTTATGAATGGATACACAAGGTATGATATACACATGCAATGGAAGATGATTCCATAATAAAAAGGGATAAAGGTCTGATTCATGCTGCAACATGGATAAACTTGAGAACATTATGCTAAGAGAAAAATTCCAGACACAAAGAGCCACATATTATATGATTTCATTTATATAAAATGTTCAGAATGGAAAAATATATATGGACAGAAAATAGATTAGTGGTTGCCAGGGGATTAGGGGAGGGAAGAATGAAAGTAACTGCCAATTGATACAGAGTTTATTTAGGGGTGATGAAATGTTCTAAAGTTAGATATAGGGATTTTTGCACAATTATGTGAATACACCAAAATCCACTGAATTGTAGACCTTAAAAGTGTGACATTCATAGTATTTAAATTATATCTCAATAAGGTTGTTATTTTGAAAAAGAACATATCTGCAGCTTTTGACACACAGTAAGTGCTCAGTAGTTACTGTTATTTTTACTCTTTTTAGCAGTCCATATGTCTTCTAGCATCCCTAAATTGTTTTGACCAATAGAAGTATTTTTTTAATTTCAAAAAAAAAACATAGTCCCAAATATCCATGTGCAAGAAACAGCATGGAAAACTTGAGAGGAGGGCCCAAGAAGACCTTTGCTAGGTGAGATGAAGAGACAGCCATGCTCTGATGTTGGAACTTGGGAGGACCCTTAGGTATGGTAAGCTTTAGAGCTACTTGAAGACTCTCAGGACTCCCTTGTGGGTACAAAGAACAGGTGGCTGCCTTCACAGTAATTATGCCAGCAATAAATTAAATTAGCTAGCATTCATTTTCCAGCTAGGTGCCAATCACCCTCTTTGTGTTACCTCATTTAATCCTCACCACTTACCTATAATTTTTATTCTATTCTAATCCCCATTTCACAGATAAGGAAACTAAGGTAGAGAGCAGTCATTTCCAGAACCAAGGCTTTTCACCATTATCATGCCACCTCTGACACAATCTTGGGAACCCAAGGAATTCTTCCCATATTTATTTAGTCATCACCATAGATAAACACATATAGGCTTACTATACCTGAGGCAGTGGTCTAAGTGTTACATATAAGTATGTTCATGTATTTAATTCTCACAACTCTCAGATGTAGCTAGCATTATTATTCTTATTTTCAAATGACACACATGATGCACAGAGAGGTTAGATGACATTCCCATGGCCACACAGTAGGTAGGTGACAGGATTGTTATTCGAATCTATATAGTCTGACTAGTAGGGTCTGCCCTCTTAATCACTCTGACGTATTGCTTCTCTAGCTGATGCATACAGTACTGGCTACATACCAAAACCTTGTCTAAGCCTTCCACATTTTGTTTTAAATCTTCAGAACAAAACTAGGTAATAGGCATTATTGTAAAAAATGTATTTTAGAGTAGCATGAAAATAAGTATAGAGAGTTAAAATATTCTGCACTCAATGAACAAGTTTCAAAGCCAAGACAATTTGATTTATATCAAAGTGATTTGGCACAGGAGTCCAGGCTTTTAACCACTACTCCACACTCCCTCAGCAGAGAATGAAATTTCTAGAAGTAGAGACAATGTTTATCATCATGCAATCAGAGATAAAGCTAAGACTGAAATATTCAAAATTTTTAAATGAAACAAACTAATACAAACAAGCAAATAACTTCTCCGCTTCCCCTGGCAGGATCAGGGATCACTGGACATCAGAGAATCCTGGAATTGGATGAGGAGGATATTTGCTTCCCCAAACATCAAGCTTTCATTATATCTCAGAGATTTTCTGTAGGACACACCTATCCTGTATTTAAAAAGCTGATTGGCCAAGTTGAATCAAAAAATGAGCTAATGAGCATAGTTCTTCCCCACTACCGAGTAGCTTTCCATCCCATGTTCCCTAAAGTGAAATGATGTGAGTCATGTCCATTTCCAGTTGCAGGTTCCTGAAGTTCTCTAGCCCTGCACCCCCACAGACTTGTACCACTTTGATAATGGCCTATGAAAACCTCCCCTCTGCTTCTCAAAACACACCTGTCCAAAGCAGACAGGGGGCGTAAGTTTCACTTCTTTGCTTCACTTCTAAGCAATCTACTTAATGCCATTATTCTCTTATCCAGTAATCCAGTTTGAGGCATGCCCAAGCCTAGAGCCTCTTCCTGACCTCTCCTCACTTCTGCCAGTACTGGGGCTATTTCTCGCACTTCCACTCTCAAAGCTGAATGTGACTGAAAGAAATATATAAAATAGAGCATTTTGGGGTCATTGTTTAGCATTATAGCTACAAGTTTGATTGGAGAGAAGACTGACACTACTGGTTAAAATGAAGTCTTTGTATTAATCTATGAATATCATCCAGGGCTTTGAAGAACAGCCGTTTTGCAACTTGCCAGTTTCATCCATTTGAAATAAATTATAGATGGTACATTTGTCCTCGTGAGTTATCAGTTATATTCACGTGCATATATGTCCTAAAAATAAATAGTCTCAGAGCCACACATATTCCCAGCAAGTGACAAGGATTTACACACCAACATCAGCAACTTTGTAAGGAAGCTTTGTCCTTCTCATCATTCTTTTTTCTTGGTGCCAGCAGAGATTCACAAGTAGCAGTCAGCAGCAGCACTATCAAAATGTATTTTTAAGCCCATTGTGTTGTTTTGACAAACTAAACGATTAATTAACAGCAATCTAGCGAACACATCTCTACTTACAGCTCAGAGTGAAACACACAGATCGCCATAACCATTCTATAGTCACCATTTACTGCGGAAGAATACTGCCTAATTAATTATAATTGATCACAAAGATTAGATTCAAATTCCACTAGCAGGGCAGAAGAAGCCCAAACAGAGGAAATAAATCAGAAAACTATTCTCTGAATCCATAATGAACTAACAAGCTTTGGAGATAAACAGATTTGTTTTAATTGTAGTTTTTAAAAAATAATTTAAGAACACTTTGAGGTCTTTGGAGAGAGAATATAGATTGGGAAAAGGGTAGAGCCAAACTCCAGAAAGCATGGATTCAGGTGAATGCTGAAGGTCTGGTCTCTGACTCAGTATTTAAGAAAACTGTAACGTGTCCCACACAGTGGGGATTAGGTACGTGACCTGTTAATCATGTTCTCCCTGACCCAAAGACAACTCCTTGGAAGCTGGAAGAACACACAGCTTTCCCTTCTTAGTTCTCATAGTGAATGTCCACTTTTCCTACCCACCACCCATTTCCCCTCCCTCTGACTACAGAGTCTCCCCTCCTAGCCATGGGCATGGATACAGGATCTAGACACGTCAACTCTCCACTCCCTGGCCCCAGTCCATTGCTCAAGCCAAGATGAGGACTTGAGACCCACCGAAAGCCTTCTGAAAGACTTATAAAACTAGAGTTGGAAGAGAGAAACTTCATTCCATATCCAGCCCCCTTTCTTCTTTGCCTGGGAAGTTGCAAAGAAGTAAACTCCATGACTGACGCAGAGAAAAGATATGGAGAGTGTAGTCCTAGCTCCAGTCAGTAGGTCCTCAGGTTTCTGAGAGTTCATGAAATCTGTCTTTCAAGAGACTTATTTTTGCTTTAGGTAGTTCAAGTTGGGTTCTAAGAGAGTCCTAACATTCTGCCATGTAAGTTAACTAAGTCTAGAAACTCCTCAGTGAAGAAGTGTCCATTATAGAAATAGTCAGATACAGGATTAAGGCAACTCTGGATCAGAGGGAAGCCTTTTACAAATTCTTGGCTTGGCTGCTGGAGTCTCATCTTCTTTACAGGCTACACTAAAACTGCGGGTCTTAGGGTCAGAACTGGGTAGTGGAGAGATCACGAGCATTGTAGTGATAAAGATCTGGCTACATGTTGTGGCTCCTTGATCTTAACCAAATGTATGAACCTTTCTGAACAATAAATTCCCAATTTGTAAAATTTGGATAATAATCCTTCACTGGAGTTGGTGAGAATTGAATGAGATATGCATGAAAAGTTAACAAATAACAGTACCTGAAACAATACGTATGGACTCCCAGCTTACATATGACATCACAACTCTGCCATTATTGTTGCTTTCCTTCTCTATCTTGACAACTGAACACTACCGTACACAAACCTTCTTTCTCCCAGCACAAGAGAACATGGCAAATGAGTAATTAGGAGCTAAAATCCTGTCCCATCTATAAAATATTAAAATCTGATTTTAGCTTAGAGCTTGCTAGATGTAATAGATATACAAGAATAGTCATGGATTTATTAATGTAGTTGGTTGTATTAGTAATGACCTCACTAATTTTAAATAACTTGGGAGAAGGCCAGCCCAGTTATGGGATACTTTTTTAAAGTACACTTTAATTGCTTTCAAACATATTCAGTAACTAAAATAATTCTGAAAAGAATTGCCTAGGAGAATCTATTATGTGATGCAGTGACAAAAATGATTTATAATTAGTACATCAGAAGTTAGTATATAAAATATCAGGTTAATTATCATCATCTATGGTGGAACAAAAAAGGTCTTGCTGTCATACCAGAAAAGCTGGCTTCTACATATCCGTGCTTATGAAATAGGAGTGAAAATGCCTAAAACATGGCATTACTGTGTGGCTTAAAATTAAATGAGTGACAGTGAAGTTACAAACCCTGTAAGGCAGAGTTTATATGTAGCTCATGATGGTATCCCACAAGAGTGCCTGACACTGGGCAATCTCTGCATAAATACATAAATAGATGAGTAAGTGTGCAAGTACATAATACAAAGCTTAGCCTGTAAGGTACCAGGACTTGGTGTTTCAGGAAGTACCTCTATGTCTCTCTACCCTTTGGGTGATCTTCCACTCAAAGATCCTTTGAATATGTAGAACCTTTGGGGTCTTGCTCTTACACTGGCTATCTTTACTGGGAATCACTCATTGGAGTGGGTGTCCAGCAGCCTTGCTTATACCACATGAACTGGTCATTTTGGCCACATTTTTATGGAACAGAGATGGACATTTGACCCAATAAGTTTTCATTCGATTTTTACAACTCGGAGTTTGAAATTGAGGCTAAGAGAGTCTACCTCTTTGCAGGTCAGTTGCTAGAACAGTAACACATAAACTGAGGAGCTATGACAAACCATATGCCATCATGTGGACCACAGAAGCAGGTCTGAGAGGAAAACAAAGAGGCTTTCAGAAAGAGAAAATATTCCCTTCCTAGTTCAAGGTCCTAGTTAAAGTCTAACTGTTTCCCTGTCCTTGGGATTTATAAGATGTTCTCCATATCCTTATGATAAATTATCCCTTTGTACTAGATCAGGATATAAGCAAAATAACTTTAGTACAACAGGGACTGGATAAGGAATCAGTTATTTTAAAAAGGCAAATAGATCAATAAGGGGTACACAATCTGCCCGAGATACATTTTTTTTATTTTTTATTTTTTTTTAGTCTACGGCGGTGGGCCAAAGGTATGCTTGTGTTGATGGCAGATTTACATATGTGCTGATGGTATTTGTATGAATGGCTCAGAACTTTTTAGGATCAGCTGACTGTGTTATAACACTTTCACATTACCTGATGTTTTAATTTTTTTTTTTTTGTAATGTTACAACTTCTAACAACTATTTTCTTTACTACTGAACAGAAGAGGTCACTGAGAAAGAAAGAAAAAGTGACTTATCCAAGATTTTATTTTCACGTGCGTCCATGTGAAGACGAGTCACGGCACCAAATTTCACGTGCGTCCGTGTGAAGAGACCACTAAACAGGCTGTGTGTGAGCAACAAGGCTGTTTATTTACCTGGGTGCAGGCGGGCTGAGTCCGAAAAGAGAGTCAGCGAAGGGAGATAGGGGTGGGGCCGTTTTACAAGATTTGGGTAGGTAAAGGAAAATTACAGTCAAATGGGGGTTGTTCTCTGGCGGGCAGGAATGGGGGTCACAAGGTGCTCAGTAGGGGAGCTTTTGAGCCAGGATGAGCCAGGAGAAGGAATTTCATAAGATAATGTTATCAGTTAAGGCAGGAACAGGCCATTTTCATTTCTTTTGTGGTGGAATGTCATCAGTTAAGGCAGGAACTGGCCATCTGGATGTGTGCGTGCAGGTCACAGGGGATATGATGGCTTAGCTTGGGCTCAGAGGCCTGACATTTATAGTCAGCAAGAAGCAAGAAACACAACTCAACCCCAGCCTTTCTGTCTATAAGTGCCATGCTCTTTCCAAACCAAGCTCAAGAATGGGAGGAAAACTGCATGGGTATTTTGGACTTGAAGGCAGCGGATCTCCACCATTTTAATATGGGAAAACTTTTTTACAGGCAAAAGATTTCAAACATCTGTTCTTCAGAATAGGCATACTGTTTTTGTTTTTTTTCTTTTTATAGACAATGTCTCACTATGTTGTTGCCTGGGCTGGACTCAAATTACTGGGCTCAAGTGATCCTCCTGCCTCAGCCCCCCTGAGTATCTGGGACTACAGGCATGTGCCACTGTACCCATATCAAGAATAGGCATACCTTTTATATTCACTACTGAGAAAAAAAATTAAGATGAGAAAAATTAGGAAATATCAATAATGTTTTAAAAATAAATTTGTGTGTTATTAACCAATATAGCAATATGAAAAGTTTGTGTGCTTATATATGTTGGGAGGAAGGAATTAAGACAGAGAGAAAAAAAAACACATAATTGAGCAGTTACTCTATTTTTAATTTATTCTAAATATAGTGGCTGGTGTACTTAAGGATTTCTAATCTTTAATGTTATACAAAGACATCCACAGGAACCTTACCCCTCCGGATGGAAACTCCTCCAATGAGGACAATCAACTGTTTCTAATTTCAGACATTCCTGAAGAGGTTTCAGACTCTTCAAAAATGGCTTCATTTATTAACAACTGTCTAGAGAGACAGCCTTGCTTTACCTATCTCATTCTTGGTTTCAAGATTTTCTTGGTAGGAGAGAGAGGAAAACTTGGGTTTAGCATACCAGGGTTTGATCTGGAAAACAGAAGCCACTCAAGGTATTGTAAATAGGAAGGGATTTCTTAAGTAAATTAGGAGAAAACACAATTTTCATTAGGAATGAGAGAGTGAAGGTCAAGGAGGCTACTGCCATCTTTTGGAAAACACAGAACAGCATGATTCATAGAAAAGCCGTCACCAGTGGCCACAGCTGCCTGCAGCACCACCTGGGTGATTCCCAGGAGGATGCCCAGAAGTACTAGCTCAACCCTATGTCTGCAACTGTTGTGTCTATGCCCCTGCCCACAGCTGCAGTCAGGGAATAATGGCTTCCCCATTTCTACCTCTGCAAATCTCATGAGAGTGCCTCTCATTGGCAGAATATGACCCGGAATTATACTGACAAGAAATGATGAGAAATGCAGTTCTCAGCTGATTTGATAATGGATAACCCAGCACAATCCACCCCTTTTCCCGTTTAAACCCACAAAATCCTTGCAACACATATTTAGCTTCTAACCAACACCAGCAACAAATTAATGAGTCTGCCTAATATGATGTGTCTGCTCTTATATAAATGTAGATGCACTCACCCACTCTTGGAAAGGTGGAGACTCAAAGTTTCCCTTCAGAACTGTAGCCATCTCTGGATAGTGTTAATTCTCCTTCTAGTTTAGTCACAGTCCTTCTTTGATAATCAGTAAACTAAAAATTAAATTACAAATTAATCACAACTAACAAACTTCTGTATGGAAAAGAGAAGATAAGAAGATGTACGTACATATGCAAGAAACAATACATAGTTAACATGGTCCTCATTTTTGCAAGCAGTTACAAGGCCATACTTAGGCTTTAAACTTCTTTCTTCTACAACCCACTCTGTTTCCTTTACAATCAATCAGTCAGCATCTAAGCCAGTCATAGCTTTTTATCTGTTGGAATAACTCAAATCTCTACTCCTGAAGGTGCCTGTAGTGGGTTGCTGTATGCTTCCACTAACTTCCTGCATAAGGAATGCATACCAATAAATCCCCTAGGCTCCCAACACAAATTCCCTAGGCTCCACCTTATCTCCTTTATGCGATAGCAACCCTACTTCCCATTCATAATCAGAATCAATCACCAGTGATACAGTAACTCTTCTCTATTTCTTGGTTCAGTGGTATGAGAAACTCCTAAAAGGCCAAACTGTTGTCTCAACTTTCAGTAAGGACTAATGTAGAACCCTGGTGAAAGCGTTTCTCATGTAGCAATTAAGACTCTAGTTGTGGGGCCAGAATGCAAAAATTGGCTTTCTAGACCCATATATTTTATTTACAATGAGATACATGGTATCATATATGTGTTCCTAATTTTGAATGTTTACTGCATCCTGTTTCTGAGTGAATGATGGACACTATAAGATCAGTGAATCCCATGAGTGTGACACTTTCTGTAACTTTCTTTTTATTTAGGCTACAAAATAAAATCCTTTGGTCGGAATAAAAATATTTTGTGTGATACCAAGACAGTGAATAATGCATTCAATAAGTCTACAGATGGTGGTACTGGCAGAAGCATTGCCAGCAAAGAAGGCAGACCCAAGTCCATATTATGCATCTATTCCAGGAAGAAAAAAAATTGCTGCCCCCTCAATGATGGAAGGAGTCCAATGTAATCAACTTGCCACCAGGTGGCTGGCTGGTCCTCCTGGGGAATGTTGCCATATTGAGAGCTCAGCTTTGGTCTCTGCCGTTGACATGTTGACATGCCAGGCACTCAGCAGTGGCAGTCAGATCAGCCTCGGTGAGAAGAACTCCATGTTGTTGAGCTCATGAATAACATTCATTCTTGTTAACATGGCCACTTTTTTGATGAGCAGATTATGGAGTGGCTGGATAAAGAAGCTGAAACCATCCACAGAATAAGTCATCTAGCCTCTGTGATTATTGAGAGTCTTCTCTGCAGCAGATCCCCTTAGGTAAGCAGTCCCCCTGGTAACAATTATCCTTAACTCTACACCCATTCCAAAAGGTCCATCTACATACCTCTTTCTCTGAGTTCCCTGTCCCAACACCTCCAATCTGAAACTTATGAAGCCCCTGACCATCCAGCCAAAGTATTTGCCACTTCCCAATATCGATCTATACTTCTGGCTACCTCTTAATAGTTCTTCCCATAGGTAAGTAGGTGGTACTCTCTTTCTTACTGTCCTCTAGAGCTACCTCTGCAATGCAGCAGCAATCCATTCCTGTCTGGTACCAGAACATCATGTAGAATCATCTATAAATCAGAGGACCCAGTTTTTTTTCTTCTCTAGTCAAATAATCATAAATAGCTTCCCATGATGCCACAGGTGTGGGATCAGGGGGATGCAGAAATACAGAAGTAGATGCCATTAGAGTCTAAACCGCTTTCTCAAGAAACTCCTTCCTTCAGGACTTACTCAAACCCAATCTCATACATACCATTTCCACATGATTATGGAATGTGCTGCACATGCTAACTTTATGGTTTGGTTAAATACATAATACTCAGTAGATGATGGGTAGTTCAGGTTGTATGACCACATATTGTCCAACAGTCAGGGATTTGTCTCTACCAGGCCTGTTAGCAAGCTTAGAGCTGCTTTCACCAGGGTATGACTTTACTTTATAACCATAGAGGTGTATACCAGGATTCTTTAATCAGCATTTTCCTGGGTTTCAAGGAAATATTCCTGTATGTCACAAACATTTTGCTACATCTGATTTTATAATGTTCAAGTCACAGAGTACCTTGTTGTACATGTTGTATAGCCTTCTCTTGCTCTGGGCTCTAATTAAAACTGACAGCCTTATGGGTTATTAGGTAAATGAGTCAAAACATCACATTGAATTATGGTATTCAAAGAAGTCAGCCAGTGTTGTACTTCTTTCTAAGTGATCAGCGATCCAAAATTCAGTAACTTTACTAAGACTTTAGAGGGGATAACTCAACACCCCAGACCACTGAACTTCTATAAACTGCTCTAAGGTGATGAGCCTACACTTTTCACGTGAGATAGTTCTACCCTCTTACACGTATGTGCTGATGAAGGCATCTAGAATATTTTCTAATCACTGGGGCAATTGGTAAAATAAGACTTCCCAAAAGGTATCATCAGTTCAGAGCTAAAGTCTAGAATTACGAAAAAAAAAAAAAAATGTGTTCTTTCACTTTCCAAGAGTGTAAAAGCCTTAGAAAATGGCTACACAAGCCTTTTGGGAAGGCTAGGAGGATTACTTACAATGTACTATTTGTGGAAGCGCTGTTGAGTTCTTCCTCCAGGGAAGGCTGCCTTTCCTTCATTCAAGCATCTTTGGGTCTGTGAACTAGTTCCAGTCTGAATATTGTATGAGAGAACTTAAATCACTATTTTTGTGACATAAGTTGGAGCCCTTTGCTCACCAGACTTACAGTTTTTCAATTATTCAGATGAAATAAGGCTCTATTAGGCTGCCCATCTATTTCAGTCCTAAGGGTAACAAGACTAACTACTTATCTCCCCATATCCTTGCAGGCAAAATCATTCTGATTATTGTTCTGGACTTGTATCTCATGATTATAACTATGCATCCCTTGTCTTTGGTGGTTAGGCATTACTATTTGTCCTCTTTTATCCCAGGATGACAAATCTCCATTTGTTTACAGGAGCCCATTTCAGTCATGGCTTTTCCCAACACCACTCTCAGCCTGTAGAGGATGGCCCTTTAAGAGTTTTTCCAAAGACAGCAGTGTTCCCCCTCACCAATGCCTTGCTCCATGCCTCAGTGGAAAGAATGCTATCCAGGCTCTCCTAACAAAGTGAGGAAGGGGGTCATGTGTGATAAACTTTATCCAACATTTCTCTCTTGCAAAGGCTTCAGGTTCATTCCTCTACATTTTACATAGGAAAGCCTGGCTTCTCAACTTTATTTAACCTAATCCACAGTTGAATCCAGGTTTAAGTCCACCAAATGAGTAATTATTTGAATTGATATCATTTGTTTCTGATAAAACTTTGAATCTAATTTTGATAAATTCAGGCCAATCCAATACTGTGTTATTTACTTTTTGGTCCAATACCCTTAGAATCTATTGGTAAAATCTTCTTTCAATGAATATGCTGTCTCCTCCAAGTTTAGACTGTGTTATCTTATACCTGGAGTCTGTTGAGATCCTATACTAGTTTGGGCCTGGAGGCAATGAGGGATGGTGGGAGTGAGCCTTGAGGATAATTTGTTTCTCCTAATTGCTTTGGGTAATTTTATTGTAGTGTTTTTAAGAATGAGGAGACAAACCGCCTGCTAGATGGAAGAAGGGACTCATTTTTCTTTTTCTTTTTCTTTTTTTTCCAATTTTCTTTTTATTTTATTATTATTGTACTTTAAGTTTTAGGGTACATGTGCACAATGTGCAGGTTAGTTACATATGTATACATGTGCCATGCTGGTGTGCTGCACCCATTAACTCGTCATTTAGCATTAGGTATATCTCCTAAAGCTATCCGTCCCCCCTCCCCCCATCCCACAACAGTCCCCAGAGTGTGTTGTTCTCCTTCCTGTGTCCATGTGTTCTCATTGTTCAATTCCCACCTGTGAGTGAGAATATGTGGTGTTTCGTTTTTTGTTCTTGTGATAGTTAAAGGACTATAAATCATGCTGCTATAAAGACACATGCACACGTATGTTTATTGCAGCACTATTCACAATAGCAAAGACTTGGAACCAACCCAAATGTCCAACAATGATAGACTGGATTAAGAAAATGTGGCAAATATATACCATGGAATACTATGCAGCCATAAAAAAGGATGAGTTCATGTCCTTTGTAGGGACATGGATGAAATTGGGACTCATTTTTCTAACAAAGGAGTTCAGAATTATTTGGTGTTCAAGGTCCAAGTATTCAGCAGAATCCATCCAAATGTCTGACTCTAATCCTAGGAATCACATGCCTTCATTATTCTCCCCAGGGCACCAAGAAGCATCCATCCCAAAGTCCTACAATTAATCAATTCCTCCATAATATTCTATTACAATAGCCACTTTGTCTCCCAAAGCTTTATGTCAAATAGACACTTAATTGTGGGCAAATTTAAATGAAACTTTGACTAAATTTTATCACTACATGCCATAGATTACCAGTATTCCAATTTTTCCTGGTGATGAAGTCATTTCCACTTTTAAGTCTAACTAAGTCAAATAACCAATTCTGTATAACATATTTAAGGCTGTATTTCCTGGAATCTACACTGATACTAAAAACCTTATTAACGAGAGCTTGGTCAATATGATGATTAATTAAGGTATTTGGGGATTATATTAACACTTAAATTAGTGAATTCTGAGAGGCAGATTGCCCTCTATAATGTGAGTGGGCCTCATCTATATTATGTTAAAGTTCTGACTAGAACCAAAAGACTATCCTGCCCAAACTAGAGGCCTACCAGCAAACTGCCTTCAGACTTTACCTGCACCATCAGCTCTCCTAGGTCTCCAGGCCACCGGCCTGTAGAAAGGAACTACACCACCAACTTTTATGCGTCTCCAGCCTATCAGATTTTGGACTCACCAGCCTCCGTAATTGCATGAGCTTTTTATAATAAAACCTTTTTTTATTGCATACACACACACACACAAACACATATCCTATGTGTTTTGTTTTTGTGGAGAACCCTGAATAACACAGTCAAAAAATCAGAAGCTACTCTAGATATTTCAAGCAGGAAGAGATTTAATATAAAGAGTTAGAAATTTACACAACTGCTCTAAAAGTTTGCAGTTTCAAAGGTCAAGGAGACTGCTGCTGGCTCTCAGAAAATCTAGAAATACAAGAATCACAGGGAAGTCACTGCTAATGATCTCAGCTGCCTGCAGCAGTGAAGAAGGTGATTCTCAGGAGAATGTGCAGAAGCCACTGGCATGGCCCTATGCCTGCCCTTTGGTATAGCCTATACACCTGCCCATAGCTGCCTCAGAAACTCATGCTATTTTTTTCTTTTAGGCATCCAAGTCCTATATAAGTAGATATCATTAGCCAAATCAGACACACAATCTGCTGAGAAGAGAATATGGGAAATGTAATTGTAAAAAAAATTGAATCATGGATCAGGGCAGAGGGAGCAAGGGGTTGCTGTTGTTAGGAGAAAAGCTTTTGGCAAATTAAATTTAACAAAGTTTATTTAAGCAAAGAACAATTCATGGATTGGGCAGCACTTAGAGCCAGAAGAAGTTCAGAGAGCTCCACCCTGCAATGTGGGCAGTGAGTATTTATAGACAGAACATAGAAGTACAGAAATAGCTTGAAAGGTTACAGCTCAGAGTTTGCCTTATTTGGACATGGTCTGATCAGTTGGCATCCTGTGATTGGCCGAAGCTTAGCTGTTGCTTGTGATTGGCTGAGATGTGGTTGTTTTTTATACTCCATGATTAGGTTTTCAGTTTGTTTATGTACCATGTTAGGTTGCTTTTTTCTTTCTTTTTTTTCAGTAGGGCTCAAAGTATGAAGACAGCCTCAGGTCAATGGCCTCTTGCTTATTTAATTTAACATTGTGAGTGTTCAGAAGGGGCAAAAATGTTTCTGAATTGACAATAGAAAAAGAGGGCCTATAGCGTGCTTAGTGGACACAGAATGCCTGTGATAAAGCATAGCCCAGGACAGTTCCTAATCATACATTACAAGAGCACAGAAAGAGCTGAAAGGAACCTTAGCAGTTATGGGACCAGCTCTTCATTTGGTGACAAGGAACTAATTAACACAGAGGGAATGAAACCTTCCTAAGGTCATATTGTTAGTCATTGGCATAGTCACAATTTGAACCCATAAACCATTTAAGATTCTTTCCACCACTCAGTGGTTGCAGTTCGAGTTATCTTCTGAAATCTCACCAAAAGTATGTTTTTCACTCCCCGACACCATGCTCCTGGGGTTTCCATCCTTCACCCCAGCAAGCTGCTCCACTATTGTGGATAACACATCCCTGACTCTGTACATATTAACTAATTGCTCCCTAAAGATTAAAGTGCCCAAAGCACTTTATTTTCAGTGGGAGGGATCTTGGTTTATTAAAGATTCAGACACCCAAAAAGATCTTTTTTCCAGTTTCCCTTCCTTATTTCTTTCTTCTTCTAGCTTTTCCTTTGGGGCCCAGGTTCTTTGGTCATCAGAAAAGAACATTCTCTCCTCTACAGTAAAACTTACCTTCCATTTCTCTGTACAAACAAATCATGACTGCAGCCACCCTGGACACTGCCAATAAAATCTGCCTCAGCCAGGCTTTCCTTCTTCTTGGTCCACAACCACCCTAGTCAGCACCGCAAGCCTTCCTCTGAGTCTCAGATCCCTTTTTTGTTCCCCTCACAAATCTATTCCCAGGGCTTTACCATTCAGCTTATTATCTCTGTCCAGATAAACATTAGCATAGCACATTATCGTATCTAAAACCCAACCATACTTCAACCTCTCTAATTTCAGGTTAGGGTGACTTAATCCTTTTGGAGAACGAAAATTTCACAACATTTCTGTCCTTTGGTAATAGGAGTAGGATTGTGATTTTGCCAGGCCTATAGGAAGAATAAGGGGGCTATGTGAAAGATTCTGCTTTGCCAAACCTGTACACACTAGCCCTTGGGAGGGTTCAAAGGATCCTAAGGATCAGCAGACAGATAAGAAGCATTGTAATGGTAAGAGCCTGGTGCTGCAAAACAAGCCTTCTGCAAAAACAGGGCTGAACCATGAGGCTGAGCACTAGGGCCCAGTGAAGTCTCCTCATGTCTAAAATCTTTGTCCTCACGTCTAAAATCTAAACACTTCTACCTGAAAACATGGATGATCTTGTCTCAATGGCATGTGTGCAGAGACAGAAAGAGATGGAATGCCCCATGAAAAGGACAAACTCCATTTACCAACTAGCTTCATGGCAGGAAGGAGAAGAGAGAAGAGTGCATAGCTGCATGGCTTGAGCCCTGCCTACTGCGAGCAGAAGTTTAGAAATCTGACCAGTCTGATTAGGTGTACCTTTTCCATAGGGCTAATGGGGCAGTACCAGGAAGGAGCTGGAGAAAGAGAATGGTCTAGTAGGGGTAGAGGGGTTGAACAGCTTGCCTCTGTGCACCCAGTGCTCTCTTTTGTTGAAGAAATCATCTTCTCATTCACAGAGCAAAGGTTAGGATTCTGGGTGGACTGGGTGCCCTGAGTTTGGTCTTTGCTAGACATACCTCCCTTCTCCTTATTACATAAACCATCACATCTTCTCTCATGCCAGGCGTTGCTGGAATAAGGTGAGTTGGCTGAACCCAGGATGAGTATGGAGTGTCTGCCAAGGCTTGTTCCTGATTTCTTTCCAGAACTTGTCCATTTCCCAATAGAACAAATACCAAAATAGATAAAATTTCACAACTCTCTAACTGACAGGAAAGAAAATGTCCTTGTTCAACTTAAAATGGTTTTGCATCAGAGGCTCCAGAGAATTCTTGAAGAGATTGGCACTGGCCATGCATAGGCCAGAATGTACGCTTTCCAATTATCTGACATCCTCTTCCAACACATCCAGGGCACTCTCTGCATCTCATTTGCATCAAATTCATTTTAGTACATTTTTGATTACTGCTTTATTATTCCCTTTTCAATCCCAAACTTTCAATAACAAAGGTTTATTATCTTAGGTAATTCCCACGCTTATAAGCAACCTTTAAACTCCACTATCCCTTCACCCCCACTGTCCACAAACTACCCTCCTTTCCACCAGCCCTGACTGCACACACATGAATATTCCTCATTACCTCTCCTATTACTGGCATGAAGCATTTCATGTAAAATCCTCAAGACTTGGACAGAAGCTATCAGTCATAGAAAGGTGATCCTTCAAACTTGCTTAGAAAATATTCCTTTTTCTCATACCCACCATTTCTGATGTCAAGAGAATCAACTGTCTGCTATAACTCTCAGAAAAATAGGTCATGGTTTCTTAATGACAATTGCTAGTACGATAGTAAAATGTGTCTTGAGACTTTAGTGATTGAGTCCAAGGTTAAAAAGAAGAAAAAAAGACAAAGGCAGTTGAGAGAATTGGACATGACAGGAGAGTACAGATAGAACATGGAACAAAACCAAGAAAAAGAAAAATTAGAAAGGGCCACATGACCCCTTCTCAGCGTCCCTCAAGTTTTAATGTTCTAGAGTCAGCATGTTTACTTGCCTTTACAGGCAGGTAGAAAGTGGCAGGTATAATAATATGTCCCTGGAACTCATAGCCCTCCCTGTAGGAAAAGATGTCAAGTGACCAAGTTACAGTAAGGCAAGCTGACCCATATCATTTGAATGGCCATTGCCCTTCAAATTCTAATTTCTGAAATCTCACCAGTTATCCATGACCCTGTGTGGTTCCCATCCCCAAACCATTACTAGGGTTTTGAAGTTTTTTAATAACCTAACTTCCCTGTGCTCATTGACCCACATGGAATTTTTTACTCCCCACTGAGAGAGAATTACCAAGTTCACACAGAGAGGTTAACAACCATGGAGAAAGGCTAATGGTTCCTGCTGCATCTTTCATGCTCAGACTCTAGAACTGAGACTGGAGAGGTGAGCAAATCCTAGACGATGCCAGACAGGTGAAAAATGAGCTGTGAACTCCCCCCTGCTGGAGGAGGCAAGGCCTCTGGTTAAATCATAATGGCACAGTTGATCACAGTTGATGCGATCTCAGGAGGAGGCTTGCCCCACTAATCCCTCAGGAGACAACTGTCCATGTATAATGCCTCCACCTCATTAGAGCTTCAGTTCATTTATTAAATATTGAACACATCAGTTGGTTCTCTTTGGTGTGGAGGAGCAGAATCCTTGTTCTTGAAGGGGGATGCTGTGTATCCTCCTGAGAAAGTCCAGTTGGCCATGCTAATTGCTAACAGATTTCTCACACACTGTTATTTCTTCATCTGCCCAGGAAGTACATGCTGCACCACAGGAGATGTGGGACAGAACTTGGTTGCTAGGAGTCTTAATGATAGTGGCAATTAATTATTCACACCACTAAAAAGAAAAAAAACTTAATGAGCAGCCCAGCAATGGAGCCTACTCTAGGAAGTTGAATAAGATAAGGAAGAAACAAAGAAACCCCTGGTCACTTAGTCCATCCACTGATCTTCAGGTGAGACCATGCTCTATGGTAGAACTAGAAAGGACCTAGTCTAAAACCCTCATTTACAGATAATGGAACACTGAGATTTGAAAGAAGGAACTAACTTGCCCAAGGCACAAAGAAAGTGAGTGGCCCTGAGCTTTTACTATGTGTTGCATTCTAAGAATTTTGTATGTATATAGTAATTTAATCTTAACAACTCTGCAAACTAGGCACCTGATAGTAAAATCTGGATGATTACCAGTTTCATCAAAGGTGCCTGTAATCAGGAAATTTACTTCAGAGAAGCTGCCCTTACTTAAATGTCCGTAACCTGTTTGACCTTTCCCCAGACATTTGAACCAATGGATGCCCCACCCAAGAGGAACCACCCCAGGGTAAGCCAAAGCACACAGACTTTTTGACCTGTATATGGAGTTCTAAAACAATGAGACAGAAAGAGTCCAGTTAGATGAGAGACAAAGGAAGTACCCTCCATGATATGCTAGAACAGTCTAGACTCAGTGTTCTTGTGGCCTCTGTTTTCTATTATTGAATGCCTGGTATGATCAAGCTCAAAATAAATTTTCTTTTTCTTAGGCTAGTTTCTGCTTCTTGCAATCAAAATTCTCCTAAGACAGTGGAATGTTACTCAGCCTTAAGAAGGATAGAAATTCTGACACATGCAACAACATGAAAGAACTTTGAGGACATTATACTAAGTGAATTAAGTCAGTCATAAAAGGATAAATATTGTATGATTCCACTTACATGAGGTGCCTAGAGTAGTCAAAATCATAGAGTCAGGAAGTAGAATGGTGGTTTCCAGGAGCTGAGAAGGGGTGGAATGAGTGAGTCAGTGATTACCAACAGCAACTAATAATAAAACAATTATAACAATATACTGTAATAAAATTTGTGTGAATGTGGTCTCCCTCTCTCTTTCCTTCTCTCTGCCTCTCTCTTAAAGTATCTGTGCTCACCTATTTTCACATCACAGTTGACTGTGGGTAACTGAAACTACAGAAAGGAAAACCTGAGTATATTAATTCCATTTTCATGCTGCTGATAAAGACATACCCAAGTCTGGGTAATTTATAAAGAAAAAGAGGTTTAGTGGGCTCACAGTTCCATGTAGCTGGGGAGGCCTCACAATCATGATGGAAGGCTAAAGGCACATCTTACATGGCGGCAGACAAGAGAGAATGAGAGCCAAGCAAAGGGGGTTTTCCCTTATAAAACCATCAGATCTCATGAGACTTATTCACTACCACGAGAACAGTATGAGGAAACTGCCCCTGTGATTCAATTATCTCCCACTGGGGTCTCTCCCACAACACATGGGAATTATGGGGGCTACAATTCAAGATGAGATTTGGGTAGGGACACAGCCAAACCGTATCACTGAGAAAGCAAAGTCTGTGGTCTAGGTGGTAGAGGACCAATAAAATCCCTAGTTTTCTTGTCTTCAAGGGACCCCAAGCCCAACAAGGAACTTTCAGAATTCTAGCAAGAAAGCCTGATGGGCATCAACAATGAGCCTTCTACATACTAGGCAAGTGGATGGTCTTAGGATAGAAATTTGGCAAAAATTTATCTATCTATCTGTCTTTCTGAGGCAATACATGTATATTGCTTTAATTTGCCAACTCACATGATTAAAGCCACCACCTCAGCAGTCGGGAAACTCTGATTGCATTTTGATCTTTACCTCAATGTTAAGACCCATAGATCAGTGCCATTTTCTTTCTTAATATTCTATTTGCCTACATCAGCCATGAGTGAGGGGTCATGCTCTGTCTTCATGGAGCCAATCAGTGTTAGTGTTTTGGGAGTCAGTGGACACCAGCAATATTTTGTATCATCAATATAATCAAGTATTTAGCCATATAAAGCAAAATTGAAGCAAAGTTTTCCATTTAAAAATCCATATGTTGTTTCAATTGTGAAGAATTAAATTATTCTGTTGTGTTTGTTTTCCAAACCAGAGGCTTAGAATCAGCCTGAAAACTCATCCTGTGATTTAAACGTGTTCACCACTCAAAGCCAGCCCTTTAGCTTTTCTTAACTCTTGAGTAGAAAAGGTGGAATTCTTTCCCTTCTCACCAGAATAAAGAGCTGATCTGGATGAGAGGAAGGGATGGTTAAAAGAGCAGAGGACACAGGATGCAAAATGAAGGAAGCACTACTGTAGACTGAGAAAAAGTATCAGAATGGCCACAGGCAGAGCTGCATAACAATATAAAATATTAACAGCACAGAGAAAAAATATTGTTTCAATGGAATCATCCCAACTTTTGCCTTACGTTTGAAGACAGAAAAAAATACATATCCAACTTGTCTGACTTCAGGGTCTGAAGTACCTGGCTCACGGGTTTGTTTCCTCTGAAAACTGTTCAAAGAAATAACCTGATTTCCTGATTTTGTTAACGGTTGTCAACCAGATAATTCCGTTTAAGCCCCCTGAATATCTAGAAATACTTGATAATCCAGACAATACAAAGAAGAGATAGGGCAGAGAAAGCCAGGAAGAGGACGGGACAAAATCCGCTTTTCGTAAAATAATATAGGCGACATTGTCAGCATCTTCAACTTCAACAAGAAAAGAATACAGGAATTTGGAAACCTAGGGCTATTCCCTTCCTGTTCTTTACTCATTCCAAGATGCTATGAGAAATTGGGGCAATTATAAAGATTGTTTAGACCCCTAATGATTGTTTAGGGCATACTCTCATGAAAAAAAAGAAATCTGTGCATGGGGAGAAAGAGGAGAGTGTGCACAGAGGTTCTAGAAAGGAGAACAGGTCAAAGTTTAAGGAGATTAACCATGGGACATAAATATAGCACTGTCTTTTACATAGAAAATATTTAGTGACTCCCCAGAAACCCCCTCAAAAAACATTTATTTAGCATGGCCTCAGTCCACCCATATCCCTTCAAAGTCCAGCCAAATCCCCTCATTTTCTTATATGTTTATTTTTATTCATGTAACATGCAGACATCTTATGATTTTATAGTACTTTATAATTTACAAAGCATTTTCCCACTCATTAGGTCTCTTGGTCCTCCAAGTAATCCTATTGGTAGGGACCATTACAGATATGAATACCAAGTTGTCCAAAGACTGAGACTTTTGCCCAAGATGTGAAATGACCCATCTGGCTTTAATATCTGTCCATATATTAACTTCTCTTCTCTCACAGTGGACTCTGCCATTTTGGCTGCCAGAACCCAATTACCTCTTTTTTAAGTAATCAAATATAATATTTCATCTGGGAAATATTTCATCTAGTCCCTCTTCTTCTCTCAATCCATGTGCTCCAAGTAGAGTTAACTCCATCTCTAGTTCATGACTGAGGCCTGCCTACCGAGTGTCACATTCCCTTGGGATATGTGAGTAACCCAATGAGGACTAACGAGATGCTCTTCTACATGGTTGGATCTGCTGAAAGAAAGAGGTGATCTTTTTTCTGCTACATTTGAACCTCAGAAGATGGAGTCCTGGTAGTACTAGCAGCCATCATATGGAAGCTGATATTGAAACCAACTATGAAGGAGAGAAGAGCTGAGGGATGGAGGACAACCAGATCCAGGTGGAATTTTATGAGTCTCTGGATCAAAACACCTATGAAAAGTGACCCTCTATCTTTTTTCAGTAAACAATATATTTTTTCTTTCTTAAGCTGAATTGGGTTTTCTCTCTCTTATCTTAACTGATGTATCACCCAAAACATTTGGTATGTCCCACCCCGAGATAGTCCCAATGACAAAGAAGATGAACTTCTCATACAGAAGATTAGGACACGGAAGGTCACTCAGCCAGAACTCTTAAGTATTCTATCACCAGGTTCTTAGCTCTTTTCTCTGGCATCATGGTGCCTTCCTCTGTGCCTTTGCTCATGGTATTTTCTTAGCTTTCCTAATATGATCTCTCTCTTCCTTTCCTGCATAAGTAAATTCACTCAAGCTCTACTCACAAACCTAGGTTTGCCTTTTTCCCTTCTCTGAAATCCCAGAGCATTATTATTTACATAGCTAATCCTGGGAAGTTATTACACAGACTTTTGTTGTTGTTCTTGTTTATAATTTCGGATACCTTATGTTTCTAAACAGATTCTAAGTAATCTAAGGATAAGAACATGCTCTTATACTACATCTATATTTGTCAGAATGCCGTGGACAATGTGTACATAGCAGGCATTATAAATACTCAATTTTTTTATTGAATTGGCAAAAGGAAGTGTGAAGTGAGTGGGGGATGATACAGCTGCCAGATGGCTAAAAGATAAAATAATAGGGAGATGATGAAGTTAAATCCTTTGGTGTCCCTAATATTGGCTTTGTGATTCAGTGTAAACTTGAGGAATTTTTTTCAAGAAAAGCAGCACATGGTTTAGAGATGGCACTATCTCCCACACTAGAACTGAGGAACCCATAGAATACAGCAAAGACCTAAGCCCACAGTAGGCCTTCAAAAAATGTTTTATAAAATCTAATCAAAACTTGGGCCCTGATCCAAGTTATTACTCCACAGAAAATTCCCAGAAGTGTTTCCTTAATGATAATAAGTAATCCAAAATATTCCTTCATGGCTTATTTTTTCATGTTTTATTCATGTGCTAACAAAAAATAAAATTAGTAACAACTATTTAGTCAAATATTTACTATGTGCTAGACATTGCCAGACACAGAGAGATAGTTTGCACATACTATTTTCAGTTCTTATACGAAGCTGCAAAGTATGTATTATTACTGAAATTTTAAAAATAAAAAGAAGTACCTTAAAGAACTTCAGTGGGAGTTTTGTTTGGGAAACCAGAAAACCAAATAAACCTTCCTACCAAAAACCACATTGAAATATGGGCTAAAATAATATAAACACCTGCTAAAGCGCTAAGCATCTGACAAACTGAAAGACAACTCCTGAGACCAAAAACAAAGAGGGATCTGAATCCAGAGGAGTGAGTATGTGGAGTTAGCCCAAGAGCGGAAGCCGCAGTAGCCTGAACATGGGGAGGGTTCCTGGTTTCCATAATGCAGGGTCCTTGAATTTTATGCCCGGACAGGACCAGGAGATGAAATAACAAACAGAGTTGGAATTAAGACATCTCACCAAACCAGAAATCTCACAGGGCTATAAATTCAGTGAAAAAGTAAACAAAAATAAAAAACTATTTACTAGCAAAGGAAAATAACAGGAAAAAATATTTTTTTGACATGTTCTGGGCACTGATAGAAAGAAAGTTAACTTTAGGAACTTGCAACTAGGAATGTGTCTCTGTGAATAGAGAGTACACTCTGTGTAGAATGTGCATTTATCACTATCAATCTCTAGGAATTATAAAAATGGGTTCTGGCCTGTCAATGCCTCTGGGATACCTGGAAAAAACAAACAAATAAACTTTCTAGGGGAGGCACACCCTCAACTCGGGATACCCATGATTCAGATAGAAAATGCACTGCTAAATTAGCTTATAATCCAAAATTGTAAAACACATCAGGAAAATCTCCTCAGTAAACAAGAGTTGGCATATAAAACAAATAGTAGTATTCAACTCCTAAAACTTTCCAATAATAAAACTGTCAGGAAAATTGCAGAATAAATATTTTAAATGGCTAATCATAAAAGGAATAGAAATTATAAAAATGAGCAAGACACTACAAATGAGTAACAGAAAAGTTTCAAAAGAACAAAGTGAAACATCATTCTTTAATAAAAATTCAGTGAAGTAAATGAAACAAAATCAACAAAAGATATAAGGTTTTTATTTCCGAAGCTTAATGGTAAGTTCCTAATCATTCACTACAGTATTCTCTATATTGTTTGTGTGTTTTAAAAATAGTTAATAAAAAAAATAGAAAATTAAACTCAGGTTAAACATATTAGACATAACTAAAGAGATAATAGACATAAAAGGATGTGAGGGAGGTGGGAATGGTTAATGGGAATAAAAAATCAGAAAGAATGAATAAGATCTACTATTTGATAACACAATTGGGTGACTATAGTCAATAATAATTGTACCTTTTAAAATAACTTAGAGGTGTAATGGGATTGTTTGTAACTCAAAGGATAAATGCTTGAGGAGATGGATACCCCGTTCTCCATGATGTGCTTATGTCACATTGCATTCCTGTATCAAAACATCTCATGTAGTCCATAAGTATATACACCTACTATGAAATCACAAAAATTAAAGATTAAAAATAAAAAAGGAAATATTTGAGAGAAAATTACCCAGAATTTTTAGAGAAATCGAAGAGATGAAAAATGTGAAACAGTGTCAAAGAATATGTAAGATAGAATAAGTAGGCCCAATATATGTCTAATAGGAGTTCCAAAAAATGAAAATAGAAGTTTGGAAGATGCATTAGCTGAAAAGATAACAGCAGAGGATTTACAAGTATTGAACAAAGCTGTAATTCAGAATATACAATTTTTATGGGCAAAATAAGTAAATATAAATCCAAACCTAGAAACCCATTGCAGAGCTCCAAAACACCAAAGTGAAGATCTAAAAGTATCCAGAGAGAAAATCCAGGCCACCTACTAAGGAATGATAATTAGATTAACTATAGATTTCTCAACAGCATCCATAGAAAAAGAAGACAAAAGAATAATATCTTTGAAGTCCTGAAAGTAAACAGTGGTCAACCTTTAATTCTTTACAAATCTAGACCATTACACGAGTCAGACTGAAATAAAGACCGCTTCAAGGAAAGTCAGTCGCAGAGTTTTCACTAACAGCCACTTGCTCAAAAAGTCATAAAAAATGGACTTTAGAAAGAATTTTTAACCCAAAAAAAGGGCTAAAACACATGAAAGAATGATAATCAAATAAAATTGTTTAAAGTGTGGTGAATCTAGATAGTAATTAACTATAAAATCAACAGTAATGATGGTAATTGATAACTATAAATCCAGGCAAATCTTAAATATTCAACAATAAAAATGTACAAAAGAGAAAAAACACATTCTAAGCTTCTTCTGTTGTTCAGGAGAACACAAGAAGACTTTAGAAGAACACAATCAAGACCTTGTTAAGCCAAACATGCAAGTTAAAATGTTAAGGCTGATCTTTAAAAGATGAAAGCAGAAGGCATGAATTTCAAATGGTAAATGAACAAAAATGAATAAAAATAATAATCAACATAAGGCAGTAAAAATAGAAAAAAGCATAGAGAAAGCAGAATAAAAAATAAGATGGAAGAAATAAAACCAATTACCTTATTAATCACAATAAATGTATCTGAGTTATGCTACATTGTTTGTGTGCTTTAAAAAGTTTTAATATAGAAAATTATAGAAGGAATAGAACTGAAAAGACAGATGAACACATTACACTAAAAAAAATCCATTGCACATTGTTTATATCAATAGATAATTCATAAAAAGGCAAGGCAAAAGATATATAAAGATATGAGTAAGTGCTCAGCCTTGTTGGTATTCAGGGAATTGAAAGTTAAAACAATAATGGTATCCCATTTAACAACTATCAGATGGGTAAAACCTTAAAATTCTTACTATTATCAACTGTTGTGGACCAATAACAACTTCTTACATAATTGGTAGAAGTACAAACTGGTACAATCACTTTAAAAAGTTTGGCAAAATCTAATAAAGTTAAAAATATTCGTACCTTCAACTTAGCAACATTACTTCTAGGTGTATGTCTCAGAGAAACTGTTGAACAAGTATACATACCCGTATATTCAGAAATACTTATGATAGCCCAAATTTGTAATGATTTAAAAAGTAAAACTATAAGCAGCAAGTGTACAGCACCAGCAGCATGCAATGACATATTAAGGTTTGATGGAATACTATGCAACTGGTAACATGAATGAATTACAATTACATGCATAAAGACAAATTTCAGAAACGTTGAGCCAAAGTCAAGTTTCAGCAGAATATGTACAATATGATATTATTTATACAAAGCTTAAAACTTGTAAAACAACATTATGTGTTTTTATAGAATCCTGAAGGGATACTACAAAAGAGATAAATGCAAAGTTCAGGAAGGAAGAGGAAATGTGGTCAGGGAGGAGGACACAGTAGACTAAAACTGAATATGTTATGTCTTATTTCCTTTAAAAAAATATGTGAAACAAACATACAAAATGTTAAAATTAAACAAAGTAGCTGGAGTGCCCATGAATTTTATTGTATCAGTGTACTTTTCTTTATGGTTGAAATATCTCATTATTTTTAAAAATACACACAACAACTCACATATAGTCTGCTTATGAATGAGCTAGGTCCCAAGAACCCCTCCTAAGAAAAAGAAAATGAGGAGAAGGAGAAAGGAGAAGGAAGAAGAGGAGAAGGAGACAAGGGAGGAGCAAAACAAGTTTAACTGTGTGTCCAAGACCATATGGCTAATAGGTTACTGAGCTGACACAGCAATCCAAGCAGTTTGGCTCTAAAACCCCTTCTTTTTTTTTTTTTTCTTTTGAGACAGAGTCTCGCTCTGTCACCCAGGCTGGAATGCAGTGGCACGATCTCCGCTCACTGCAAGCTCCATTTCCCAGGTTGAAGCAATTCTCCTGCCTCAGCCTCCCAAGTAGCTGGGACTACAGGCGCCCTCCACCACGCCCAGCTAATTTTTTTGTATTTTTAGTAGAGACGGGGTTTCACCGTGTTAGCCAGGATGGTCTCGATCTCCTGACCTCATGATCCGCCCGTCTCGGCCTCCCAAAGTGCTGGGATTACAGGCATGAGCCACCACGCCCAGCTAAAACCCCTTCTTTGGGCCAGGTGGGGTGGTTCATGCCTGTAATCCCAGCACTTTGGGAGGCCGAAGTGGGTGGATCATTTGAGGTCAGGAGTTCGAAACCAGCCTGGGCAACCTGGCAAAATCCCATCTCTACTAAAAATACAAAAGTTAGCCAGGTGTGGTGGCACATGCCTGTAATCGTACCTACTCAGGAGGCTGAGGCACAAGAATCATTTGAACCTGAGAGGCGGAGGTTGCAGTGAGCTGAGATTGCGCCACTGCTCCCCAGCCTGGGCAACAGAGAGAGACCTTGTCTCCAAAAAAACAACAAACAAACAAAAACAAAAAAAGCATTCCTTTCCTACTCTGCCAAGCTGTTGAGGCCAAGCTGTTGAGGCCAATCTGAATGAGTGGAGTTTGTTAGTTTGAACAGTCTTTAGATTGGAAGTACTGACCCTAGTCCTGGCCCCTCATCTCTTTGTGAGTGCACCTTGATTCATGTCAAACCTTCTTTCTTTCCACCAAGTTTCACTCATTTTTCACACTTCCTAATCCCAGAAATCAGAAGCAGGCATCATGGCACTGCAAAAGAATCAGAATGAATAATACTATGAATTTTAATGAATAAAGGCAGATGGTACCGTTCTCAGAGTACCACCTTCTTAATAGTTTGCATCTGAAAATTTGCACTGTTTTCACTGTGGAAATAATCTAATAACACCTTCAACTTATGACTCAATAAATTAATAAGTATTTGCCAAGTGCTTTCTCAGAGCCTATGATTGTGCTCAGAGTTACATGATCTGGGAATAGGAAGAAATTATTAATCAGTGATGCTGACGAGACTGAATGGGAAAACATTGCACATGATGAAAACTTAGGAAGGGAAAACAAAGTCCTAAGGCTTTAAATGTGTAAACAAAAGAAGAGTTTGAACTTGAAAAAAATGCCAACTGTATACAAACTAAGATATACTCATCTCAGGAAAATTTATTCCAAAACACAAACATTCATTGGAAATGAAAAATAGGCTGAAAGGGATTGGGGAGTGATAGATAAGAATGAACGTCGGTGATAAATATGAATAAGAAATGAAATCTCAACATGATATTCTAACAAAAAGGGCCATTGCTTTTTTGTCGCTGTTTTGATTACATAAGAAAAGGGACTGTGTCCAGGAAAAAGCAAATGATCATTTATCTTTTAAAAACTGATTAAACTGTACCAGAATGCACACTGAATTGGTGACAACTTGGGAACTATTAATAAATAAAAGAAAGAAAATTGTTCTGCATTGGACGATCCAACTGGCTAATGGGAAGGCATCTCGGAGTCAACTAACATTTATTCAGTGCCCAGCATGGGCTCAGCTCTGTGCTGGGTCAAAGGTACAAAGAGCCTCCAATCTACTTTGGTTTCACTCTTGACTGGAATCAAAGAAAAGAGTATGCATTAACTTTACTAGTTTTATCTCTTGACAGGAGTAAAAAGCTTCCCAAGAAGCACAAGTCACATACATGTTTTCCTAATTTGCTTTTAATCTCAAGAGTTTACAAGTTGGCTAACTCTAATGCACAAGTCACATCTGTAATAGCAGCCTTCATCTCCACTGCCGTTGTCAAGAGGGCTCGGAAATATAAAGTGAGTGATTAAGAAGAAAGCCCCTTTACTGTTAGAATCAACAGTATGGTATGTTTGGAAGGCTGCCTAACAGCTCTTCCCTCAGTCTCTCTGCTGTTGTTAGAATTTGCTCTTTCAAATCAAACTGCTCCTCCACCAGGCCCTGCCTCTTCTCCCTGAATGCAATAGGGAAAGGTAAAAGGTTTCAATATGCCTCTAACCAACAGCACAGTGCCATTTATGGTGGAAATTTTCCTCTCAGCCTCTAACAAAGTACAACATGGGATATTAGCCATTACTATTCTCAAGCTAAGACAATAAAGGAAGCTACCCGCCAGAGCCTAATGAAGTCTCTGTGTGAACTAGGAGATAGTGGTACATCAGGGAATGAAAATACAAAACAAAACCTTGCACAGATACAAGATAGAGAGGTGGCTCTGTGTAGGCAAAACTGGAAAAGGCAGTCTAGAGATAAGCATGGATCTCAGTTTAACCAGAAAATAGCCACGTGGCACTTGAGTTTAAACAGCTTTAAAAGACTAGTTCAGTTCCAAGTTTAACAATCAACAAGAGTTCTCATGGCCAATGCTTACATACCAGGCCCTGTGCTAAGTGCCTTGCAGACATTAACTCACTTCATTATTCAACTACAACCCAATTATCATCATCCTCATTTTACAGATAGGGAAATACAGCAGAGAGAGATTAACAAACTAGTGGAGGGTCACGGGGCTAGTAATCCTGCAGAAGTAAGATTTGAAGCCAGTCTGATTAAAGAAGTTATCCATAGTTACATCACACTGCCTGGGACACTTGGGAGTACAGCATGGGGGCCAAAAATAAAAGCCACAAAGATGAAGGAAAGATGTCTTTAAGGCTGGGCTTGGTGGCTCACCTGTAATCCCAGCACTTTGGGAGGCCGAGGCAGGTGGATCACCTGAGGTCAGGAGTTTGAGACCAGCCTGGCCAACATGGTGAAACCCCGTCTCTACTAAAAATACAAAATTAGCCAGGCATGGTGGCACGCACCTGTAATCCCAGCAACTCAGGAGGCTGAGGCAGGAGAATCACTTAAACCTGGGAGGCGGAGGTTGCAGTCAGCCAAGATAGCACCACTGCACTCCAGCCTAGGTAAAAAGAAACCATCTCTTTCTTTTTTTTTTTCTTTGTTTCTACAGATGGAGTTTCGCTCTTGTTGCCCAGGCTGGAGTGCAGTGGCACGATCTCGGCTCACCACAACCTCTGCCTCCTGGGTTCAAGCAATTCTCCTGCCTCAGCCTCCCATGAAACTCCATCTCAGGAAAAAAAAAAAAAAAGATGTCTTTAAAATGAGAGTTATGAGGTTAACTTAAACAAGTTGGTTTATTTATGCTGAAAAAATAAAATGGAGTATCTCCCTGGAGGAGAAAGAGAAGAAAGGAGGGTATATTTTTATTCATTTGAAACCCTTGCATTCCAGAAATTTGCTTGAAATGGGCACATGGATTTTAATACAATTGCTTAGGCAGTTTAAATGAGTTATTCCAATTAAAGTATTAACAATTCAAGATAGGCTTGCACTTGTTTGCATATGTTTCATAATTGTAAAAAAAATCATAAAATCCATTATCCTATACTGCTTTATGTTTCATAGGCAACAATAGCATGTTTGGCAGCGGGATGGAGAGGGGATGTATGTTGCATAAATTAATGTATAATGCCAAGTAAAAAGAGTAGAAACACTTCTTGATTTTACATGATTTTTTTTGTCTTTTTTTTTTTTTAATGTCTACCCACTTCCCCAGCCTGTATCAGGATCTCAGCAGACAACTAAGTCTGCTCATCAATGCTCATCATGTATCAGACACTATGTGAGGTGCTGGGGACACGTGGTTCCTCCCCAAAAGAGGCCACGACCTCATAGTACAGGGATGATAAGTATAGAAATAAGCAAAATATAAGGTAGAAATAATAAACTCAAAAAAGAGGAGGAAATTGGCCATGGAAATTCAAAGGACAGAAAGATTATATCTGATGGAAGATGTTCTGAAGAGATTTCTAATAGTAAACTGAGATTGGATTGGAGCTTAGGTAGAATTTTGACAGGGAAAAGGTATTCCAGGAAAGAGAATCATCATGAATGAAGGCACGATAGTGGGGAAAGATAGTGTATATTTGAGAAACATCAAGAGGCATAATTATGGTAGAAGTGACCAATACAGTGGAAAAAGCAAGCTGAAGCCATATTGTAGAAGATCTCAAAGTTTTAAGTTCTGACAAAGATAGCTATCAAGGTTCCCATGCAGAGGAGTGGCAAGGTCAGAGATAATATACTGTAGAAAAATCACTATGCTAGTAGTAGAATGGAGGGTGAATTGAGTAAAAAAAGAGACCTGCAGTAGACAGTTGAGAAGTTTTCATACCAAAGCCATATCCTCAGCCCTAGCCAACTACCATTTCAAAGGCCTGCCTTTGCCCACAGAAGAGATAAGGCAAGAGAACATAAAGGAATTCATGGGCTTACCCTTACAGGAGAAAGCCAAGTTCGTATGAAGTAGTGGGTGAAGACGGCTGCTATATAGTGAGCCTGTGAAGGAGAATCTGTCATCTGTCCTTAAATTAATAGCTTCCTCTTCACCCTGTGCTTATACTTTCAAGCTCAGATCATCTCTTCAGATTCTGTTTCTGACCCTCATCTCAGTTTTGCTGTCTCTGAGTTTGCCCCTCACTTAGTTTTTATCTCTGTCTAGTCCCTGCAAATCGATACTACGGCTGACCAAACTCCTAGACTCTTCATTCCAATGTTGCCCTGGGATGGTGCCTTCACTGTACACTCTGAAACAAAGGGCCATTCCAGCCCCCACCCTTATCCAGGCCAGGCTCTAAAACCCCTTAGGACTGGAGCCCCAGAACCCCACTTATCAGAAAAGATTGATAGACGCTGTTACTTTGGAGGAGAAGCACTTTGCAAGTCTCTGAACCTCCCAGGCTTTATGGAAAAAACTGAAATCATCTTAGTGATAGTAGCCAGAATCATTAACTCATAAAATTTTAGAACAGAAAGGATCTTTGAAGATCATCTGATCTTCTTTGTCTTATCCAGAAATATATATATATTTTAATAAAATATACATTTATATATTATAATCTATTACACATATATTCATATACGTTAAATAGGTTATTCAAAGTCATACAAAGTGGCAACCAGACTAGCATCTCTTGACTCTCAATCCAACAAATGTTTGTCAGTAGTTAGAATGTATAAAATGTTATCAATCTAAATTACAGATGCAATCAAGACCACAGTGACTACATAATTTTTATCCACATCCTAAAGCACTTTATTATATCACCCTGCATTGCTCATTAATAGTTTCATTCAATCATCTTGGCTTTCCAAATGGATTGAATTGTTGGAGGTCAGGGACTAGATTGTCTTCTTGCATCTCCAGCTGCCCAGCACATTTCTTTATTTTTCTTTTTCATCTTTTTACTTTGTGTTGGTAATTTTGATATATTAATATTATACTCTTAATGAAGTAAATGAGAACGAATATTATCATCTACCACCAGCACCAGCAATTAAGGAAACCTGCCGTTTCTCATCTGTAGATGAGAAAACCAGCTGTTGAATCATTTCCAAGCAACAATAACTAATGCTTCGTTGAATTGAGCAAGGTGTCTCTTCTGCCTCTTTCCACCTTTCCCCACTCTTTTTTTTTTTTTAATAGATGGAGTTTCACTCTTGTTGCCCAAGCGGGAATGCAATGGCGCGATCTCGGCTCACCGCAACCTCCGCCGCCTCCCGGGTTCAAGCGATTCTCCTGCCTCAGCCTCCCGAGTAGCTGGGATTACAGGTGCATGCCACCACGCCTGGCTAATTTTGCATTTTTAGTAGAGATGGGGTTTCTCCATGTTGGTCAGGCTGGTCTCGAATTCCCAACCTCATGTGATCCACCTTCCTTGGCCTCCCAGAGTGCTGGGTTTACAGGCGTGAGCCGCCATGCCCAGCCCCCATTCTTTATCTGTAACAAAACTGCAAGTATAGAGGGAGTTCTCAATCTAGAATCTGGTACTTTGGACAAAGTAGAAGTCACTTCCCCTTTAACACTCACAGAATTAATGGCCTCAGTGTGGTTTCCCCAAAGGTAGGGAGAACTAATGCCAAAATTGTTGAATTTTGGAAAATCTATCACATGAAAAGATTGACAAGTAGTGGTCTGAACATTTTCCTCCACTTCTAAACCAATATATGCTCGGAAATCCAGTAGCAAAAAAAAAAGAGTAATTTTTACAGAAATGTTAAAAGAGATTATTAATAAATATTAGCACTAATCATATTTACTATTACTATTGTATTCCATTTTCCTACAAATTGCTCTGAATGGCTTCATGGTTAAATATAAAAAACAAATAAACGAACAAAAACATCCCAGCACCTGCAGCATTTGAAAGTAGAATTTGCTAGGGCATAAAACCAGTGAGTTATTTGTCATGCAGCTTAATTCTGTCATAAAATGCTAATCAGCCTTTCTGTCACTTTGCTCTTGCCCCATATCTTTTTATGAGAACATTAACATGGTTATTACAGAGTAGAGACTCTTATGGCTACAAATATACTTACCATTTATGTATATTTTTGTTCACAAAAAAAGATGCCACCAAGAGTCCCAGACTCCTAGTTAACCATAATCCTAGTTTCTAGCATGAGGAGCTTGAGTCTGCCATGCCATCTGGATGGTGGCATCAGGTGGCCAGGGTCAGCTTCCTTTTGCTCAGGTCTTTGTGCTAGAGTCAAACTATGAGCCTTTCTTCCCATCTTAGTACAGAGCAACTGAGACTTCCTTTATGGAGTGGTTAAACAAAAAAAAAAAAAAAAAAAGGCTATATTTTAGGTGGCTCTAACAGTTTCTGCAATAGAAATATGGACCCTGGAAGCTCGTTTCCTAAGGGGCTTTTCAGAAATTGAACCAGTATGCATACCAAAAATCCTCCTCTGACAAACACACAATCAACATTCCAAGGCAACTCACTGATGAGTGGCTGTAGGACTGCATAATTCTTTCCAATACTGGGCCTTTACTAGGGCTGTCAGGCATTTTATATCTCAGTATCTTGCCCTGTAGAGGCCAGGAATACGTCCCGCAAAGATATGTTTTATCACATATGGGCTTTGAACTCAGGGAGTTCTGAATCTGAATCTTGGCTCCATCACTTACCGTGTCTGTGGCTCTTGTCAAATTATTTGTCTTTTCTGAGCCTCTGGATTTTTTGTTATTGTTTGTGAAGTTGTTGCAAAGATTAGAAATAATGCATAAAAACACTTGCTACAAGGTAATTGTAACTATTATTAATATCTTTATAGCTACTATTATTGTTGACTTTTGATCAGAACCAAGTTTGGTGTTCAATTGCATTAACTATTCTAGTAAAATTCCCTCTGTTCTTCACCTAAATTTCTGAGTTCTCTGTCTACATTTTAACTCTACTATTTTGCATGTTTCAATTTGGGCTGCCTCAAGTTTTCCTTGAAAGTAAAGTACACATTATAAGTAAATATTTTCATTGTCTTGTCCAAAAAAGTAAAGCAAAGAGCGTCTCCGATGTTCCCGATGGTTTAATCTCTGCTTTTCTATCCTAACCAAGTGTCAAGGAAATCAGTCTTCAGAGCCCTGCTCCTTCTCCCCAGTTAGTCACCAGTCTAGAAATCTGTATCTAAAACCTACTTTGCATAACACTCAGACATTTGAATCAGTTATTCTCATGTTTATTTATTAAACGTAATAGCTCTAAATTTGGATGAAAATGGGCAGAATGAAGCATGATTCATCAGTCATTCTCATGTTTAGTGACCTGCAAGCAAACTCTTCAGATGATTAAAAACATTTTCACTTTCCATCTGTATATCTTTGGGATTATACAGGCCCATCCCAAAGTATAATAATAAGGATAATGATGATAATGATGCTGATAAGCCAATTAACATATCAGGAATTTCCAGAGTTGCCAAGCTGATTGGATCAAAGGTCCACAGCAAACAGGCCTGCGTCTTTTGTAACATTTCTCCTTTGCTGCCACCTGGCCCCTCATGGAGGCAGTGTAAGAGCATCCTAGTGGGGAAAGCTTGCAATGGAGCTGGAGACACTCTGAGCTTCTCCTTGCAGGTGCCAGTCTCTCCTGCCAATGGCTGTGAGATGTCCAGGCAATCAGAAGTCAATTGTCATCAAGAAGAAAATTCCTGTCAAGAGCCACTTAACTTGTGTCACTCAGGAGGAAAAATCAATACCAACAATCTCAGGACATTACTGATTGGAGGAGTCTCCCCATCCCCTCTTCACTCACACTAAGTAGCTATGTGGCTGCACTTACACAGGTAGTAAAAGAAAAAGGAAAGTGCAGTTCCAACACTGAGCAAACAACAGCCTCACCCCAAAGCCTAGTTCATCACTCACTCCCTGACATTGTATCCAGTCAGGAAGAACAAGGAAGGAAAATTTCAGCATGTAAGTTTTGAATGAATTTTATAATTTCTTATGTATGTAAATTCTTTTCTATTCTCTATTTACTATCTCACTCTCCAAATGCAAACTGAGTTCTCCTTTCTTTTTTCTGCTTTTTTTAAATTCATGAACGCTCATTAATGGCTCACAAAATGTGATGCCTTACAGACTGGAGCTGGCATTCTGTCCTGGTTCTGACCTGTGCTCAGTAGAGACTGATTAGCATCAGTAATAATAATAGGACAGGGTTGCAGGCTGCTTAGTACAGGCAGATGAACAAGTATCCAAGTAAGCAGACCTTATGGGGGGGGCGGTGGGGAAGAGCTGTTATGTATTACTGCATATTCTGGCCTTGTAAAGAACTACTTCCTTTGTAGATCAACGTCAGCAAAATTTGCCTCCTCCAAGAATTACCCAACATTTTTATGGATATTAGAGAAAAGGTGCTGTGGAAGGTTGGGGTTTTTTTTTTTTTTTTTTTTGGTCATGGTTATTTTGTTTTTATAAACCTTTTGGTAGCATATCTACTCTCTGTAAACTACCTTTGAGAAAACCCCAAATACATAATATATTTAATACCTTCCTTTAGATATGGCAAAAACACAATCTGGAATGGATGGCTGTTCTGATCAATCCCGGTAGCTCTGAACTTGGATGAAAATGGACTGACTAAAGTAGGATTCAATAAAAAAAAATTATATATATATATATATTTCCTGGTTTGAAAAAGAAGTGCTTAAGAGTTTGGCTTAGTTCTTATTGAACTGTCAATCACCACAACAAAACCAAATAAAAAATGTTTTGGTACAGATGTTCAAGGAGAAAATGAATTGCTGAAATTTTGATAACTAGTATTGGCAAAGTTGCCAAAAAAATCTGAAGTCACTGCATACTCCAGCTGATGACATGACACTACCCTAGGTGGAAGACAGTAGAGGGCAGGGCAACCAAGTATTAGTAACTACAGAAGTTATGGAGAACAGGACACCAACAATCAAAAGATATTGCATCCAAAATATTATCTCTGTAAGAGACTTCAGAAGAAATTATCAAATCCAAACTCATTGTCTTGCAGAAGAGAAAACAGGGATTCCGAGAGGCTTTGGCCTGAGAATACCCAAATTCATAGCAGAAATGTAATTATTAATATAACTCAGGTAGCATGATCCCTAATCCAGGGCCTTCTCACTATGTCACCCTCACCATGGAGTGTTAGAGGTGAGGAACAGGCAGGAGGAGAGTGTAGACAATGGTTCCTGAAGCCCCCAGGGACTAAGATCCACAGTTCAATTCCTGTGCTGCATGAACAACCAATCTCTTCATTCACAAGAGGAAATAGTGTCACCTATTTGAAAGGAAGACAATGTAAAGGCTGCAAGTCAAAACAAGAAACCATAGTAATGAACATCGCAAAAAAACAGACCCTAGAAACTGAACCTGCAGCATCACTCTTTGCAGAACCTGCTTTTGTATTTCCTTAAGGAAATATTTGCAAATGGTATTTTCTTTACTGCGTATCTTTATCAGGTTAGTTGATTGTTATTTTTAATGTTTTTATTTATAATACAGTTCTTGAATTTATTAGTTCCATTGTTTTTCTGTTTATGACTTTCTTAATTTCTTTTTCTTCCTTTTTTTTTTTTTTTTCTGAGATAGGGTCTCACTCTGTCACCCACGCTGGAGTGCAGTGGCACAATCACAGCCCACGGCAGCTCCTGGGCTCATGCAATTCTTCCACTTAGGACTTTCTTAATTTCTGAACTTATTTTGTTAGTTCTTTTCTTCTGTTTTACTTAGTAGTTTTTAGTATTTTCAGTTTTTCTACTTTCATAGAGAGCATTACTATAAATATTTAAGACTGCTTTCTTTTAATTTGATGAGTTTAGCTTTAATTACATTCCTCATATTCTGATACACAATTTATTATGTTAATTTTCTGGATATTCTCCACTTTCAGTTTTGAGTTCATTTTTAACCTAAAAAGGGTTTAAGAAAGAGATTTTAGTTTACTAATGTCAGAAATCTTTGTTTTCTGGTTTGTTAATTAATCTTTAATGTTATTGTGTTAGATTCTGAGATGGCTTTCTATAGTTTTAAAATTTTTTGGAATGTTTCTTTAGGGCCTAATATAATTCTACTTTTGTAAATGTTTCACAGTACTTGTTAAGAAGATTGTTTCTCTATTTTCAGGGTATGGTGCACTGTAGATTGATGTAGCTATATCAGTTAGAGCTACGTTGTTAATTATGTTTTCTAGCTCTTCTGCATTTTTACTTACTCATTTGTCCACTTAATTTGTTGATGCACTGAGGGGAAAGCTATTTAAAGTCTACTTGTACTAATATGTTTCA
Source organism: Homo sapiens (assembly GCF_000001405.40). Taxonomy (NCBI): domain Eukaryota; kingdom Metazoa; phylum Chordata; class Mammalia; order Primates; family Hominidae; genus Homo; species Homo sapiens. Next base: position 118,763,892 of record NC_000003.12, read on the forward strand.
GTCTACTTCGCATTGATAGTTTTTGCTCTATTTCTTTTGATGCTATGTTATTTGATTGAATGAGTATTAAATCTTTATTAAGAATAGTATCTTCATGATTTTAACATGTCCTGCAATACCAACCAGGGGAGTTCAGGGTTGTTTGCATATAAATAAGAGAAGGAGGACAATAGTTGGGAAATTGAGTGACATTAGAGAACTGAGCTTTACTTGTGCTGCCTCCTAATTTATAAAGCTTTCCCCACACTACATAACCAAAGTCTCTTTCCCTTCCACCAAAACTTCCAAACATTTGGGTAGCATCCCTTTCAAGGCTATTAAAACCCCCTGCCTTATGATAATTTAAGAGCAAGTTTAAAAACTTGCTGTAAAGCTGGACACTCCTTTATCGTTATGGTCCTTGCAGCACTTAGCACATTTCATTGCTTTGAATCTAGCAGATGCTTAATAAATAGCCGATGAACTGAATTGATTCATCAAAATGAGTTCATCAAAATGAACCAATAATGCTTTCTGTGACTTTCTAAAATATGCTTCCTGTATGGGGGTTCTCCAGAAGCAGAACCAAAAGAATGTAGATACGAATTATAGATATATGTTACATTGATTGATAGAGAGAGAGAAATTTACTATAAGGAATTGACTCACGCAATTATGGAGGCTAGGAAGTCCCCAGCTCTGCAGCTGGCAAGCTGAAGACCCAGGAGAACCAATGGTACACTTCCAACCTGAGCCCGAAAGCCTGAGAACCAGGGGAGCTTATGGTAGACATCCCAGGCCAAGTCAGAATCTAAAGGCAAGACAAAACCCATGTCCCAACTCAAAGATGGGCAGAGAGAGCAAATTCTTCCTCATTCAGACTTTTGTTATATTCTGGCCTTCAACGATTGGGTGAGGCCTACCTACATGGGGTGGGGGAAATGTGCTTTACTCAGTCTAGTGACTCAAATGTTAATCTCATCCAGAAACACCCTCACAGGCACATCCAGAGTAATGTTTAACCAAACATCTCAGCACTCCACAGCCTGGTCAGATTGACACACAAAATTAATGTCACACTCCCTAATGAAATAGATGAAGACCTAGGTTGATATTTTGTCTATAATGACACCAGACACTGGGTCTACTTCCCAAATGATCCCCTTTACATTATGCTTTATTTTCAAACACAGGAAAGAAGGGAAACAACCATATGGGCCAAGGATAATTTTTGACCTGGAATGTAAAGGTTTGAAGAACTTATCTATGTGGCATGTATATCACTATGGTAGAGAGAGAGAGAGAGAGAGAGAGAGAGAGAGGAAACATAATTCACAAAGTGACAGAAAATTGGTATTTACATGGGGAGTGGGAAAAAGCTCAAAAGCAAATTTTTGCCTCAGTCAGCAGCAGAAATCTCTCACAAATCTCCCAGACAAATAGTCCAAGAGATGAGCCATCTCTCAGAAAGAATGCACTTGCACTGAAAGATTAGAAATGTTCAGTATGAAAGGGCTTTAGAGAAATGGAGAAATAGTTTTTCATGCAGCTCTCCACAGAAAGAGCTCTTTTGTTTTTTGCCTTAAAACTATAAAAAGAAATTTAAGTTTAAAAATTAAAAAACACTATCTTCAAGATAGCTCCTTTATTATAAAGATAATCTTTTTATTTCTAGGAAGAGTTGCATAAAAAGTAGCCATAACTTCTAATGTACTGTGTTACAGAAAGTGGTATACAATCAGCTGGTAACAACAGCATAACAACAGAAGGAATATGAGCTGCACCGGGCTTGAGCTCTGAGTATACAAGGGACTGGCCTTTGAGTAGTAACATAAGGAGCAAGAGATTTCTCCAGGGAGCACAACCAATTTTGCTACCAATAACTACCCAATTTGGCATGGACCAACACTTTTTAGCTCTGGCCAAGGAAGAAGAACTGGAAGGTAAAAAACAAGAGGATGCACAGCAGGAGAGAAAATGAGTAGCCATTCTTAGCTTCAGTGTCCACTAGGAAGAGGGATTAGTAATTCACACTAAAACCCATTCAGTATCTACACTGATAAGTATTTTTAATCTGCGGTTAACTAAAGTTAATCATAAGCAATAAACTATAAGTATTTAGAACAATGCCTTGCGTATAATAGCAACTTAATATTTATTGAACACATAAACTATAAGGAGTTTTGAAAGTATTTTGCTCTCATTTTATCCTTCCATTTACTTTATGGTGTCCTGAGTCCATATTGCTAAGAAAAGAGACCCAACCTGCATTCCTAGTCTCTATTCTGCTGTACCCATAAGGTAGCTCCAATGAGCACCTCTTACACTTAGGAGAAGAAAAAGATAGCTGTTATGATCCTAGTCTCTACCCCTAATCTGGGGTAAAGCTGAAATAATAACCCAGGGAGTCATGAAATAAATAAGTAAAGGAGGATAGAGAGTTATAGCAAAGGAGGAAATAAAGGATTGAATGTAAACACTTTTTAAATCAATCCCTCACCCATTGCTACATTAGCATGTAGCTGAGTGATTTTCTTCCCTGTAATTTAACCCTTCAACTGTGTTGGGTCATCCTATTGTAAAACTGTTCTTTATGACTCAAAATGGCTCTGCCCCCAGACTGAAACTGACTAAAGTACCTTTGTTTTTGCAGATTCAAAACAAAACATCAGGGGGGACACAAGATTCACATAGATAAGTGGCCAGTTTTCTTCATTTCTGTTCAAAATTACATGGGGGAACAATGGTAGAAAGTAGAAAATATATAATGAATAAATAATAGATTCATTTATTTAATCAACAAATATTTATTGAGCACTGATACATGTGTGCCTGGCACTGGCTAGTTACTAATACAGGGATGAACAGGCCACACATTGTCCTGTCCTCATAGAGCTTACGGTCTAGCAGGGGAGACAGATATTAAACCAAGAATCCTATAAGTGTGTAACAATTTTCATGAAGGAAACGTACAGTGTGAAACAAATACAAGAATAAAAGTGTAAAATATGATAGATAAAGCAAACCCATCTCACACAAGGAAATCAACGCATTTGAAGCCAAACAAAAGAAAATGTAGTTTCTCAGTTTAACATCACACCTGTAAAAATAATTCAAAAACATTATTAGGAAGCTTTTGAATGTGTTCATTCTAAATTATAAACACAAAAGAAAAGCCACTGAATGAAAAACATATTAATAACGTAACTACCTATAATAGGAAATTGGAAAAAGTCTGATTATAACTAGCAACATCACATTTTGCAACTGCCTCTAGAAAGTCTTGGTGTATGATCTCTCAGGCCACTTATCACTATTGATCTTGGGCCATTTACAAAATATCTTGGATTCTTGCCGCAGTGATATATGGATAATGAACAACATTCCATACTTTCTCTGACCTCAACGTGGAATTCCTGCTCTTTGGCTGAAATTTATTCACTTTACTACTATAAGTTCTACAAACATACAGTATTTTCAAATATTATAAAAGACTACATGTTTACTAAAACTGAGGAAGGGATTGAAGAGACATCAGAAGAAGCTCTAAGAAAAGTATTGCTATAAACCTAACATGAGAAAACGCAGGCAATTCATCATGATTTTTAAAAGCACAGGTGTTTGATAGTCAGGAAAGGACTAGGGTCCCCACTGTTGAGCAGGCTGCCACTGCAGTGAAGAACCAGGTAGCAAACAGAGTAGTATGGAAAAAACAATATGTTACAGCTTGGGCTGTATCTCCTTAGTTGCTCCTGTGTCACCCATATTCAATCATTCTACCAACATTGAAAGCCGGATGTCACCAAGACATCATGCTTGTGTTGGAGAAGGGAAGAATGCAACACTTCCCCTGCTCTCAAAAATGCATATAATTTCATCAGGACAGTCTCAGAACGACTAATTAGAAAATATGACAGAATTTAAAAAAGCACTAGCCTGAGGTACAAGGAATGTCTATGGAGGCCCCACAGAGGTACAGCTCATTCTACATGGGAGGAACCAAGAAGGATTTAAGAAGGATGTAGGACTGGAGCACAAAAGGGTGAGAATAAAGGAAAAGGCATTGTAGGTTGACGGGTGAATATAACTGAAGGCCTAGAATGTGAAAGAGAAAGACACATATTCATTATTTATAGGACTAGAACATAGGACAATGGGGGATTTGGTGGAAAACAAAATTAGAAAAGCCATTTAGGGGAGCCCAGTCCCTGAAGAGTCTAGAGCTTCTTCTGTAGGAAGTGAGAAGGTAATGGAAGGTTTAGGGGTAGGGAATAATATTGGCTAGGTGTGTAGTAGGCTATAAAATCTAGGTTTGTATAAGTACACCCTATGGTTTTTACATAATGATGAAATCACCTGATGACACATTTCCCAGAATGCAGCCCCTTCATTAAGTGACACATGACTGTATTTGCAGAAATGCATACCGATTGAGCATCTCTGATCTTAAAATTTGAAATCCAGTACGCTGCAATGAGCATTTCCTCTGAGCATCACGTTGTCACTCAAAATGTTTGGGATTGTTGAGCATTATGGTTTGAAGATCTTCTGATTAGGGATGCTCAACTTGTAACTTTCAAGTTAACATACAACAGAGAGGGTTCAGAAACAGATAGATACTGCAAGTGACTCTGAAAAACAATGTTAAAACAGTCTGTCTATTCAAACTATATATATATACACACACACACACACACACACACACACACACACACACATAATTCCATAGGGAAGAAATGTATAAATTTTACATTAAAAACAATTTTGTCAGCTATAGTTAGAAACTTAAGGAATGTTAGAGGATTATTGAAGAGAAAGAAGGGGAAGACCTTTGATATAGTTGCTTAATCTAAATCAAGTAAACTTTTGTTTTAATTAAGGTACATTCTCATGGTCTAACTATGAGAGAGTTAGAGGGTCAAGTCATTAAGAAATTGCCCTTTGAAATGAATGACTGTTAAGAGAGCATCTTATCACTTTGCTTTGATAAAGAAAAACTTCTAGAGCCTCTGGAAGGAAATACTTATTTTCCTAACACCAAAAGTATTCCTGAACTATAGGAAGGACAGCTCAGAAAGGCTTCACACTGGAAGTGAGACCAGTGATGCCACAAGCCAACATCATGTTCTGATTAATACTGAACACCGCAGAAGTATGCTGATGTATGTCTACATTCCACAGTTTCTTTAAAACTTGCTTCAAACCATAATTTTCATGTAGTAAAGAAGTAGGCAATCCATACTTGTCCACATCTAGACAGCTTTAATACAGCATTACATTTTGGTTTATAGAACAATGTCAAATACAAATGAACTATAAACATTAATCATTCTCAGCTATTTGGGCTGGGAACTCTTGGTCCCAGGTTAGTGTTCCAAGGCCTTTCCATGATACGGTGGCAGCTGCTGAAAGGCCAGGTACAATATATACGTCCATATAAAAATGACTACCTTTTAGAACAGTATTCTCAGTCTATCTGTGGTGATGGGCCAGTCTTTTTAATTGTTTGCTCTGTTTGATTGTTTAATGTTCAGCCCACTGCAGGCTAGAATGTAGTGCCACTGCACATGAGCAGTATGTAGCTTGCCCTCTATGCACCTCACCATGGGCAGAACACAATACCTGAAATTTCCCATACCCTATTCAGTGAGATAAGGTCATTGATCATCTACTAGGATTTCATGGCTAGGTTAAATGGCTATAAAATGTCTAAACACTCTCAATTTCTCTACTCACCTTATCAGACTAGAAACAGTTTTCTTACTGGTACTGGTCTACCGACGTCACTTTGGGAAGCGCTGTATAGAAGATGGGCCTTGACAATCTGAATCACTTTCAGCGGTAATGAATAGGCTATGAGGTGAGACTAAGGAGGAAGAGACCAATGAGTAGACATGAAGCAAATGTTCTCTATGAGACAGCAAATGATGGCTGCATCAATACTTTCTGTCAGCACAGCCAAGCAGAGTGCCAGCTCTGTGGGAGGAGGGTTCCTCTCCTAGGCCTCCCTTAGGCTAACATTAGCTCCAGCCTGCAACAAACACACTCCAAGTATCTGCAAACATAGGGCCCCAAGACCAAATCTGTGAGGTACTCAAATGTGTGAATGAATTTACACTCACTGCCCTTTTCTCCAAGCTGGCCTCTCCTGCCCCCAGGAGGGACTCATAAAGCACTTAGCTATAGTGATGGGTTTGAAAGCACCTCAAAGAAACTTCCATTTTCCCCATGAGTTCTCTGAAGGCTTCAGGAGAGAACTGCAATTTCACTTAATCCTTAGATAGTTTGTCCTACATTTTATAATTTCTGAAAATGGTATGCACGTTATAACTAATGTATACACTTAGTATGGTAGTGTTACCTTTTTTTGCCCTCAACTATGTTTAAATTGATATTTTCTAGCTGATGCCATTTTAGAAATGGAGGAAATTAAGTATGTAATGTCATTGTGAATCAAAAGCATATGGTATTTTATTTCCCTTAGGCAGCTTTGCTTTAGGGAAGTGTATATCAGGAAAATGGATGAGAGCATTGGTCAGCCCATTTGACAGATTTAAATAATATATAAATAATATATAAGCAATAAATATAAAGGTAGATTATATATATGGCTACATGTGTATTTTTTATTGCAACATATTTGAGAAAAAGTGTATATATTCAGTTATTACATGATAATCTGATGTACATATATACTATATAATGATTACTGCAGTAAAACTAACACATCCATCACCATGCATAGTTACATATGTGTGTGTGTGTGTGTGTGTGTGTGTTAAGGACACAAAAATCTACTCTCTTATCAAATTTCAAGTAAACGATACAGTATTATACAGTATTATTTACTACAGTCACCAGGCTGCACATGAGATCTCCATAATTTATAATGAAAAGTTTCTGCCCTTTGAGCAACGTTTCCCATATTTATTGAGATCCTGTTATATGCCAAGTACATGAGGGCTTCTCCTGTATTAACTCATTTAAAACTTATAATAACCCACTGTGGTTGGCACTCATTTTAAATACGCAAAAAATGAGGCACAGACAGGTTAAGAAATTGTATTAGGTTTCTCTAGAGGGACAGAACAAATAGGATAGATGTATATATGATGAAGGGGCATTTATTAGGAGAATTGACATCACCTTGTGAAGTCCTACAATAGGCCGTCTGCAAGCTGAGGAACCAGGAAGCCAGTCTGAGTCCCAAAATCTCAAAAGTAGGGAATCCGAAAGTGCAGCCTTCAGTCTGTTGCCGAAGGCCAGAGAGCTTGTAAGTCCAAGAGTCCCAAAGCTGAAGAACTTGGAGTCCGATGTTTGAGGGCAGCAAGCATCCAGCACGGGGAAAAGATGAGGACCAGAAGATTCAGGAAGTCAAGTCCTTCCACGTCCTTCTGCCTGCTTTATTCTAGCCACGCTAGCAGTTGGTTAGATGGTGCCCACCCAGATTGAGGGTGGGTCTGCCTCTCCCAGTCCATTGATCTCCTTTGGCAACACCCTTACAGACACACCCAGGAACAATACTTTACATCCTTCAGTCCAATCAAGTTGACACTCAGTATTAACCATCTCAGAAATGTTTCCCAAGATCACACAGCTAGGAAGTGTTGTAGCTAGCCAGGGTTCAAATCAATGTTGATTACTGATACCCTAATCATCACTTAATCAACTTGTTGATAAAACAGCATCAAGTTCATTGCCTACTGAAATAAGAAAGAATACTCCCTTGACAGAGTCTTATTTTCTAGGAGGGATATTTATGAGGTTTGAGGATCTGGTTTAAGGCAGGTATCCAAGGAAGGAAACTAACTCAGATTGGGCCAAGTTCCTGATAAAGCAGTTTAGGATTAATGGCCATAGCAAGGAAAGGGTTCCAAGTGAATCTGGAAGAGTAAACAGTGGCATGGTAAGTCTGAAGTGACCTCTTGTCCCAAAAGTGAGTTATTTATTCTAACAAGGGATAGTTGGATCATCTTTCATTCAGATAAATGGGTTCCAGGAAGTCTTATAGCCAAATAATAATTCGCAACATCGTATTCCTGGGCAAGAATTTCTTGAAATAAGTCATATTAATGCAGACAGTGATCTGCATGGCTCCAGATGGTTTGGGTTCCCACCAGGTGGTTGCTACCCATGCTCAACATTCATACAAGCTCAGCCACGCTTACTGACTGGCTGTAAGAATTTGATGAAATAATCTATGTCAACATGTTTCATAAGCTGGGAAGCACTATGTGCATATCAGCTGATAGAATTGTTAATAGTAGCAGTACCTGCAGTTCCTGACTTTAAGTCCCACTAGTTGGGCCAGAGCTTAATAACATGATTGAGTAAAGCAATTGAACCTAGCAGTTCTCTGAGGTAAGGCTCACCTTGAGTTAATCAGAATGGAAACTTGGCCGAGGAATGGAAGAACAACTTGGCACCAGGAAAATCCACATTCTCTGTATTCCTGAGAAAGCGAACACCCAGCTGTGAATTTATTGACTCTCCCTTAAGAAGTTCTAATGGAATAAATTTTTCCTTCTTGGTGCCTGCTAATTAGACAATTATTTAACTCTGTTTCTTTTTTTAATGACTCTCTGCTGTTGTTTGAAGACTTCTGTCTATTATTTGTAATAAAAACCTCTGTCACATTTTTGCCTCATTATCCTTAACAAATAGTGCATTCCCCAGCCCCAATCCCTGGCTCCCTTAGTTCTCCCTCCCCCAGCACCTCCCCAATCTAGAGCTCCCAGAGTTTCAAAGAGCAGCTGTTATCATGTTGTTGACTGAGAGATTTTTAGAAACTTCTATCACAGGCACAAGGCTCCATGGGGGGCTGTTGAATTAAATATCAGCTCTTCAAACAGGAATTAGCTCAGAGAACAAAAGCAGCAGGAAGACAAGGGACAAACACAGGCAAATGCTGCAGTCCTCCCACTCAGTGATTGAGAAACTAGTTCTCTTTTTCTTCCCTAGAACTCTAATACAGGAGTTCCTAGGCCCCTGACCACACTTGGCCATGATGAGTCATATATCTCTTCTCAGGGCTGGAGAAAAAGCCCAGCCCAGCCCTGGGTTACTTACTCTTCAATCAGAAAATGAGTGTGTTCAAAGGAAATTGTCCTTTTCACTATCCCCAATGGTGAGGCAGCCTCATTTCAGTACTGTGGAGGATTTTCTATGGAGCAACTATTTCTTCAGAGGGGAGAAGTGGGAAAACAAGAAAACAAAGGAATCAACATTTGCTAAGTCCTACTACATGATGGGATCTGCCTGCAAGGTACGTACCGTTTCTCTACTCTCAGTTCATAGCAATCCTGGAGAGACTAGATCCTTGCTACTCAAATATGGCATGGGTTGGCTTCATGGGTGTGCAACTTCTTTTTTTTTTTTTTTTTTTTTTTGAGATGAAGTCTCGCTCTTGTCCCCCAGCCAGGCTGGAGTGCAATGGCACGATCTCGGCTCACTGCAACATCTGCCTCCCAGGTTCAAGCAATTCTCCTGCCTCAGCCTCCCAAGTAGCTAGGACTACAGGCACCTGCCACCACACCCAGCTAATTTTTGTATTTTTAGTAGAGAGGGGGTTTCACCATGTTGGCCAGGCTGGTCTCGAACTCCTGACCTCAGGTGATCTGCCTGCCTCGGCCTCCCAAAGTCCTGGGATTACAGGCATGAGCCACTGCGCCTGGCCTGGGTGTACAACTTCTACAGTCACATGGGGTCATTCGCTTAGGATGGCCACACTTTGTTTAATGTTCTGTTGTCTTGAATTTTTTAACAATTTTATCTTTCAACTTGCGTTTTGTAAGTAAAAATGCACTGAAACACACACACACACAAAGGCGATGCAGGCAACATATATATTTACCATTCCTTGACACCCCATTCACAAATAGCATTTGCAATGTCCATAATCACAGAATTCCATTGGACTCATGATATGTGGGAGTTCAGTAAGACTCAAAGCAAGTACAAGGTAAGCATGTTAAGTCCATGACTTAGTAAGCGAGAGTGGTGGCAGCTCCAAGAAACCATACCTTCCTTTTGCAACGGCACATGCTTTGAATACAGAAAGAAGAAAATGGCATTCTAAGAAGCACAAGCTACCAAGGAATCCTTTCATCCCTGTGTTAGTCAGACACATGCTGAAAATGACACAGGAGGAAAAGATAAGAGAAACTCACAGCTCCTTTTCTTTGAATTCTTCCCTACTCATAAATAACCTGAAGGTAGAAAATATTATAGACTATGTATGTGTGTATCAAGAAGTGAAATAATTTCTTTTTCATGATGGCTGACTAGGAACATCAGATGTCAGTTCTCCTCAAAGAAGTTCAATGTTCCAGGTGAATGGTCATCATCTGAATGGAAAACTAAAGGAAGAGAGCCAGGCTCTGTCAGAGTGCCCACGGGAAGAAGCTGGGATGCAGAAAAGCAAAGCAGCAGGCATCTGGCAAAGATGGACCCCTGAGGAACTCGAAGCCACATGGAAAGGGTAGGTGGGGGTGCTTCTGTGCTCCCCTCACCCCTGGAACAATCTCCTGACTGCTAAATTGTCAAGGAGTACCTCTGCCCTCACAACCCAGTGCAATGCTGTTAGTAGTGATTTGAGGACTTCCCGGGGACAGAGAACCAGGGGCCAGCTCACGCAGGGGCACCTGTACTCCCCTCAGGCCTGAACTGAGATGGCAAGCACCAGAGTGGTTGTGTAATTATTGTGGGCCACTGCTCTCTGCCTGGGGAACCTTACACCTTGAGTTACTACATCACCAGATACCCCCACCAACATACCCTAGAAACTTCTCTGACTTTGGCAACCGCAGAGGACCAGCATCCAAATTGGGAAAGAGCGAGTCAAATTATCTCTGTTTGTTGATGACATGATTGTACACCTAGAAAACCCCAAAGACTACCACAGAAGACTCCTAACTTGAAAAGCATCTTCAATAAAGAATAAGGATACAAAATCATTGTATAAAAATTAGTTCCATTTCTATATGCTAACAATGCTCATGCTGAGAACCAAATTAAGAACTCAATCCCATTTACAATAGCCATGGAAAAATATCCTATGCTCATGGATAGGAAGAATCAATATTGTGAAAATGACCATGCTGTTCAAAGCAATCTATAGATTCAATGCAATTCTCAGCACATTACCAGTTTTATTTTTCACAGAATTGGAAAAAACAATTCTAAAATTCATATGGAACCAAAAAAGAGCCTGAATGGCAAAAGCAATCCTAAGCAAAAATAACAAAGCTGGAGACATCACATTACCTGACTGCAAACTATTCTGCAAATCTATAGTAACCAAACAGCATGGTACTAATACAAAAATAGACACATGTGTCATATAAAAATAGACAAAAATATACACATGTATCAGTGGAACAGAATAGAGAAACCTGCAGCAAAGCCACATACCTATAACCAACTGATCTTCAACAAAGCTGACAAAAATAAACAATAAAGAGAGGACACCCTATTCAATAAATGGTGCTGGGAAAACTAGCTAGCCATATGCAGAGGAAGGAAACTGGATCCCTATCTCTCATCATATAGAAAAATTAACCAAGATGGATTCAAGACTTAAATATAAGACCTGAAACTATAAGAATGTTATAAGAAAACCTAGGAAAACCTTCTGGACATTGGCCTAGGTAAAGAATTTATGACTAACACCTCAAGAGCAAATGCAACAAAACTAGATAAATGGGACTTAATTAAACTAAAGAGTTTCTGCACAGTAAAGAAACAATCAACAGAGTAAACAGACAACCTACAAAGTGGGAGATATATTTGCAAACTATGCATCTGACAAAAGACTAATACCCAGAATCGATAAGAAACTAACACAAATCAACAAGTAAAAAACAATCCCATTAAAAAGTGGGCAAAAGACATGAACAGACACTTCAAAAGAAGACACATATGCGGCCAACAAATATATGAGAAAAATGCTAAACATCACTAATCATCAGAGAAATGCAAATTAAAACCACAGTGAGATATTATCTCAAACCAGTCAGAATGGTTATTATTAAAAAGTAAAAAATATAAGAGATGTTGGCAAGGATGAAGAGAAAAGGGAATGCTTATACATTGTTGGTGGGAATGTAAATTAGTACAACTCTAGGGAAAATAATAGGGATGATATAGCTTGGCTGAGTCCCCCACCCAAATCTCATCTTGAATTGTCGCTCCCATAATTCCCATGTGTTGTGGGAGGAACCCGGTGGGAGATAATTGAATCATGGTGGCGGTTTCCCCCACACTGTTCTCATGGTAATGAATAAGCCTCAGGAGATCTGATGATTTTATAAAGGTTTTCCCCTTTCGCTTGATTCTCATTCTCTCTTTCCTGCCGCCACATAAGACATCCCTTGCTTTTCCACCATGATTGTGAAGCCTCCCCAGCCATGTGGAACTGTGAGTCAATTAAACCTCTTCCCTTTATAAATTACCCAGCCTCAGGTATGTCTTTATTAGCAGCTACGAACAGACTAATACAATGGAGATTTCTCAAAGAACAAAAATAGAACTACCATTGGACACAGCAATCCCACTACTTGGCATCTACCCAAAGGAAAAGAAATCATTATATAAGAAAGACACCTGCTTTTGTTTATCACAGCACTATTCACAACAGTAAAGTTAGAGAATCAACCTACTGTCCATCAATGGTTGACTAAAGAAAATATTATATATGCATATATATATATATATATATACACACATACACACACACACACACACACACACACACTGTGCATTATGCAACCATAAAAAAGAATGAAATCATGTCCTTTTTAGCAACATAGATGGAACTGGAAGTCATTATCCTAAGGGAACTAAATCAGAAACAGAAAATCTAATATTATATGTTCTTACTTATAAGTGGGAGCTAAATAATGGGTACACATGGACATAAAGATGGAAATAATAGTCACTGGGGGCAGGGATATGGACTGAAAAACTACCTGTTGGGTACTACATTCAGTATTTGGGTGATGGGTTCACAGAAGCTTAAACCTGAACATTACACAATATACCCAGATAACAAACCTGTACATGTAACTCCTGAATCTAAAATAAAGTTCTTTGAGAAATCACCAAACTGCTTTTCACAACAGCTGAACTAACTTACATCCCCACCAACAGTGTATATGCATTCCCTTTTCTCCAAAGCCTCACCAGTAACTGTTATTTTTTGACTTTTTAGTAATAGCCATTCTGATTGGTGTAAGATGGTACCTTACTGTGGTTTTGATTTGCATTTCTCTAATGATTAATGATGCTGAGCATTTTTTCATATGCTTGTTGGCTGCATGTATTTCTTCTTTTGAAAAGTGTCTGTTCATGTTCTTTGCCCACTTTTTAATGGTGTTGTTTGTTGTTGTTTGTTTTTTGCTTGTAAATTTGCTTAAGTTCCTAAAACAGAATTACCATTCAACCCAGCAATCCCACTATTGGGTATTTACCCAAGGAAGTATAAATCATTCTGCCATAAAGACATATGCATGCATATGTTCATTGCAGCACTATTCACAATATCAAAGACAAGGAATTAACCCAAACACCCATCAATGGTAGACTGGATAAAGAAAATGTGACAAACACCATGGAAAACTATGCATCCATAAAAGGAATGAGATCATGTTCTTTGCAGCAACGTGGATGGAGCTGGAGACCATTATCCTAAGCAAACTAACACAGGAACAGAAAACCAAATACCACATGTTCTCACTTAGAAGTGGGAGCTAAACATTGAGTATACATGAACACAAAGAAAGGAACAACAGACACCACGGCATTCATTCTTGAGGGTAGAAAGTGGGAGGAGGAAGAGGTTCAAAAAACTACCTATTAGATACTATGCTGATTACCTTGTTGATGAAATAATCTATATGCCAAATCCCCATGACATGCAATTTACCTATATATCAAACCTGTGCATGTACCTCGAACCTAAAACAAAAGTTTAAAGAAGTTTAAAAAAAAATTGAAAAATAAAATACTTTTTAAAAAAGTGAAATGAAAACAGCTGTTTTGTGTAGTGCGACCACTATTTTGGTAAGAAAGAATTATATATGGATGCACCAGCTACAAAATACGAATTATATAATTATATATGAATTGTATAATTTCAGTGAATCCATATATGAGTTAAATGCTCTTATATTTGCATTTAAAAATGATATTGAACAACATAAAGATAAATTATAAACCATACTAATAATTTAAAATTCCAGCATTTCTTTACAACATTAAATAACAAAACACAGCATAACAAGCTGAGTGAGACTGGAAGAAAGAAAAAAGCTTTATATTTTAGTACCTTTAACAATATTTTCTTCTCGCTTTTTGAACCAGGGGCCCCTCGTTTTGCACTGGGCCTGGCAGTCCCCACCCTGTCTGTACCATCAATATGAACTGGGAGCTCCTTAGAAATGCAAAACCCCAGCCCCTCCTCAGATGTATTAAATCAAAACCCGCATTTTAACAAGTTCCTGAGATGATTCATGTGCACATGAAAGTTTGAGAAGCACAGGGTTAGAATAATCTGCTCAATGATTCACAATTATCCAATGGAGGAGTTGGGATCCAAACTCCAGCAGTCTGACTTCAGGGTAGAGGTGAGTGACCACTACACTTAACTGTGGGACCGTGAAGTCAATGCCATATTATCCCTCATTTACAGATGTAAAAACAGCTTAGAGAGGTTAATGGACTTGCCCAAGGTTGTAAGTTGCCAGCTAATGAACAACCAAACAGGAATTAAAAGCAAATCTGCCTGGTTCCCAATCTCAGCTGTTTGCATTGGTACGGATAGTTTCCAAATAAGAGTGAACATCAGAAATAATTAGAGAATGTTTTAAATGCAGATTGCGGCCCCACTCCAGACACAGCAAGTCAAAATCTCTAGGTTGAGGCTTGAAAATATACTTAACAACAGTGGTTCTCAAACTTGAATGCACAGTAACACTACCTCTGGGATTTTTTTCTTTTCTTTTTTTTTTTTTTTTTTTTTTTTTTTTTTGAGAAGGAGTCTCAGTCGCCCAGGCTGGAGCACAGTGGCGTGATCTCGGCTCACTGCAAGCTCCGCCTCCCAGGTTCACGCCATTCTCCTGCCTTAGCCTCCTGAGTAGCTGGGACTAGAGGGGCCGCCACTACGCCCGGCTAATTTTTTTTTTTTTTTTTTTGTATTTTTAGTAGAGACGGGGCTTCACCGTGTTAGCCAGGATGGTCTTGATCTCCTGACCTCATGATCCACCCGCCTCTGCCTCCCAAAGTGCTGGGATTACAGGCGTGAGCCACCGCGCCCAGCCACCTCTGGGATTTTTTTAAAATCCTGATGCCAAGGCCAGATCTCAGAGCAATTAAATTGAAACGTCTGGGGGTCAGACTCAGACACCAGAACTTGAAAGCCGTTGAGAATGCCTGTTTTAAGAAACTTCCAGCTGATGCTGATGCTCAGCCAGGCATGGAGACTCTGCTTTACAGGGAAATATGCACCTGTCCACAGGGCTGCCCACTGGACTCCTGTGCATATAGGTTAGGAAGAAGTGACTAGTAAGCAAATAAAAAATACAGAATTTCAGAAAACTACTTTCATTTCTAAAGCCAACCTTATCAACCGGCTTTAAATGTGAAAAAATGCAATTAGTACTCAAGATCACTGATGTATCAAAGAATCATTAGCAGCCAAAAAGCAAGAACTCTGTACTAAATATTTGTATCTGTTTCTAAATCAACATTTTTATCTCCAGGAATATCGACATTCACTAGTCATTATTCTGGAACTCTTGTCAAGTGTCCATGTTAAGAGAGACAGGAACTATCTGCAACAGTCAGGGAAACCGGAAGCGAGAAACCCAAGACCCACCAAGGCAGAATGGAGAAAGAGTGCAGCTAGGGGTCTCTTACAAGCTGTTGGCAGAGAATCTCAGGAGCTCAGGGTTAAAAGGTCCCCAGAAGTCAGGAATTAAAGCCCTCTTTCAAAACCTGACTTCTGCCTACAACATCTGGCCCGACTCGAACCACCACCTATATATAAATCACCCAGGTTGTTTAAGCTGCAGTAACTTCTAATCCCAGCCCAAACCTCCCACATTGCCATCATCTGGGAATGGTGCTTTAAAAAATAGGTTCCCCAAGTGATCTGCATGCACATTAAAGTTTG
Source organism: Homo sapiens (assembly GCF_000001405.40). NCBI lineage: Eukaryota > Metazoa > Chordata > Mammalia > Primates > Hominidae > Homo > Homo sapiens. The sequence continues at coordinate 118,780,042 of NC_000003.12, forward strand.
AAAACAGCTATTATGATAGTTCTATTAGGTACTTCTAGCCCAGTGCTAGGCAGGGGCAAATTCACCAAGCTAGCATCACTCTTGGGATGTTCTGGTGGCTAGCCATCTGGCATTTTCCCCTTGAACAACACATATCTTCATAACTCTGTCTTTCCTATCTACTCTGGAGTTAATTGGAGGTTGTTCTACTCATATCTTAGTATGTAGACTATTAGCCATGTAATGGACATTAGACATCGTATAATCAAATGTGTCCAATATGCAGGTCACTTTCACGTAAGCGAACACAAGTTACCTTTTCTCCCTCCTAAATATGTCCAATTGGCCTATTTGGCAAGGTTTCACTGACAGACAAAAGGTACTTGGTATTGACCAACACCCCAAACTACAGAGTAGACAGTGCCATATCTCCCTTCAAGGGCTATCCAGAGTGAATCTTCTCTTTTCCACAGGACAGTCTTTAATTACTTACAAATACATATCACATCCCTCTCAAATCTTTTGTTCATCAAGCTGAATAATCCCATGTCCTCTAGCTTTTTCTTTTTACTAAATTGCCTTAAAATTATGTTTGTATGTGTGTGGTCTTACATAATATATATTATTGTTTTGGTGCATGTATTTTTAGTTCATGTAAATGGAAGTGTGTAATATCACAGATGTTTTATCAAATGTGGTCTTTAGGAGCTACACATGTTGCTATGCACACCTCTTACTTTTTTCTTTTGCACTGTGGTTTCTCTATACCTTCCCCTACCACTCCTCCTGCACACCCCTAAATCTTCCTCAATTTATTGTTTTACATGTACTCCTCTTTATCCATGTCCCTTTTAAACTGAGGTATTCAATCTGAACATTGCCCCAGCCACTAAAAAAACACAGAATACTGGAGATATATTTTATGGATGTGTCATTCCACATACTCACAACAGTTTCCCTTAAGTACACTCTTTAGTTGAAATACTATTATAGTAAGACTACCTCACTTAAATCATTTACCACTGAAGGACATTCCACTCCTTCTTAGGCTGAATAAATCTATGGCATGGAGAATATTGTTTCCTAAACAGACTAACACTGCATTCTATTTCCTTGTATTCTTTTTGCTTACAGAAATGCTTGGTGTGTTGTTAAAGGCAGTCTCATCAAAAGAGACAGAATATTCAAAATAAACCTTGGAGATCACCCAGCATGAAGTTGCCTGAGGAGGTGGTAGTAAACCCTAAACATTTTATGAAGGAGGAGACTGAGGTCCAGAGGGGTTCAATGACTTGCTCAGAGACACAAGCCAATTACTACAGCCTGTAAGCTGAGTCAGAAGCCCCAGGTGTCCTGACTCCCAAGCCAGCTTTCGCTAGCATCCACGAGCCATACACCCTGCGGCACAGTGGAAGGCTGTGAATTGGCTCTTACAGCTGCCCACCCCTCACCCACCCTCTGATTCTCTGAAAGCAGAGTACACAGACCCAGTCTGTTTTGGAGTTTCAGAGCTGCAGCCTGCATATTTAACACTGGTTTTATCTATCAGAAATGGAGAATAAATAGCACTATAATAAAACCCATAAAATATACCAACTTGGATTTTTTTCAGGATGGCTCCAAGCACAAGTTGGTAATCAAAAGGTTTTGAGAAAAACTGGAAATAGTGTTTGCTGTGTTGAAAATTTCCGGAATCTTAAGAGCATCCCTGTTCTCCATCACCCACCAGCTGAATACTTTAGGAGGAGAGATGTGTTACTCTAAGTCACAAGGAAGGAGGACATTTTCAAAAGGCCTCATAAAGAATGCTTCCTCCTCACATCTTTATGAGCCATTCCCACTTTAGAGAATAAAACTGTTTAGGCTTCATGTTTTTCCATATTCCCAGAGCAGCAGCCGTCAAGGTGGTAGAAGAAATGGTGGTTGCACTTTCCAGCAAGTATGGAAGCTGTCAGGAACAGCAAGTGACAGTTGTGTTGGCTACACTTTTGTAGATATCTGGGTTTCCAGGGCTACTAATAATGAAGCTTCCCTCTTCCTCAAGCATTTGGCCAGGATTCAAATTTGTCACCAGCTAATTCCCTCTTAAGGGGAAAAAAAAAGTCCAGGAAGCACTGTTTCCCATTAGTGTAGTCAAGTGAGAAGCAGTACTTAGCATGATTTTTCTATTCATATAGTACCTTTAAATAGAAGCTCCCATTTCAAGAAGGCCTAATGAGCATACACAACTACCTCTTTTCCAACCCAAGTTCCCAGTGACATAACTAAAAGGATATTGGTTAAAGGGTGAAATCATAACAAGGATATCACATAAGAAAGAGAGCAATTCGGGCATCAGAAAGTTTGAAGAAATACTGAAAGACAGAAGAAAGATGAAATAGAAGGGACATCACCATCCAAAACACCAGAAGTAGGAGGTGTTTCTCCCAGGAGAAGCTGGAAACAAGACAAGCAACTTGGTGTCGATAAACAACAAAAAGCAGAAATAGGCTCTGAGGCCATCAGACAAGTTCACTGAATAATTCTTTTTAGATCAACTGAGACAGGAAAGTGTTGACTCCTCTTCAAGGTATACAGAATACAAATAGCAGAACTTTTGTCTACTTGGAGGAAGCTTTACAAATACTCCTTAACAAAATGGACAATTGTCTAAGTGAGGATCAATGTGTGGATGCTTGGGGCAGAGGGAGAAGGAGGGCAAAGGTTCATGCACTTCCATACTCCACCTCAAATCATAAAGGAAAGGGGGAGGAGGATGAGGAGGAAAAGCTCGAACAAGAAAATGAGGAGGGAGGAGGAGGAAGTACAAGAGGAGGAGAGAGCTCTTCTTCAGGTATCCTTCCCTGGAGCAAGCCCTTTCTGACTTGAGCTGCTGTGGCAGCTGAAGACAAATGCCTGCTTCACCTCAAAGTGCCCTTCATGTGACTCACTCACTTACTTTCCCTCCCATGAGAGGAAGTCCTGCAGGCACACACCAGCCCAACGAAATAAGAAACCATAACAGCAATATACACTAATCAATCTAGCTCTTCATGCATTCATGTGTATTAACCAATAACCAGGACTCACTAGACATTTGAGCAAGAACTAGAGAAAGAAGCTTTAACACAGTGACTAAACCAAATAGCTGACTCAAGAAGAAAGAAGTATTTCAAGGTCCAGAGAACACAGAATGAAATTTTAAGAAATCTAATTAATATACCCAGCAGTCACATAGTTTCATTTCTATAAAACAACTCAGGTGTTGATCCAGAAGACAAAGCAAAATGGAAAATGTAGAGGGAAAAGTTAGGTGATATGGAGGATAGAGTCAAGGAGTCCAACAGCTGTTTAATAAACATTCCAAAAATAGAAGACAGAGACAATGGATGTCTCTGACCAAATTTCAAAATTCCAACGATAAAGAAAAAAATCCTAAAAGTTTGCAAACAGAAAATATGTAATCACCTATAAGAGAAAGATCAGACAAAAGTCTTGGTGATTTTATTTATCAACCACGAATACAGCACTTATTTCATGCCAGGCCCTTTTCTAGGTAATTTAAAGAATACATGTATTTAGTGAAGTAAAGTGTCACATTCATTCTCAGCAACAAGTCTGGGTACTAGAACACAATCAAATAGTGTTTTTAAAGTTGTGAGGAAGTATTTTTAATCCTTAAAACCCACCTATGTTCAAATCATTAAGTCAAATGTGAGCAAAATAAGGCATTTTTTGGTCATGTAGAATTTGGAAAACTTATGTTTCATGTAGAAAAAAAAAAAAGATGCTAGAAGCTAATGCAACAAAATTAAAAAGAGATATAAAAATACAATATAAGATATAAGACTGTGGTGGCTGAATATGACCTAAAAGAAATGAAGAAAGTTGAAAATAAATTAAACAATGATTCAGTGGACCTTGACGCTTGAGATATTCTCTTTTAGCATCAATGGTTTAGTGACACCAGATGATATTTCCTTCTGTATGACCAGGCACTAAGTCTGATACGACTGGATAATCTTCACATAATCATAACATAGAAAATGCTGTTTGTAGGTTTAAATTTTTTGAATAAGCATATAGTCAAAACAAGAAAAGTTTCATTGCAGAAGTATAAATTCAAATAAAAAATATGAATGTAACAAAAATTGAAACAAGAAAAAAAGAAGAGAGGCTGGGAGAAAATATAAGTGAAACAAATAGGTCATCCTTCATGTCAGGAAGTCAATAAATACAATCTAGCATTAATAAATCAAGAAAAGAAAGTATTAGTGACCATTTAAGGTTGTAATGATGAACATCAGAACAACTAAATATCAAAAAATTTAAAAATCAGTTATAGAGGTATATGGAAACTATTTGTACCTTCTGCTCAATTTTTCTGTAAACCTAAACTGCTCTAAAAGTAAAGACTTAATTTTTTTAAAGGGTAGTTACCTGTGTGGGGTAGGTGGGTAGCCTCTCTGTGTGGCTTAAACATGTTTATTATGATTACTTTAATAATATGTTAAATATAGCTTAAGTATTAAATAACAATGAAACAGGATGGAGAGTTCTTGACAAATATATTTGATCCTTATTATGGTTATTTATATATTTGTCTTACCTCCATAAACTCTTTGAAAACTTGTCTAGTATTTCCTGTATTAATTAGCACAGTGCTTTTCTTCTTAGTGTAATTTTTTAAAGTATTTGTAAAAATTTTAAAGAAATAGGCTGGGTGTGGTGGCTCACACCTGTAATCCTAGTACGTTGGGAGGCCAAGGCAGGCAGATCAGGTCAGGAGTTCGAAACCAGCCTGGCCAACATGGTGAAACCCTGTCTCTACTAAAAATATTAAAAAATTAGCCCGGCATGGTGGTAGGTGCCTGTACTCCCAGCTACTCGGGATGCTGAGGCAGGAGAATCACTACGATAATCATTTGAACCCAGGAAGTGAAGGTTACAGTGAGCCTAGATCGTGCCACTGCACGCCAGCTTGGGCAACACAGCAAGACTCCATCTCAAAAAAAAAAAATTTTTAAAGAAATACAAGCATAAAGGCACAATTATTGACGTTTCTTACTAATTTTCCAATTCCATCAATACCCTCATGTGTGCAGTATCTAGTTAAGACAGATTTTGGCCAGGAACCAAGGTCATCCTGGTGCCATCTACTGCCTGTCTGCCCTCCTTTCTCATGGCTCCCCAGCTCTTCATGGCTCTCCTAAACCTGTGGCCTTCACTGGCCTTTGCCTGGCAATGGCTGGGTCCTTCCACACACCTGCATTGCTTCTGTTTGCTCTGAGGTGTGATGGCTTTGTATTTCCAGTCTCTGAATGTCCTCCCTTGCTGCTGACAGCCCACACATCCAACTCTCTCTCATTCCCTGCCATCCGTTTTCTTCATCTTTGCTTTCCCCCTGGGTATCTCTTCATCCCACCCCTTACTGCACATGCCCATCCATTTTCATCTGTCCCTCTCCCCACCACTTACCTGGCCATAATGTTAGTCTAAAGTACATTTTATTTGTTATGTCTATTGATTAAAGCTTTATGTTCCCTCTTCTTAATTAACTTAGCATTCATCCTTCTCCCATATCTTGCTGTTGTATATTTCAAACAATAGACATATTGCTGATAAAGCTATTTGTAAATCAATGTTCTGTAAACTGAATCATGTTTCAAATATACTGGAAGAACTTGCTAGATAAAAGAATCATGTGATGAAAAATTAAAACAATTCCCAATAATGCATATTTTTTGTGCATCTAAAGTTTCAGATAATGGCCATGTAAAATAAAACAAATTCATTGTAATGCCACCTGCCACAATCATTCTGCCACAGTTTTGGTTGATCACCTCAAGATAGATATTAAATCTGAAAATAAAAGTCTGTAGAAGGTACTAGATGATTCCCCCTGGAGACTCTTCTATAGGAAAATGGAAGCGTTGGAAGATGAAGGATGAATGAGTACATGCTTAAGGTTTGAAAATTTACAAAAGATAAACATGCTAAGAAGATTCATTCATTATATATACATACATTTAGTTACTGTTATATTCCAGGCAATCTGCTAGGTATTGAAGATAAAAACTGGATTAAGACAGTGCTTGCCCTCAAGGATTCACAGTCTAATAGGGGATACAAACACGTAAATAATTTCAAAACAATGTGTAAGTATTATATAAATAATGGTAGAATGTATCTTTTTTAAGGCTCAGCAGTGGCACCCCCTGGGGAAATCTTCACAAGAGCAGAAACTGGGTCTGTTTCATCTCCAGTGTCTAGCTCAGAGCCCCACTTACATCAGACACACAACAAATATTTGTTGCTAAGCTGTCGAGTGATCCACTCTGCTATGGAGGGAGTTGGAAAGAGCAAATCAGCAAGGGCATCAATGAGGACAAGATATTTAAACTGGGACTTCAAGAAGAATGGATGTTTTATAGTAAGGCAAGGATGGAAAACAGCATTCCAGGTAGGAGAAACTATGTATCGAAGTACAGAGGTGACGGAGATCACTGGACACTCAAAAACTGCAAGTGCCTCAATGTCAAGGCAGCACACATCACTCAGAAAGCCATCTCTCATATTACCAGGAGGAAGGAGAAACCACTTTCTTTTATGTGTAGCTCAGTATCTTGGTTTCTTTTTCCCCTTTATGGTTTTGCCTATACTTATCATTGGGTTGTCTCCTGTTCCTCTATGCCTCTTCGACAAAATTGGTCCCTCAAAGGTGTATTAATTCTTCCAAATACTAGCCCCTCTTTTCTTTTCTTTCCCTTTTTAAAATATTTTTATTTATTTATTTATTTATTTATTTATTTATTTATCTGAGACAGAGTCTTACTCTGTCACCCAGGCTGGAGTGCAGTGGCGCGATCTCGGCTCACTGCAAACTCCACCTCCCTGGTTCAAGCGATTCTCTTGCATCAGCCTCCCGATAGCTGGGATTACAGGCATGCACCACCACACCTGGCTAATTTTCATATTTTTTTAGTAGAGATGGGGTTTTGCCATGTTGGCTAGGCTGATCTTGAACTCCTGACCTCAGGTGATCAGCCTGCCTCGGCCTCCCAAAGTGCTGGGATTGCAGGCGTGAGCCACCGCACCCGTCCCCTTCTTTTCTTATACTCCTAAGCTAATGTCTTAGCTCAATTGTTTGAAGTAGCTCCCTAGCATGTGTATGTTAGTGCAAGATGTGTTACTCATTCCAAATGACTTTTTGGTTGCCCCTGTAGGACCTGTCAGAGATGGTATACTGACTATGTGGGTTTTCATAGGTAGCATGAGCTTACACCCAGGATTTTCTGGGACAATTTTTATTTTAAACACTCTATTCTATTGTTCTCTAAACCTTCAAAGTCTCTGAAGTTTGAATGTTTCATCTTCAATCTATGTATTCCAGTCTGATTCACAGCATGAAGCTGCACAAAATTCTTTTGTTAGATCATCTGTCACAATTTTTGTTACCTGCTTCATGGGTCTTGTCTCCTACAATTTGTACACCTTAACATTTGGTGCAACAAGTTTTCTTCTCCATGGCTACTCTGGAAACAGGAGCTGCATGTTTGTCATGAGTGTGCAGCACATTAGGTGAAAACTGGAAGCTATCAGCATTGCCCTCAGGAAGGGCAGAAGCAGTAATAAAGGTAATGAGGCAGAATGTACAATGCATGGGCTTTACAGCCAGCCAGGCCTCATTCTAATTCCATCTCTCTCACTTACTAACTGAGTAACTGCCTAGCACAGTAGCTTGTCTTGGCCCATCTCAGTGCTTTTCCTCTTCCACCAAGGGGTGAAATAGAGGCAGGAGGTCTCCTAGCCAATGAAGTTGGTCACCTACCAATGCCTAATGCAGAAAGAAAATATTAATAGATACTCTTGGCCTTCTATACCTGAAGACCTCCTTCTGCCATCAGTCACATATGTTTCTATACCACCTTCATGAGGAGATATGGCCCACACTCTATCCCTTCTCTCTTCTGATCAGTCTCCCCTTTATTCTCCCTGACCCAAGGTTTGCAAGCAATAATACCCCAAAGTGTAACTGTGACTCACACAGCCACAAGCTAGGGAAAGGGGTCATGAGCAAGGGAAAGGCTCTTTGCAAACCTTACATTTTCACCCTGACTTCCCAATTCTCACTTCTCTCTCACCCCTCAAGGATGCTGCATAAGATTATATAAGTTTGTCCTGCACAGATGTGCCCAACCCAGTCAAGGGATGCACTCATGCAGCCACATAATTGCAAATGGGTGTCTTTTCCTAAATCACACAAAGATACTGGATGGGCCAGCAGTGGCCCTTTTTCTGATTAAATGTGCTCCAGACGACCATTTACATAATGCCTGCTCAGGACCCATCACCTGCTCAGAGCCCCCTCCTTCCCTTCTCTTGCCCTCCCCTCATCACCCCAGCTGTCTTTTTGTCTGCTCTTCTCTTCCATTTATTCTCCTCTCTATTCTCCTTTCAACCCTTTCACATGCCTTGGTCATTTTATGGGAATACAAGGACAACGCATTTCATCTTACAATTACACCAGACCCTCCTTAATTCTAACTCTTATCGACTCCAAATTGGCCTTCTGAGGCCGAAGTATAGGGCAGGACTACACAGCAACGTGTGGGCAGTCATTTTCTAAGAGCTAAAATACACACCCAATTTACATGACTATTTGCATTTGTGTATAAATTATACATCAATATGTATCCTCCTAAGACAGTCAGTTACTAAAATAATTTTGCTACTCTCAAACTTGTCATTGCTCAATTTTTCCTCTCTTCCTCTTGTTACAACACCCACACACATCTTTTCATTCCTTGAGAGAAAGAAAATGAGAATAGAAACAGGGGAAGAGAGAGAAAGAATACCCTAAGAGTGGAATACAGGAGAAAAAGGAGCAAAGGAAAAAGATAAACATGAGAAAAAATAAGAAACATTTTTGAGCAATCGTATAAAGGATACCACTGTCATGGTCTTGAAATTATGATTAGGCGCAATGTAATTCACCCCCAAAGAAAGCAAAATAAATATAAAATCAATTATACACAACCTCTCCATAATTTCAGGTAAAAATTATTAGAACTTAAATTCTTCAGGAGGTTTCCTTCATAGGTCACTTTGCTGTTCAAATCTAGATTCAGTCTTTTAACAGTAAGTGAATGTCATAAAATACTTCAGCTTCAACTGTTTTGTGCTCACACTAAACTGGCTTTATGCAGTGGCACTGTAAGAGGATCAAACAAGATGGAATCTCTCCTCCCTGCCCCATCCCATTCCACCCCAAATCGGGCATCCAGGCAGCCATGCCTTCACCACAGGACTCCTGCATCCGAGGCGAATCATATTCTTTCCCCTTGGGACTCAGAGATACCAGGTGGTCTGAGCTCTTCGTTTGAGCTCATGAACTGAGTTTGCCTTAGAGAAAGCCATCTTCAGCTGGGCAGAAAGAAGCACAAATAATGACTGCAGAGAGAGAAAACTGAAGTAGAGAGAAATCTTGAGGCTTAAAACGTGCTTATGCCTAGGTTTGGGTGGGTTGTTAGCTTCAGGTTGCAATCCCATTTTCTGCCCTTGGGAACTCTGAGACACCCATGTGTCCTTATTAATAAACTCCCACTCCCTGTGCCAGCCAGTGTGAATAGGTTTTTGTTATTTTCCACCAAAAGAATCTTGACTAAGACTGTTTAATCAAATTAATCCAGAGGCATTTCCAATTCAGTTTTGTATTTCTAATCATTTTTAACACATTTGAAGTGTTTTACAGATGATGGGATTTTTTTTTCTTTTTCTATTAAATAAATTTGACTCTTCAGGATATGGTTAGCTTGTCTAAGGAACTTTCCTTAAGAGCATTATATTTTCAACCGTAACAATATCAGATACTGTAGGGACACATATCACTTTGTGTTGCACAATATATTATGGCTTTGCAAATTATACATCTTGGAAAATAAAATACATTGAAGTTCAATAAAATTCTTACCCAAGGGTCTCACTTCTTCATTCCTGCCATCAAAATACCAACACCTCATTAAATGTGAAGAAACATTAGAAATGTGCTAATTCAGTTAATAAATATGTGGAAAGAGCAAAGGCACAAATAACAAAAAAAGGCAGTAAGAATGAGGCAATAATAATAAAAAAGAATAACTATGGTAAATTCTGCAGGATAGGCTGCAGACTTGGTAAGAATTTATTATAGTAGAACTAAGAAAGTAGAACTTGGTTGGAGATTCACAAAACCTAGAGGAGGAATCTGTGCCAGCCTGAATAGAGTCCTTTCTCTCTGCCCTACTTGTGTGTAGCACCCAGGAGTTAATATCAAAAACCCATTATGCATTAGTTCTTGTTGGTTGTATAACCATGCATCAAAGCTAATATATGATGAAATGCATGTCCTTCACATTGCACAATATAGAATCAGTCATTCTCAACTATTTTTTATATTTTCAGAAAAGAAATATAGGTTCAGATAATTTATAATCTATGCATTCAAAACAATGTTTATTTCTGTCCTATCAACTATGCCTATGACTGGGAGATCCAATCCCTGTTGTTAGTTGAGATAGGTTTGAACTAATCCGATGTTCATGCTCTAATTTCTCCATTCACTGTTACTAATGTAACTAAAGTTGGATTGAAAGACATAGAATCATAATTATCATTAGTAATATTCAATATCTACTGTGTGCCAAAGACTGTCAGGTGACATATATAAATATATATATGACAAATAAAATTATCTTTCCAATTCTATAGGGCAGGTATTACTCTACCTATTTTACAGATAAGCAAATTGAGGTTTAAAGAAATTAGATAATTTGTCTAAATCACACAATAAATCAATGACAGTATCAAGACTGAACCCAAGTCTCTCTTAATCCATAATTCATATATTTCTATTTCACTTGGACTGAACATAAAACTACACTAAACAGCCTCTGAAACAAATGAAAAGAAAGATATTCAATCACTTAATTGTTCATTCATAAATATCAATTTATTTTTATTAAGTGCCTACTGCTGTGTTGCACAACTTCAGAGGTACCCCTCACAATGTATCTCATATTAGGCTCTCCCCACTAGCACAACGATGTGGCTAGTGCTCCTGGAACTGCAAAACTTACAGACGCTCTCTACCATTGCACAAGGCCTTGTATAAGATACAAAAGTAAGGCAGACAGTCTTTTCCTTACAGAAGCCTATGGTCTATTCTTTCTGAGGATAAATAAAATACCTATTAACCATTAAATAAAATACCATAATGCTTCGAGAAAAGTAAAAATACAGTGGACCTTCCAAAGCAAGCATCCAATTTCCCAAAGGATGCTTGAGGAGATTAATAAAGGAGCCCTTTAAATACCATGAGCAATTTGCTAACTGCACAGGTGGCCTGACATGGCCCACTGCTGCCAAACACATTCAAAGACACCACAAGGAAGCGAGGCGAACAGGAAAAGCTTTTTTACATTTTTTTTTAATCTCCTGTGTTGATTTATCTTCCTCTGTGCTATGGGTGGAAACAAGTCCATCTCCCTCCTCCTCTCAATTTCACCTCCTCTCCCATTTCAACACACACACACACAACAGACACTCTCCAATTTAAATTTATAATTCCTCTGTGTTCCTCTTCATTCGGGTTTCTTTCGGGTTTCAGTGACTCAAGATTAGGGAATGCAAATAGGTGTTCTCTTGTTACCTGCCCTAGCTCAATAACCACTTGTCAGTACACTGACAATACATGAAATTAAAGGACATCCGAAAAGACTCATGATTCTAAGAATAGACATCAGAGAATATTAAAAAGTAATGAATCCATGATTGGACACCAAGTAAACTTCCCTTCGTGTTATTTCTTTGGCTCACGGATATCTGATAATGCACTTATGCCTACAAAGTTAAGTATATTAGGTCAAGGATTCAATTTTGATATTTTTTCACATATCTAACATTATCTATTGCTACAGTTCCATAAAAATATTAAACTGATACTAATCATATAGATATGTGAATACACACACACACACATACACACAGCAATGCATGTCCCCTACCCTGAAATAAACTGCAGCTGTTCTTCATTTCCCTCCTTCCATTGGTACCTAAGCTTTTATTCTTACTGAGGAAGGAAGATATTAATTTTTTGCTCTAGTAGTCAGAAGATTAGAAGCATTAAAACAGATGCACCACAGTCACGTTTACTTGAGTTTTTTTTTTAATCTAAAGACCAAAAGGAAGCAAATGTAATTGGCAGATACATGAAACAGGGCTGCTTTCTCAAACAGATTATTTTCTTGCTGCTGACTTTCTTCTCATGCTCTATCCAATGCCTCATCTTTGAAAATACAGGGTTTGCTTTGTAATGAATCTTAGGAAATCCTCCCTGTCACTCAGCCAGCCAGGAGCAGTCTTCTATGGCATGGCACGTCCCTTCACAGGTGGCTACGCCTGCGAAGAAGACATCAGAAATTCCCCAGAGGGAAGAAAAAACACAAAACAGACGGCTTAAAAGTCAAATAAAGAATTAAGTGAGAAAGGGTGTTTTCCTTCAGGGAGGAAGGAGATTGGGGAAGGTTACAGAGAAGACAGGGACTAGATAGACCTGGAAAAGGATTGCCCTCTTCACTCCAGGGGGAAATCCACAGTAAGTGATGCCTTAGACCAAACCAAACCTGCCCGGTGCTTAGAAACCTGATCATCATCAAATACAGATTTGTGGGTCCCACCCAAAAAAATTGCTGAATCAAAACCTCTGGATATTGAGCCTAGGGATCTGTACATTTTTAAAGTGTACAAATAAGCTCCAGACGATGGAACTTATTTGTGTTTGGAACCTTACACGACACAGAAATGTATGCTGCTTTATCCTAGTAGAAGCCAGTTTCCTCAGTGCTGATGCAGATCCTGGGGTGGGATGAGGCCCTCATTAAAATGGGGAATTGAAGGGCAGAGGACTAGCAGTTTTCAGTAAGCAAACCCTAATCAGAGATAGCTATAATTCAGACATGAAGCCACAGCCCTGGAATTAAGTGGCAAGGCCATGAATGGAAAGAAAAACATAAATGCAGGTATTATACAGAAACATTGAATGGAATGTGTTGGCTGGTTGAATACTAAATGTGTTCAAATATAGTGATACTGAGGTTTGACTTTGTGTCTGAGAACCAGCATCTTCTCTCGACCTCCACAACCACCTCCCTTGCCCTAATTTGCATTATTGTTACAGCCTCCAGACCAGACTGGTGTCCCTAGGTCCACTCTTGCCCATCTCCTTTCCCTTTTCTACCTATGTTGTTTTCCTTGTTACTTTGACCTGTACAGTTTCCTCCCACTACCACCCACATCCCAAGACTTTCAGGAATGCTATTTTTGTGCCTAAATTGTCCTTCTCCAGCCCTGACTCATCAATCAGATCTCAGGGCAAACATTCTTCTCAGAGAAGCTTTCTCTCCCCTCCAGTCTAGGTCAGGCCCCTATTATACATTTGCATGGCTCCCAGTACTTTTCCTTTATTCCTCCTCTCAGGTGTGTGGTAACCTATATTTTTGTGACAATAGAAATAATAATATAACCCTTCCACATGAATGCAAACTCCACTGAAGTAGGGACCATATCTCTTAGTACATAATCTACCCAGAATCTAGCACAGTGTCTGAACTAAAATAGATACTTGTATTTGTTGGTTGGTGGGGGGTGGAAAAAACAAAAAAACTTGGATGGCTGGGAGAATAAGAATACCACTGAAAACACAGAGAAACCAGGAAAGAAAAAAACAAAATGTTGGATTTCAAGGATTGACAATAAGCTGACAGAAGCAAGTTCAGGTGTAGATATGTAAAGATAATAATAATTACAGTGACATTTTACTTAAATGGATAATAGATCATGCACGTTGTGGTTTAGGGCTGACTATAATGTTTTGAAACATATCACGTAAGTGGTAATGAAATCCTGAGAAATCCAAATGAAAACGGACACATAGACAATAATGTCCAAGAACCAGATGCTGAATCTCAGGGAATGTCCATGGTGAGCTGGTGAGAGAGCTACATGAGAGAAGGATGGACCGGAAAGACGTAAGACCAATCAGGATGGTGTAGTGAAACAGCACAAGGAAGGGGGTTTTCCGATCGGCATCATTAAGATGGTCAAATGCTGCAGAGAAGATAAGGATGGTAAGGATCCAACAGACCACTGGTATTGGCGAAAGTCTGCCCCTTAAAGAGCTGAGCACTGGAAACTCTATCATGAATGACAGGTAAGCAAGTTAAGCAGTAGACAAAAGCCTATATTCAAGCATCACCCACATGTTTATCTGCAAATGTAACTCCAACATCTTGAATAGGTCACTATGTCCAGCAGCAGACAGATTAAAGGCTCTTCGGATAGCATAAATAAACCCAACATTCCTCCCTCACTCTTCTTCCAGTCTTAGTCAGATGCCTGGGATCTACCTTCCCTCTGTTCAAAAGCATCTCTGACTCTCCTGAATGTTTGCTGACCTAGAACACACATCTTTTCAGGTGTGGTCATTCATCATGCTTTCCTAGGGCTTTCTGGATGGTGCTATTTTGTTCTTATTAAAAGGGTACTAAAGAAGCACCAACAATGAAGGGCCTTGCCCAAATCTCCCCCAGATTAGAACCCCAACTTGTTCCCATCTGAACCAATTACGTCACATACCCTCAGTGAGTATTTACTGATTCTGATGGCAATGTTATGGTCTTTGATTGTACCCACTTTTTTTTTTAGCATAACAGAGCTTATTTTGTTATCAAATATTTGTGAAATATTTTATTAAATATCATTATAAAAATTCAAAGACACAGTGGCATTCCTTCTTGAGATGCTAATTGGCAAACATAAAGGGAGGGTGGATTGGGGCAAACATTGAAATCATCCGCCGATGGGGGTTCCGACTGGTCCATAACAACACTGACACCTTAAAGTGTGTAAAAGGTCTCCCAGCACTTTGGGAGGCCACGGCGGGCAGATCACGAGGTCAGGAGATCGAGACCATCCTGGCTAACATGGTGAAACCCCATCTCTACTAAAAATACAACAAATTAGCCAGACGTGGTGGCGGGCACCTGTAGTCCCAGCTACTCGGGAGGATGAGGTGGGAGAATGGCGTGAACCTGGGAGGCGGAGCTTGCAGTAAGCCGAGTCGTGCCACTGCACTACAGCATGGGCGACAGTGCGAGACTCCGTCTCAAAAAAAAAGTGTGTAAAAGGTCAAAGAGGTCACTAATTTAAGAGTTCCCATAAAGCCATAAGGTAATACTGGAAATTAATGCATGTACTCTACCATCTAGCTCACAGCACAGATTTTAAAAAAAGAGGTGAAATATGGACTTGGCCAGTTTGTATCCAGAACTGGACACCAGAACCAGGAAAGTCAATTTCTTCCAGCATTGATAAGCAGAAATGTGAAAATCTGGTTACAGAAAGAGTTTTACCAAATACTGCTTCCTATTTTGAATGTAGTGCTTCACACTCACCTCTGTGTCTCTTTCAGGTCCACTTCACTTAGCAAGTGTGCCCACCTTTGGCTGGGCCCATCCATGGCCTCCACGATCAATGGCATAATGGGTCAATTCTCAGAATGTTTACATGTGACCTTAGGGACCCAAAACTAAGCCCAAAGAGAAGGCAGACAAGGGAAAGGGAAGTTAAATTCCTCCAACCCTTTGCTCTGACATCAGCATTGCCTTTCCTGTCCTCCTGTTCACCCAAAGCATAGATTTGCTCTTACAAGTAGCCCTGGATATATCAATAAGTCCTAATGACTTTAATTGTCCATAACTTCGTGATGAGCTAGCAATGTATCATCTAGAAATAGAAGGAAATAGATAGCGGTCTCTTTCTTTGGTATATTCAGACCACATCTGATATCTGTAATCCATGCTGGGAGCGACATCTTATTAGGGATGCAGAAAAACTGAAGTAAGTTCAAACTATGGTAAACAGAGAGCTTCAAAACAATATCATATGAAGACAAAGTGAAGGAATCGGGGCTACACTGCCCTGGTGTAGAGAAGAGTAAGGCAGAGTCGGTGCAGGGCAGGGAGGCAGGGGACACCAATGCATTGTTAAAATGTACTGTTTTCATTGCTTTTTCCATCTTCCCCACAAGACTGTGAGCCTGGTGAGTACAATGACCATATCTTATTTGTGTTAGAGTCTCACTACAGGCCTGGGCCTATAATAGGTACTCAGTAAATATTTGGTTTTAAAAAAGTAGATAAGTGAAAATTGCCTTCAAATTTTCAAAGAACTACTATAAGGAAATACTAGATTTTGTACTTTGTGGTCTCAAGTAACACAATCAGGAGCAATGGATAGAAGGTATAAGGAAATATCTTTGTGTCAATATGAAGAAGAACTTCCTATAGAGCTCGTTAGAAAGGATGAGCATTTTCCTTGGAGGTAACTAACAAAGACCAACCAAATTTGGGCCAGTCATAATAATGCATGGGAGATTTGAGCATCAAGTGGGTTTACCTAGATCATAGTTCTAAATCTTTGCTACCCAGTAATCTGAGAGTTCATTTTGTTTTTATGCAGATGGTCAGCACAATGCCCCAGAAGCTTGGTTTCAACTGGTCTAGGGCATGAGTATTTCTAAAAGCTCTCCAGATGAGTCTAACCAGGAGTGAGAAGCACTAGTCTAGATGAAACTTTAAGGTTCCTTCTAAACCTGATACCCTGTGACTCTACATCTGAAGAAATAGGAGTGTCCATTTAAAACACCCCAATTTTGACTGACTGCCTCATTCATTAGATTTAACATTTGTTAAATAAATAAGGCATCTCCAGCAATATTCCAAACAATATTCCAGATATTCCAAACAGAATAGAAAATTGGATAGACAGAGAGAGAGGAAAAGACAGTGAGTGTGTGCTGTATTAAAAAACATATCTTGATTTGTAGTTTGCAAATTCTAAATAATTGGATTTGCACTTTATCAAAATTTTAGAAAGTGCTGGCTGTACAAACATGTAAATTTCTTCTCCTGAAGTTTCCTGATATGGAACCTCAGCAGTTGGATCCCAGTAGGTGTGGATTTAATCAAAGACCTCAGAATTCTCAAATCTCAAAACACTGTTTGAGACCTTTCAGCCTGAGGGCTGAAAATATAGAAAGTGAATGGGAGAGTACATATGGTTGTTAGAATGCAAGTAGATGACAATTAGATAATTGCATATGCTGCTTTTTATCCTAAACTATTTTAGTAAAAGTCTGCTCTTTGGTAAATGAATAATTCACTTATGTATCTCAAATGCATTTTAAATGTTTCATATTTGAAAGTGCGGTAAGATATATTTATATAATTTATCACTTTTTAATAGGTTGAGAAGTGGTTTGGGGCCCTAGACAGAAGAAACTGATCACCTGAATTTCTAGGAAAATAGAAAACGGATGAGCATTTCATTCTTTCCTTTCATCCAATAACTAGAGGAAAATTCCATTTAATACCTCCTCTAGTTTCTGGTTTCCTTTGATTTGGCTCCCAAGATCCTGACTAGGTTGACTGAGTCTGTTCAGTTACCTGTGGTTCCCAATAATTGAGGACTTAACTTATCTACACCTGCGCCCTTAGAAGAGATCATAATTTTAGAATAAATGTATCATATTATCAAAATACAAAAGTCTTAAAAACACATTGAAACAAATATACAATTAACTTCCAGTAAAGACAGTTGGGTGGTAAGAAGGCACAATGCCATATCCATAAAGTCTCAACACTCTAAGTGCAGCAACAGAAGGTCAGCTCTTCAAGCAGACAGGTATATAATACTATCTATTAAAAAAATACAGACACTGCACTTTTTTTTTTTAAGACAAAGTCTCACTCCATCACCCAGGCTGGAGTGCAATGGCATGATCATGGCTCACTGCAACCTCCGCCTCCCAGACTCACGTGGTTCTTCTGCCTTAGCCAACCAAGTAGCTGGGACTACAGGAGTGCACCACCACACCAAGCTACTTTTTGTAGAGATGGGTTTCACCATGTTGCTCAGGCTAGTCTCAAACTCATGGGCTCAAGCAAACTACCCACCTCAGCCTTCCAAAGTGCTGGGACTACAGGCATGAGGCGCACCATACCCGGCCAACACTGCACTTTTAAACAGTATGTTTGAACAGAGTTTTTGGAGAGTGATCACTATATTCTGGGTAAAAAGGTTCAGAAATTGAAAACATTATTACCTTCAAGAATGAAATTTCTACATGGTAATTTTTAATAAGATTCATGATCAAATAATTTTCTTTATAAAACCATTGTCTTTTAAAAATTCTATTTCATTTTTAATAAGTCTATAGTACAGCAAGAGAAAAGGTAGGAGCCTCTGGGATGAGTGGGTTTTCCAATTTTAAATAGGATGATCAGAGAAGGCCTTACTGAGAAGGTGACATTTTGGGAAAAGAACCTAAGTAGGTGAGGGAATTAGTCATGCAACATATATGGAGAAAGAAAGTTCTAAGCAGAAGGAGCTGCAAATGAAAATCTTCTGAGTAGGAATGTGGCTGGAGTATTGGAAGTCAGTGTTGTCACTGATGACACACAGAGAGAAAGAGACTATTAGGACATTAGCTCAGAAATGGGTTTAAAGAGCCTTCTAGACCTCTGTAAGGACTGGCAATTACTCTGAGAGAAATGTGGATCCATTCAAGATTTTCAGCAGAGGAGTAGCGTAATCTGAATTTTGTTTTTAAAGCATAATCCTGGCTGCCACATTGAAGCTCTACTACAAGGGGCCAGGGCAGAAGCAGGAAGACATTCAGGAAGGGTATTGCAACAAACCAGGTGAAAGAATATGGTGGCTGGGACCACCACAGTGACAGCTGAGAAATGATAAGCCATGGTCAATTCTGGATGTACAGATATTGGGAAGATAAAACCATTAAGCTATGCTGATGCACTGAAGTAAAATGTGAGATCAAAAGATAAGAATGACTTCAAGGGTTTGGGCTCAAGCAACTAGGAGGAAAGAGTTGCCATTTACTGATAAGGGAAGACTAGGAGGCACATGTTTGGGGGAGAAGTTCACTGAGACATTAATTTTTCAACATGCCTGTTACCAATTCAAGTGGAGAGTTCAGCAAGCACACGGTTATATGTATCTCTAGTCCGCAGGACAGTTTCAGGCCAGATATATACATTTTGGCATCTTCAGTAGATAAATTGAATTTAAATCCATGAGATGGGATGGGCATGAGTATAGACAAAATAGGAAAGACATCCAAGGACTGAACCCTAGGGGACCCAATATTTAGAAGTCAGGAAGATTAGGCTGCATCAATCAATGGGAGAGAGATGGAGCAGTCACTGAGGTGCAAGGAAACCAGAAGAGTGTGATGTCCTCGAAGCCAAGTGAAGAAATGGTTTCAAGTAGAAAAGTATAACCCAACGTGTTAAATGTGATGATAGCACAATTAGAATGGGAGCTGGGAACTGATCTCTGTTTTTAGCTGTGGGGAGGGCATTGGTGGTCATTATGAGAGTAATCTGGCTGCAGTGGAGGGAGTGAAAGTCCTGAATGGAACGGATTTGAGACAGAAGAAGAGGAAGTATAGAGAGCAGGCAGAAATGATCCAAGTAGCCATCACAGAGTGCAGGAGACAATGAAGAACTAAATGGATGTATCCCCCAATTAAAGCAGTTGAACTCAGCACACATAAAATGGGCTCCATATTCCTACTCTTAGAGGAAGGAAAGAGCTGCTCATCTCTTTCTCATAAGGTGATTCATTTTTAAACTGCTTCATCTTGTCAGCCTACCTGGCCTCCGAATCTAAGTCACAGTATTTCTGCTCAATTTGACAAACTCATCTGTGGCAGGCTTAGATTTCATCTCCAACCATTTTTGTAGGCCATAATACAATTCCACACCCCAAATGCCTCAGGTCTCCACCCAATCAATAAATTGCAGTTAATGTCCTTAGGGAAAATGTTCTTTGATGAGTGTCAGTGTTAGCAGCCAATCCAAGCCCATTAACTTTCACATCTGGAAATAAGGTAAGGAAAATGAGGCTGATGTCTTCAATTTAGTTTTGATTTATCAGCATCACAATAACCTGACTCAACTACATACAATTCAGGGTGATTGGATGAATTTGCTGAGTAGAGGCCCAGGACTGAACTAATAAGGAGGTGGAAGGTTAGGATCCAGGACTATTGGCAGAGTTGTTTCAAAGGACCAGGGGTAGAGTCATGGAGCAAGAATAAAAGGGCACCAAGTAAGACGCGCAGAGGCTCAAATCCCAGAAAAGCGATCAGGGCTGATGTAGCTCCACATCACTCACACTTCCTGTGACTTTTGATCCTTGCTATCATCTAAAACAAACAAACATTTCTATAATTTAATCCCCTTAAATTGTCTTATTGTCTATTTTTTTCATTCAAGTCCCTTAGCAGGCAATCACCTCCATTTCATAGATGGAAAAACTGAGCTCGAAGAGGGTAAAATACACAGAACAGTTAACAGTGAGAGCAGGTAAAAGAGCACGCTTTGTTTCAGTTAACAACATATTCCCCTAAGGAAGCAAGGAATTGGCTATTTGCAATTAACCAGATTTGGGAAGTATATATATGTAATGGGGTGAAAAAAGTTTTATCAGCTAACAACACAATTCTCCTTATGGAGAAAATGGCCCATGGTTAGAAAAATACCTATTTATGAAATAGCAGATTTTGATTTATCCAGAATAATTCAAAATTTTGCCTTTTATCCGAGGGAAATTATTAATACTGTCCACTTTAACTTTCAAAATTGTTCCAGTTCCTAGGATATAGTCACCCTACTGACTGACTCTCTCTCTCTCTCTCTCTCTCTATCCCTCCACACACACATACACACCCCACATATAAGCTACCTGAGTAGAGGCAAGTAGGAAGGTGAGATCCTACCCAAGAGTAGCGATTAGCCAAACAGCTCTGCCTTTCATATAAACATGAATAGAAAGAAGAACAGAAGAGAGAAAAGAAACAAGTAAAATTCAAAGAAAGTAGGCAGATAATGCATGGCTGGGGTACTATGTTGGGATTAATGGTCAAATTCTCTTCCCAGTAGCAAGGTGGCCAAAGGACTTTTAAGAACAAGGATATATGATTTTCAATTTAAAATTATTTTTGTTGCTACAATATAAAGCCCTCCCTTTCTCCCTCTTCAGTCAAGTCTACCATATATGCAACTGCTTTATGTAAGATTTTTTTTAATACATAGAAATTAAGGAAACCTGAGATCACAGCCAGGGCTAAGTGACAGAGAACAAAAAGAATACACAAACGACAAATGATAATGCAAAAACTAAAATACAGGGAACCAGAAGGTTAGAGCCAAAGGTGACCACAAACATGTAAGTCCCCCAGGAATTCTCAGATTCCTTGGCCTGGTGTGGAACTTTAAGGACAATGTCCTATAATTCTGAAGGAGCAGAAACACCCAGCTCATGCTTGGGCTTCATAAATAGTGAATGCAATAGGGATTGACAGTTGTTGCTTAATCATAAAAGACAGTCAGTGTTCCTTAATTTTATTCAAAGTTAAACCTATAAGTATAAATGTATTCACCAATGTATTAATCTGGAGTCCAGGGTGCTGCTTCTACCATGAGCCTGTTGTTAAGAGTCCTCTATTGTCTTTCTTGTATAAACCACAGCCATCATGTAACATCTGATTTCTTTAGATGAAACAAAAAAAAATCTTAATGCAGAATTCTCCTAGACTTTTATGATTTAACTTTTTGCAGATGTTCTGTCCATTCCTAATTTGATAACAATGCTTATTAACAACTTGTATTTAAATCTTTCCAAAGAAGCTTAGCTTTCATAGAAATGCTTTTTTCTTGCATTAATATCCCATCTATTTAGAGGAAGTTTACAGAGCTCAGCTCCCTTCCATAATTGGCACCAAAAGCCTACTGACGTACTCGGGTGCTCCGTGTGCTACCATAGGCCCTCACAGAAACTATCTGTGGTCACACGCACATCTAGTTTAAACGGGCACCCCTGGCCCACTACCATGGGGCTTGTGCCTGCTAAATAGCCTGCTTGGCTGCACACCCATCTCCCAGAGTACCTGCACCAAATCAGTGTATGACTGCCATTTACTCACAGTTTCTGGTGTCTCACCGGCATCATGCCAAACAGTCTGTATGGCTGCCATCAGCCACTTGATTAACATGTGCTCACCTTGCCCTTGTGCCAAGCATTGGCACAGCTGCAGCTGCTGACGAAGGGAGGGGTGAGTTGTGATAGAGGCCAGCTTCTCCATCTCGGAGGCAGAGCAAGAAATGCTGTCAGCCCCCTCATCCCAAAGACAGAGTAATCAGGGCTGGGAGGGGCTCCCCTGGGTGCTGCCTGCATTGCCTACCTAATTCCCACAACTCATGGGGGGTATAAACACTATAAGAGGTGTGTTCCACCACTGTGGGGGGCCCCTGGGCTCTCCTCTGGGGTCCCATCGGCTGCTCATGTTCTACCTTCTGACAGATCACAGGGTGAGCCGGAAGTGGAGCAGCCTCCTCCTTCTCAGCATCAGACCAAACGGGAGTGCCCGGCCTGGAGGACAGGCTCAAGGTTGCATTCGGAGCTGTTTCCAACGCCTGCTCCAGGCTGTTTATCTGAGCCTCTAAGTGCCCTGCTTGCGCCTGGAGGTCCTTCACCCCCAGGTTTTGCTCCAAGCTGTGCATTTGGGCTCCCAGGCACTCAACTTATGCCTGAAGGTCCCTTACCTGTGCCATGTCCCACAGAGACTGAGCATGTACTTCATGTAGTATGGTCAGAAACGCCTATCCAACTCTGCCGGCGAAGGTGCATTTCTTCTTGGTGCTATGAGCTTCCAGCTGCTTCAGTGCCTTCTCCACACTCGTGGGAGACCCGTCCACTGCCTCCCACATTTCCACTGGGGCCCACCCAAGCAGCACTTCTGCCACTGGGTACCACAGCCCATGTTGCAGCCACACAGCCAACCTGGGAGCCCCAAGGGCTGAAGACCCACTCACCTCATCCTGCCAACGACTATGCCAAATGTCATGCTCAGGGTCAGGCTCCAGTTCCAGCTGAGAGCTGAGGAGAGTGGGTGGATGTGGGGCAGGGAGCTGGAAGAACACTCAAGAGACAGCAGGTAGATGAGACACGGCTTTATTCAGCAGCCCCTTCACAAGGTCAATATTACATTTATACACTACACAGACAGTAGTGGCTGAGAGCCAGGTGGTGAGCTTCTCTATGTTATGTCTACATGGCTATGGTTATATAAGACACGGGACTGGCTCTTGCACCCCAAACCCGCTGAGTCATCTAGGCTGTTTACCTTGGCCATGCCTGCTGCCCTATACCTGCTTGGCTGCAGCACAGCCATGTTTTTCACAGTGCCCCATTTTTTACAGAGGAAAGAGCAAGCTCTGTTATTCTTGGGAGCTTGGTAAGTGGAGGTCACCTTCTAAAAAGCTTCCTTTGGGTCTACACATAATTTTCCTGAAGGATTAAACAGCTTGCCATTGCAAAGTACATGGAACTCTGGCCCTGCCTTGCTCCCTCTAGCAAATGCATCACTTTTGTTTGTTTGTTTGTTTGTTTTTTGAGACGGAGTCTCGCTCTGTTGCCCAGGCTGGAGTGCAGTGGCACAACTTGGCTCACTGCAACCTCCACCTCCTGGGTTCAAGCGATTCTCCTGCCTCAGCCTGCCTCCCGGGTAGCTGAGATTACAGGCATGTGCCACCATGCCTAGCTAATTTTGTGTTTTTAGTAGAGACGGGGTTTCACCATATTGGCCAGGCTGGTCTTGAACTCCTGACCTCGTGATCCACCCGCCTCGGCCTCCCAAAGTGCTGGGATTATAGGCATGAGCCACCTTCCAGATCCCTGTGATCTCCATTCAGTGGGTCCAGAGGCCAGAGAACCACCTCTCCTCGTGGAAAAAATTCACTCCCAATCCTAACTGAATGATCATACTCAGTGACAGGCTTTGACAGAGGCTCAAATTTCAGTGAAGCCCCATAAAAGAAGCTAGGCTGTACCAAAAGCCAGACAGAAGAGTTCCAGGAGATTCTCAACAAAAAGTTGTAACATTTAGTGGTAATGACTAAACGTATGTATTCAGTGTAAATTAAGACTCTCTTCTTCAGCTGGAAAGGGCAGAGAGCTAAATCTAAGAAGCAGTCAAAGCAAATTTTCTCCTAATCGGAAAAGCACAATCATGGTGAAGTAGAGCAGGTAAATGGAGCTAGTGTGTGTAATTGGGATCGTTTTTCTTTTCCTGCAAACTATGAGAAAGAAAAGGTGGGCATCTGAGGAAAAGGAAGCTAAGACTTCCAGAAGATGACTTTGTTTCTTAACTGAGGACAGGTTAAGCCTTGATAATTGTCTTGGTAAAGAAAACTGAAGATACCTACAGCCTGGGGAAGGGCCATTTAAAGGGATTTCTGATGTCAAATTCTAAAGTGATAACACTATTTCTTTCAAGTTATGGACTTTTAAAGGACTGATATGAATCAATATAAGTAGTTAATAAGCAAGTTTTATAGCTGTACCTAGGTTTCATGTGTCTTTAAATTTTACTGATCATATGTATTCTTCATAGAGTGTTTAATAAATTCCACATAGTGGGGAATTTAGTACAAAAGATTATTTTTTTATAAGGGCCAAATTGAGTAAAATAAATATCCCATTGGTTCTGGTACTCTGCCCCTCACATATGGGCCTTCTAGTCCTCCGTGCCTGAATCAGTTTAATCAGAGACCTAGCACTGCAGGTAAACCGGCAGCAGACTGAAAACTATATGGAGTATTGCTAACTGACAGAAGGTAGGAGATGTAAAAAGTGACTCAAATTGAACTGGATACTTTGTTGATTTGTTTTTATATTTAAAAAATACTAAAAGAAGCAAAGAAATGAAACAGAAGTTGCTGTTTGGGGACTGGGGAACAAATACACAAATTTTGTTTTACCTGCCCCCAACCTTGCCTGACAAATGAAGACTTTGGTTCCAGCCTAGTATTTGTGTTTTGAAGTTGGAAGGTAGATATTAGTGGAGTCTCCACACTTCCCTCTTCTCTTGTTCTCCCCCAGCTCAAATTCATAGCAAGAAGGCCCATGCTGAGGCCTCTGCAGGAAACCATCAACAGTAGCTGCTAATGGGAAACCTAATGACACTTTAATGGGACTAGTAAAGCTAAGAGAGTTGTGCAGATAATATTTATAATAGAAGAAAAAAGAAACTATGCACTAAGCGGAAACAGGAGCTGGCCAGCCTGGCTGGGAACTGTTAAGCCCAATAAAGAAAAAGCTGTAGTCCTAGAGAAAGGACATTTATCACTCCTTTGAAGTGTTCCATTACATCCACTGTAGCTGACAAACAGAGAGAGTAATAAGGCAACATTCACGGGGCACCATGACATCTCACAGGACACCTGTGCTGAGTAACAAGCAGTAGACTAAGGTTTTTCTTCATTTGAATTTATGAAACAGTTTTAACCAATAGGAAATAGGCTGGGTGTCCAAGACCTGGGCTAAATCCAACTGAAACAAAACATGTTGTCAATCGAATTTAAATATGGCCATTGTAGCAGAAGAGCATGGTTCTACAAATCTTTCCCAAGCCCCATTACATCACCTGGTTTTACCAACTAACCCAAATTCATCTTTATAGACTGAATATTTCCATCCCACTCATTCTAGTGGTAATAACAAAGCTGAAACTCTAAAATGATGTTTCTCCAACTATAATCCCCAGGTCAGTAACATCAGCATCACCTGGGAACTTGTGAGAACTCCAAATTCTTGAGCACAATCTCAAGCCTCCAGAAAATCTTGGAGGTAGAACCCAGAATCTGTAGTTCAACAAGCCTTCCAGGTGATTCTTATACATGCTCAAGTTTGAGAAGCACTGGTCTGTAACACTGGATCTCACACTTAGCTGCATATTGTAATCTTCTATAAAACCCTTTTTTAATGCTGATGGCTGGTTCCTAATTCCTCTCCCACCTCCAGAGATTCTAATTTAATTGGCACCAGGTGCACCTTAGATGTTTAATTTTTCTTAACTCTCCAGGTGATTCTAATGTGTAAGAAAGCATGAAAACTACCAGAACATACTCAGAAAATGAAAGTGAACAGCCAACTTGTCATACCTCGGTCAAAAAACAGATAGATAGTCAACAGATATTCAGAGCCACCGATTATAAAGAGTACTAGAAAAGCTATACTGAGCAACTCAACCATGATTTTCCTTGAGTATACTTCATCAAAAGAGAAAATAAATTTGCCCACAAAGTCTTAGGCTTGATTTAAGTATAATTTGAGAATTCATGTTTTGTTTTTGCTGGTAGGGAGCTCAGAGGTTAATTTTGTCTTTAGGAATTTTGTCTCCCCTTTTTAAAGTGCCCAACTCCTGCCTTTTATATCTATTTGAAAGTTCTGTGGCCATGCTTCTCACACTAAAGTACACATGTGGCCAGGTTATGCCATGGTGTGCTGTAGGATCCAGGAAGCCACGGGTTAAAGGTTGCTCATATATCTGGCAACTCCAATGTATTCAAAGCTAGGTAATTTAAAACTTTGTAATATTCATACAAACATTGTGAATTGGAAGGCAACATTCGATCATTCTGGGTTATCCCCACAAAGCCTCCTAAGAACAGTGCCCACCTATTCTCCTCTGCCATTAGGAGCACCGCACTAGGCAAGTTGAAAAGACGCGAACATTGTATATATGAGCCTTATTGAAAACTGCCTGAAATTATTATGGAAGAAAGAAAAATATAAATAAATAAAGAGACCTCTTCTATGCATTTGTTCAAAAACAGTTATTAGTATCTCAATATCTCCTCTCCTTCAACCACTGTTCATTCTTTGGATTATCTCAGACTCCAATACTCCATAAAGAGAAAGGAGCTATTCCCTATTTGATATGATTGATAGATTGATACATATGATTCTACTATGGGAGACATTCAGGACACCTCCAAAGTATTAATAACAATAAAGTTAACCCCTTGTCTTTCTAAATGAGACCTGACTTTGGGACTAGTTCCAGGTGCATATATCTGTCTCTGGGAGGACGATGATGGGAGCAGGTCAGAACTTAGTGGTAGAGACACAAGGAAACCCAGCAAGAAGCAAAAAAGAAATAGAGTTGAGTCACTGATGATCAAGGAAATGCCAATCAAAACCACAATGAGATGCCACCTTACTCCTGCAAGAATGGCCATAATTAAAAAACCAAAAAATAATAGATGTTAGCATGGATGCATTGAAAAGGGAACACTTCTACACTGCTGGTGGGAATATAAGCTAATATAACCACTATGGAAAACAGTGTGGAGGTTCCTTAAAGAACTAAAAGTAGAACTACCATTTGATCCAGCAATCCCACTACTGCGTATCTACCCAGAGGAAAAGAAGTCATTATACTAAAAAGATACTTGTACATGCATGTTTATGGGACCACAATTCACAATTGCAAAATTATGGAATCAGCCCAAATGCCCATCAATCAACGAGTGGATAAAAAAAATTGTGGTACATATACATACAATGGAATACTACTCAGCCATGAAAAGGAGTGAATTAATGGCATTCACAGCAACCTGGGTGGAACTGGAGACTATTATTCTAAGTGAAGTAACTCAGGAATGGAAAACTGAACATTGTATGTTCTCACTCATAACTGGGAGCTAAGCTATGAGGATGTAAAGGCATAAGAATGATACAATGGACTTTGGTGACTTGGGGGAAAGGATGGGAGGGGGGTGAGGGATAAAAGACCACAAATTGGGTTCAGTACATACTGCTGATGTGATGGGTGCACGAAAATCTCAGGCATCACCACTAAAGAACTTACTCATGTAACTGAATACCACCTGCTACCCAAAAACTTATGGAAATAAAAAATTGTAAAATAGAATTTTTTTAAAAGTGTAAAAGTGTTGAAATTGGGATTCCAGGGAAAAACTTGTAAACATATATAAGGTAAAAGCTTGAGAAAACAGGGCATTCCCACCCTCTTTCACAGGAATGAGAGTAGAGAGTGGAGAATGAGTGACAAAAATCCAAATCAGGATTACAACCTCAAGGAAATATTGTCAACATTTTATACAGAATTTTTGTGCCACATTTACACATTTATAACACCCAAAGGGTCTATTGTCCAGTCTTTCTGCTATACTCCAGGTGAAAAATAGAACTCTGCTTTTCAGAGCTTTTACATTAAAAAAAGAAAAAAAAAAGGTAATAAAATTCCCCATAGAGTTGTCCCTGTCTCCTAGCTTTTTCTTCTTCACAACCAAGTTTGAGCTTGTGGAATTGGCCTTGTGGGGTGTTTTTTATTTAACTTTTGCTTTAGCAGTGGCACGCTGCACTGCATTTTGGGGACTTCTCACTTCTGTTGTGTTCCATTGAGGGCAGATGGCGGCACAGATAAGTGCAGCATCCCTTTGGTGTATCAATATTTTATGTAAATGCAATTTCTGTCTTTTCCGTCGGAAAAAAAATATATATATATATATAAAGCTCCTAACTATCCTTAGCATTACCTGTTCTAAGCAACAAAATAAGCATACCCAGAAAGTTGAGGAGGTGAGCCTCTAACCTTCCACAAACATCACATTTGAGCCAGAGCATGTTAGTACCAGGGAGAAACTCAGTGACCCTATTCTAACAATAAAAGAATGGGGCACAGAGAGAAAAAAATGAACTCTCAGGACCACACAGCCAGTGAGACCAGAGTCCCAGTCGCTGAGTTAGTTTTCTTCCCACCCCCACCCCCACCCCGCCCCGCAATCTACCTCATCACGCCCCTGAAATGCCACAGAGCATAACTGGGCTGCAAGCTGCTGTTGCAACCAGCAAACAATGATAAAGGAAACAGAACAAAGCCTAACGAGATGGGAAGGATAGGAACGAAGACTTGACACTTGACAAGTGTGGAATGTTGATGCATACACAGGAGGCAACCAGTGGAACTGCAATAGGTCTTGACTCACAGGCAAGCAACACAAGCAGAGAGCAATAGCAGGGACAGAGAAGCCAAATGAGATTGCACAGGAAGCTCCAGAGGATGCAGGTGAGGGCCAGGCCCAGGGCAGAGACCCTCTTGCCTGTCTCCTGGTTTGATGCTCCTAGATAAGTCCAAGGTACAAGGCCTGGCACATGTGTTCTTGCACCCAGAGAGGTGGAAAGGACAACAGATTCTAGAATATATTCTAGCTTCTCTGTCCTCATCTGTAAAATTGAATCAAATACTCCTGCCAAGCAAAAATGAAGTGAGACAGATGAACTTCTTTGTAAATTACAAAGAAGGGCAAAATAGCACTTGTCTTTGTCAGTTAGGACTTCTATAAGAAAGTACCATAAACTAGGTGGCTTATAAACAACAGACATGTATTCCTCACAGTCCTAGAGGCTGGAGCACCCATCATCAGGGTTCCAGCATGGTCAGATTCTGGTGAGGGGCCGCTTCGGGTTGCAGGCTGCTGACTTCTCATTGTATCCTTACTTGGAAGAAAGAGGGCTATATAGAGCTCTCATGGGTCCCTTTTTTTTAGGGCACAAATCCCGTTCATCAAAGCTCCACCCTAGGCCAAGCCACTGTGGCTCATGTATGTAGTCCTAACACTTTGGGAGGCTGAGGTGGGAGGATCACTTGAGCTCAGGAGTTTGAGACCAGCCTGGGCAACATGGTGAGACCCCATTTGTATTTGCAAAAAATACAAAAATTAGCCAGGCATAGTGGTACATGCCTGTAGTCCCAGCTACTTGGAAGGCTGAGGTCAGAAACTGGCTTGAGCCCGGGAGGGGAAGATTGTAGTGAGCTATGATGGTTCCACTGCACTCCAGCCTCGGCAACAGAACCACGCCCTGTCTGTATTAGTCCATTTTCACACTGCTGATAAAAACATACCTGAGACTGGATAATCAATAAAGAAAAAGAGGTTTAATGGACTCACAGTTCCACGTGGCTAGGGAGGCCTCACAATCATGGTAAAGGTGAAAGGCACGTCTTACATTGTGGCAGGCAAGAAAGAGAATGAGAACCAAACAAAAGGGATTTCCCCTTATAAAACCATCAGATCTCATGAGACTTATTCACTACCACAAGAACTATATGAGGGAAACAGCCTCCATGATTCAATTATCTCCCACTGGGTACCTCCCACAACACGTGGGAGTTACAAGAGCTACAATTCAAGATGAGATTTGGGTGGGGGGACACAGCGAAACCATATCACTGTCAAAAAAAAAAAAAAAACAGAACAAAACAAAAAAAAAAACCCTGCACTCTCATGACCTAATCCCTCCCAAAGTCCTACACTGAAAGGCAAAAATATCTAGGCCTTTAGGGGATTTCTGATATAAAGTCCCCAAGTTTAAAAACAGAGAAAGTGCGCTGTGAAACAAGAACAAGCTTTGGAAACAAATAAAGCTGGGTTTTCACAGCAGCTGAGTGACCTTAGACAAATTACCTAACTTCTCTGAACCTCGTTTCATAGCACACATTAGGAAATTAATAAATTGCAACAATGAATAATAATAATAATAAATATGCTATGAATAAAGCTCTCTCTGAAAACCAGTCATCTCAGGGCCAGCAAAAATAAAAAATCATTTTCCATGTGTTGACTCTGTTACTGTATTAGTCCGCTTTCACACTGCTATAAAGATACTACCTGAGACTGAGTAATTTAGAAACAAAAGAAGTTTAATTGACTCACAGCTCTGCAGGCGGAGAAGGCCTCAGGAAACTTACAATCATGGCCGAAGGTGAAGGCGAAGCAGGCACTTTCTTCACAAGGCACAGGAGAGAGAAAAAGCGCAGGGGAAACTGCCATTTTTAAAATCATCAGATCTCGTGAGAACTCCCTCCCTATAACGAGAACAGCATGGGGGAACCGCCCCCATGATCCAATCACCTCCCACCAGGTCCTGCCCTCACACGTGGGGATTACAATTCAAGATGAGATTTGCGGGGGACACAGAGCCAAGCCATATCAGTTACCTATTTCAAATCCAATCCCAAATGGGCTTATCTAGATACACCTTTGTCCTGAAAAGATTTCCCTCTGTCCCCTTCTGACTATCCAGGTGTGGAAGACCAAATATCAGTGACAGTTTAATCTTCAAATCAAGAATAGAAATACAGCTAGAACAAAGTGAAAAAGAAAGAGAAAAAATATTCCATCAGAACCATCAGTTTTAACATTAACTAGCTAGCCCGAGAATCAAATATTCAATGCATGATTTTGGAAATTGTTTAATAATAACTTGAAATAATTACTTTTATTTGGCTTTCTTTTTATACATGCAAGAAATTAAATGTTCTAGTAAGTCAAAGAAACACAGCTGAAAAATAGCAAAAGGCATGTTGGATAGAAATGACAGAAACCACAGTTATCCGATCTGGATCAAAAATATTAAACAAAGAAAAAATACTCATTATTCTGTCAGCTTTAAGACATTTTCAGCTTGTTCAAACTGGAACACGTCCCCCTGTGGTCTTGTAAAACTCAGTGAATTGGAGTAAAGCAATGTAAGCGGTAGCTTCATCTTCAAAGATGCCATGTAAAATATACATATTAACAAGCAGGGTTGGTTTTTTTTCCTTTTGTTCTTACCCCTTCTGTTTGTTTCTCTGCTCTGTTCCAAGTACTGGCATTTCTTAGTAGTGTAAATATCCACTAGAGTTTACATTTTCCTTCATCCACAATCATCTCCCAACCTTGAAGTTTTCACCACTGCCCTCTTGGGTTCCTCCAGCGGGGACTGAACTTCCAGAGCCAATAAATTTTTCGAACCTACATCTCTTTCCTCAAAGACAGTACCTGGTAAATAATGCCCAGGTTAAACTGCTTATATTTAAAAAAGCAAATAAGCCAAAAAGGCATGTTTGTGGGTGTGTGTCTTCATGATTCTCTCTGTAAATTTTTATTGAATAACTGATTAGACCACAAACAAGCAGAGTCGTAGATCTGAAACAAGGATCTAATGTATAAATTCAAGATTTTACATACACATTTCAAAACTGGAGAGTTACATACACATTTCAAAATTTGGGAGTTCCACTACACCATACTATTCCCATTTTGGTGGATTGCTGTAGATAAGATTCGGGATTCCATTCATCTCATCCTGACCACACACCATCCTTTGCAAAGGGTAGGTGGATGGAGTCAGGAAGCAGGACAAATGTGAAATAAGAGATAGAAGTCCTGGTGATGTCAGCTCTTTGAATTTTAGCTTCCCTTTTCCTTCCCACCTATGGCTATTGAGGTATGTCTCTCTAAAGGTAAAGTAGCCGTCAAGGGAGTGGTGACACTCAGTATTTCATCCTTTAGAGTACAAATTAGCAACCATTTTTGGAGACTCCAAAAATTATGAAAATCTGTATCTCCAGCATTTAGTACAGTGTCTGGTACATTGGAGACCCCCAAAATAATGCCTGTTTAAAATAAAAAGGAAACATGCTGAGAGGCCAGAGGGAGCAGACAACCAAGATGTTGGAACCTAGGAAATGGACAAACCCACCAGAGTGGGGCAGTGGACCAAGCTTTTAGAATTCGACAGCAGAAGTGTATGCAGGTGTTGTGAGCATCATAAGAGTTTGGCATGGGCCACCAGCAGTCAGACAGGGGTCAGGCCTGAAAAAGACTCACTGCAGCTAGAGGCTGCCTCATGGTGTCTGAGCACCCGGGATAAGACTCCAGGAACTAGGTAAGCACCCTGCTGTGTAGGCCAGGACTTGGAGTAAAGCTCTCATTGTACAGCTGCTGAAAGAAAAGATAGTGTTCCTTAAATCTCCCTGCCTTTCCTGGAAACATAATTGGCCCTTGAGACCAAAGTGGAGCTGAACCTAAAACAACCATATTAACAATAAATACTGATATGGTAGTCACTGTGCTGGGTACTATTAAATATATTCACCCTATGAGGTGGGCACTATTATTAATCACCTCCATTTTACAGATGAGGAAATGGAGGCACAGAGCCCTTCAGTGCTTGCCCAAGGTCATGCAGCTAATAAATGGCACAGCAGGAATGTGAACCTAGGCAGCCTGGTGCCAGAGCCCATGTTCTTCACACCACATCTGCTTCCTTGTAGGACCCCTGGCTGGGGGATGCTGATGGGGGTGGTCAGAAAGCCTTCTGTACTTTCTTTTTTGTGTGTGGAGACGGAGTCTGGCTCTGTCGCCTAGGCTGGAGTGCAGTGGCGCGATCTCGGCTCACTGCAAGCTCAGCCTCCCGGGTTCACGCCATTCTCCTGCCTCAGCCTCCCGAGTAGCTGGGACTACAGGTGCCCGCCACCACGCCCGGCTAATTTTTTGTATTTTTAGTAGAGACGGGGTTTCACCGTGGTCTCAATCTCCTGACCTCGTGATCCGCCTGCCTCGGCCTCCCAAAGTGCTGGGATTACAGGCGTGAGCCACCGCGCCCAGCCTGTACTTTCTAAGCAGTTTCAATGAATCCAATTGCCTATACGGAGAATTCCTTGATGAGAACCACACTTTCAGATGTGCAGAATTAGAAAGCAGTGGAGCACAGAACCAAAGACTCATACGCAGGACTGCACAACCCTATAAGAACAATTCAGCAGGGAAAAAGCCCCAAAGGACCTGAGGTTTGCTCATGCAGTGAATTTAAAATTTGCGCATTATGACTCAGATGTGAAGAAATGGAGCTTAATTCCCCATACTCTCGAGCCCCCATTTCCATTTGCCTGCCCCTATAAAGCCACCAATCAATCACTTGTGGTTTAAAACAGTCTCCTTCAGGTGGATGTTCAGGGCCGTCAGGGGTATCCCCTTTATTGTTCTCCCTCCCTTCCCCCAGAGGGTGGACTTAGCTATTGTCCTAACCCTGGGGAAAGGAGTTCTGGGTGAGGAGTCCTGCCCCACTTACTCCTGGGGAAAAGCTTCTTTAGCCTGTCAATATTTCAATTAAAATTAAATAAATGAAAAATCAGTTTCTCAGTCACACTGGCCACATTTTAAGTGCTTTATAGCCACGTGTGGCTAATGGCTACCAGAATTGAATAGTACAGACATAGAACAATTTGTGTCATCACAGAATATTCTATTGGACAACACTGTGTGTGTGTGTGTGTGTGTGTGTGTGTGTCTGGGTGTCTGGGTGTCTGGGTGTTATGTGTGTATTCTTGTCTATCTATAGTTTAGTTTCTTTTGAAAATAACAGACACACAATAAAACACATTTATAACAAGACGTTCAAAAGTCAAGTTAGAGATCCATGGTTTGCAGAACCAGGTTCTTCCAACTGGTCACAGTGGGATCTTTGAGCAAGCTACCTAGCCTCCCTGAGTCTGCTTCCTTGTCTTTAAAATAGAGAATAACACCAGTGCCACAAACCTCACAAGTGGTTGTAGGATCACACGAGATAATGCATCTAGAAGTACTTTCAAATTTTTTAGACAAAATTTAAATTTATCTAGTGCTATTCCTATTCTAATAAAGAATTACTATTGTATTTTAAAAGGAAAAAAGCTTGTAGCAGAACCCAGACTCATTATATCTCAGGTGCTAAAGGAATTTGCATCTGTATTTCAGAGCTACTCTGTTAGTATGATAAAATCACAAAGAACAGACATTGTATAAGAAGACTGAATATGGAATAACTCTTAAGTTTTTAAAAGGAAGAAAAAAATGGTTCTACTAAACTATAGAACAACACATTACTTATCAATTCTCAGAAAATTTAGTGCATACTTTATAAAAAATGATTTCAAAATATTCAAGACACAATGTATTTGTTAGACTTACTTAATAGGCTATTCATCTGCAGACCAAATAATTTAAAAAATAAAAAATAAAAATAAAGGCAAAAAAGAATTACTCACTAAGCTAAAAAACTTTAGGGAAATTGCAAACATAGTATGCCTTGATTTAAGCAAGATATTTAATACCCTCCAATATACCCTTATTGTTTGAATGGTGAGATGGGGACTGTATTAGTCCATTTTGCATTGTTATAAAGACCAAGACCTGAGACCAAGTAGTTTATAAATAAAAGAGGTTTATTTGGCTCATGGCTCTGCAGGCTATGCAAGCACAGCACCAGCATCTGCTTGGCTTCTGGTGAGGCCTCAGAAAACATTTGCTCACGGTGAAAGGTTAACAGGGAGCAGGCATGTCACACAGCAAGAGGGAACAGGAGAGAGAAGGGAAATGCCACACTTTTTAAACAATCAATTCTCACATAAACTAATTAAACGAGAACTCACTTATTACCAAGGGGATGGCACCAAGCCATTCATGAAGGATCCACCTCCATGACCCAGACTCCTCCTACCAGGCCCCACCTCCAATACTGAGGATCACATTTCAACATGAGATTTGGAGGAGACAAACGTCCAAGCTATATCAGAGACTAACGGCATGATTAGGTCTACTCATGTGTGTTTGAAAAATTACCCCAAGGTAGTATTAATTTTGTGTTCAAAGTTAGCTTGAAAGGGACTCTGGAGACTATTGTCCTTGGACTATTTATTTTGCATATTTTGACAAGAATGGATGCTCTCAAGGGAAGTCTTTGCATATGACAACAACATATAGCAATTCACTTAAGCTTCAGCAGAGCTGGCCTTTGAAGGGACACTCTCCAGATGGGTAGGGCAGGCATTCACCTCCATCTTGTTTAGCCTCACCTGTACATTCTCCTTGGGATGACTTTCCGTAATCCCCAAGTCCGCCATCACACCACACCCCAGCTCCCAGGATTACTTTTCTATGATGGCAATAAGACAAAGAACAGCTGGCAATGGGAAACAGACCACTGAGCA
Organism: Homo sapiens; assembly: GCF_000001405.40. Taxonomy (NCBI): domain Eukaryota; kingdom Metazoa; phylum Chordata; class Mammalia; order Primates; family Hominidae; genus Homo; species Homo sapiens. The sequence goes on from NC_000003.12 coordinate 118,815,785, forward strand.
ATGTAATGGAAGCCTACTACTGCTTTCCTCATAGTGGGAGACCACCAGTGTGGTAAGAGCACACAGACATACACACACACCCACAAATTAGTACCAGGACATTGTGTCCTGTTAAACTTACTACAACCATGCAAAGATCGATATTATTAACCCTACGTTAGAATTAAGGGAACTGATCATCAGAATGGTTAAGTAAATTGCTTAGGGCCACAGGGTCACCAGGCAGCACAACTGGGATTCCTGCCCTGGGTCTCCTAACTCCCAAGCTTCTAGTCTTTCCTCTACCGCACATCTGAACACAGCCGGGGACTGTCTTCACTCCCCACAATGCACCACTCTCTCTTTGTCCTTTCTCTGCCTTCCTCTTCTCTTTCTCTCATTCCCACTTTCTTTCCTTTTTTATTATCTGCTCTTTGAATTATTCCATGCCTCATACCTATTCAGGTTTAGGCAGGTTTTGTGCCACTAGATTTCTTAAGGAGAGGCTATGGGCTGATCCCTGCCTTAGAAAATAATGTTCATGTTCCTCCAAGAGCAAAACTGCTAGGTATCCCAAATACAGTTGGAAATGACCCAAATTTTAGTGTTTGTTCCATTTTCAACTCCATTGGGACAAACAATTGTCCTATATTTAAAACTGGAACTAGGGTGTGGAGGGTGTATATGTGTGTGTGAGTGAGAGAAAGAAAGAGAGAACATGCAAAAACCTCATTTCCTGATTTTATCATGGAAATTGCCAGGTCAATCATATTTTGTTCAATCAGCATTCACAAAGCATGACCTCTCTCACCCAACACACACCTACTATCATATACCAATAACCTCTATCTGTAGCACTGACATCTAGAACCTCAATATTATCATTCACATCTTGCATGTTCATTTTAACCTTTATAACATTCCTATCTGATAGGAGTAAAAAATGTTACCATTCCCATTTTGAGTAATCAATAAATCAGAGAATGCCAGTCATTAAATATATATGCAATTTTATTTCCAAGTCTCTAAATCTGGAGTCTCCTGGCTTCCAGGCCAGCTCTCTCTAACCTCACAATCCTCCTTGACAACACTGCTAGGAGGAAAACTAGGTCCCCTGCCTTCTTATTCGGGTGTTTTTACAGCTGAAATTCACATCCTTAAAAAGGAGGGAAGTTGACATGGAAATAATTTATTCTCCCTTTAAGTAAAACAAGGAAAAAAGGAGTAGGAAAATAAAAAGACAAAACCTCCTACCACTTCAAATGCAGCAAGATGACCAGCTTCATGCCTAACAGGGAAATAGTTATCTACAATTATAGAGAGCTAAGGAATCTAAGAGCAGAGGTCTCAGTGTTCCTCCAGCTCGACCCCAGCTCCACGCACAGAACCTCTGGCATGTGATGACATTAGTGACTACAATCGTCACTAAAATGTTCACTGAGCGCCCTCTAAGTTGCAGGTATTTTTCTTAGGAGTTTTGTATGTTTTCTCTTGTTTACTATCTACCACCCTAAAAAGGAACTATTATCATAGCATTCTACAGATGAGAAAAGACATTATTGCTTACCCTTAATTTTCATAATAGTCCAAAAAGATTGCTGTTACCATGATTGCCATTTTAGAGATGATGAACTGAGGCTCAGAAAGGTCAAGTGGCTTGCCCATGGTCACACGGGTCTTCTGATATGGAGCCTGCAGCTCCTTCACAGTGCATAACTCAGCAGCCCAGAAAATGCCTTCACACCCTCCTCCCATTTGACCATTCGTCACAACACATTTAAGATCAGACCCTGACGGTGACATTCTGCAAATAAGTTCAACATTGGGTGTTGTTGAATCTCAGGGAAGAAAGGCCAGCACTGACCCCTGAGGATATCCACAGTCAATAATTCAAAATGTAGGCATGAATTTGTCACTAAGCCAACTTAATCCTCAAAAAAAAAAAGAAGTTTCATAAGAAGAGAATCTTTAAAAGAGAAACAGAATTGATGGCTTAGGAAAGGTAAAGTTACGGAAACGGGTTGTAAATCCTGATCATAAATTAGGGCTGAAAGGAAGAGGATTTTTGATTCAGTCGCTGAGTAAACTGTCTTATTGGATACACTGGCACCACCTTGTGGTGAGAAGCAGGAACTCACAAAGTACTACCTGTTTGGCACCACGTATAGTAAAACATACCCTTGCTGTGGAGGTAAACAATGTTGGATACAAATCACAAGGCTCCAGAATTTCATCACCAGAGTGATGATGGCTACTTTGACTAAAATAGACTACTTTTGAAAGAGCATGTTTGTTTTATCCCAGAGAGGGCAAAATGCAAAATGAGGCCAGTCCTCTGGTGCATTTCAAGGGTATCTTTATTGATGAATGCGAAAACCTAATATTGAGGTATGAGAATATCTCACATTTGTGTAGCATTTTTCACATACATAATTTTATTTTATTATCAAAACAACACTATGAGTTAGGCAGACAATATATTGATCCCATTTCACAGACAAGGAGAGAGGTTCATTTGTGATAAGCATTAATGTGAAGTTAATTGTGAAGCTTCCAGAGAAAGCTCAGTAGTTACTAAGCCTTCTCAGGAACTGAGAATATTGTAAAGATGAGTATGCTGAAAAGGTAAAAGAGTTAGAATCAAGAGTCAGTCAAACAAATGATCCATTCACTTCTAAATAACTTCTAAGCAGTTGATTTCTCAGCAAAAGTGTGCTAGAGTTCAAAAGTAAATAGAATCGTGGCACCAAATGCCTGATGAAATAGGCAGCCACAATTGTCTGGACCACTGAGCCAGGCCCATGCCATGCCCATGTGTTGATTCATCACTAAGTCCTTCAGGGACAACATGTTTACATAGAAAATACTTTTGCCAAGCTGGCCTCATCACACTGCAGTTGAAATAATTACATCATCCAAATCAGACCACCTCACCCCATCCCCAAACTGTCCAAAATCTGCTTGTAATTTCTTGTGTGAGCTCCTGTCCACAAAACATCGGAGACCTTATTTTCATTCCTCTGTTTGGACTGAGCCAAGGAACCTCATTTAGCAAAGAATAGTTCTATATGCAATCTTCCTGCTAGGCCTGTGGCCTGGTTCATGGTGGAATGACATGCATTTGGCAATTTTTTTTGACTATGCTTTTAGTGAGAGCTGTGTCAGGGATGGGGTGCTCACCTGTCCCATTTGAGAGAGGGCTTACTTGATGTCTTATTTTTGTGTGATATCATGAGACATTTGGAGGCTCGTGTGTTCATTAAGCATTAACTCATTGATCTCAAATGTCAATTCACCAAATCTATGATAAACATACGTACTATAAAAAATTCATACGTTAATCTTTTCTGCATTTCTAATTATTTCTTATTAGATTTTTTTGAAGGAAAAGGTGTAGAGCTTGACAAATTATTCTAAATTTTATTTGGAAAAATGAACAGATAAGAACATATTTTTTAAATACCTTAAAAGAAGAATGGGGAACTTTTTCTTCAGGATATTAGTTATTCCAAATATTTTTCCTGTTTATTATTTGCCTTTTAATTTGCTGGTGAAGTTATTTGACACAGATTACTAGAATCAGAGGATTTAGGATAATTTTTGGCTAAAGATCAATATTCTTTTTTCCTTGCTTTGCCCCAAATTAATTAATAGGTTCTTTTTTAAAGGCAGTGATTGAAAGGCCCAGATACCTATCAGACATATTTTTAACAAAGTTCCTTTATTCTCTACTCAAGATAACATTAAGAAGTCATCAGATATCACTTCTCCTTGAACTGTTGCACAGACCTGAGCCAAAGTGAAGACATATCTGCGCGCACACACACACACACACCCCACATACGCCACATGATAGTTGTTTAGGTGCAACTATATTCAAGTGATATGACCTGGTCCCTTCATCTCTCCCTTGAGAAATCATAGCCCCCATTATACTCCAGATGATTGACAGTTATCACATTCAATCACTTTTTCCTTTTGTCATCTAGATCTCCACGAAGTGGGCTTCCCAATCTCTAAACAAGATTTTACAAAGTAGTCAATATGCAAACATTTTGATGACATAATATAAAGCTAGTGAACATCTTAAGAACTCATTCTCTTTTCCACTGTTATAACTCATATATATGTATACATATACACACAACACATATCACACACACATATATATGTGTGTATATATATATATTTCTAAATAATAAATTAGACCACACTGTTCACAGATGAAGTATATGTTTTCCCATAGCAAAGACTGAGAAACCTATTGGCATATGGTAGCAAGACTACCTGAGGGATCCTGAGAACTCCAGGTCAAACAATATTAAGAACATGAATGAATGGAAGACATCTCAAAGAATATTTTTGATATATTTGTTTCTAGTTTATATGTCAACAAATAAGAAATCAATAATGAATATATGAAAATGCCACAGGAAAATAGAGAAAAAAACATAGACAATTCCAACAAACAAATAAAAGTGACTGCTAAAACCACAGCGCCCATCACTAGTAGCTGCTAAAAATATGCTAAATAAAAATAATTATAATTAAGGTAATGGAAACTATATCAGCAACGAAATACTTTTTTGTCTCTATCAGGCTGGAAAATATTAAAACCATGAAAACATTATAAAAATGCCCTATTGTCCAATAGCACGTATATATTTTATACTGCAATTGCCCACGCCACCCATTGTGAAAACACTAAGACAATATGCATTAAACATCTTAAAATTTTTATACTCTTTGATTTAGTAATTTCAATTCTAGATAACTACCCTAAGGAAATCATCAGAAATGCAGGCAAATTTATGTGCAAATATGTTTATTATAGCATTATTTATTATAGTAATAAATGGAAGCAATAAAAATGCTCATGATAGAGGACTGCTTAAATAAATTAGAGGCCATACATACATGCATATCATGGACTGTTACACAGTCATTAAAAATTACATTCACAAGGAATTGGAATGACATGGGGAAATGCTTACAATGCACTCAATAAAAGAAGCAGAATATACAGCTATTTATATAGCACAATCATCATTTTTAAAGTGAGTTTGTAGCAAAGAAAAATAATTAAAAAGTATGAAACTGTGAACAATATATAAGATTATAAGTGATTTTTATTTCACTCTTTATAAAACTTGTTTTTCCAAACTTTCCATAATGATCATTATTACTTTAATAATTAGAGATATATTAATTTAAACTACATTCCATTCACGGCCCTGGAAAACCCTTGCTCTAGCCCGGATTGTTTCCTAAATACATCAGGCATTTCCAGATCCCCTTTTTTTTCTGCTTAATATCTGACTGCTTGGAAGGCCTTACAGGAACTTGAAAATCAGTTCTTCTAGGTGACATTCTTTGAAGCCCTGAGTAAGAATTGGTTGTTTCTTCATTTTTATTTTAAAACCACTTGATACTTGGCTGTAGGATGCCATTTACTAAATTAATTATAATTATTCATTTATGTGTGTGCTCCCCCTGTTGGACTTTGAACTCTTCAAAAGCCCTGGGTCTTAGAAACCCTTAAATCTCCAATATCTGGTACTATTCCTAGCAAGCCATAAATATTAAATACATGCATGAGTGAATGATAAATGTATGGAACAATGGATGGATAGAGGGAAACCTACAAATTTTCAAAAGGTGATAGAATCTAGAAGCTAAGGCATCTTCAAGTTGTTTCCTGTATTTGGATGTGTACATACTACAAACGACATACAGGAAACAGTATGTTGAGCATTCCTAAGACAAGTTGAACTATAATTAGCTTATAATAGAACTGAAATTTTTCTAGTTGAAACAACAAATCTGTTATCCTACTTTGCAGTAAATGGCTTTCTATGAAGGACACCCACACGCTTTTTTATTATTAAAAACCATTCCAATAAAAGATATGCTAAAAAATTATTGTAATTTCTGCTAATTAAAAACTAATTAAGTCATTTGCTGCATAATACATGTACTCTACTTGCATTATCTATAAGCATGCTCTTCACTTACAAATATTTGTCTCCATTTCATTAAAGTAATTAAACTGCTCCAAGTATGGTTATTTTTACAAGCATTTTATAGCCAACTCTCAATTTTCCGTACGAATGGAGAAGTATAATTGAAATATTTAAAACTGAATAACAGATAATACAGAACCTCCCTGTAGTTCTTCCCCTCCTCCAGTTTAGCAAACAACAAAAGCAACCATGCTGAGGTTTAACTCAGCTCCCTTCCCTCACGCCCACTCTGGTAGCCTATACAGAAAATAATTACACATAAATAGTATGACTGTATTCATGCACTTAGGCCTCCTTCCCACCCCCACCTCTCAACACTCTCATTTTAATGTATGTTAAGGCAAGATGGAGGAATGTGCTAGCCTACTTTACCAGGGAAGAGAGACCATCCCCAAATCAATGACAAAATTAATTGCACTCTGTCTCTCCTACCACATTGCTCATGCTTTGTCCCTGGCAATTATGACAATTCCTTAAGTTCCTAGAAAAAGAAATGCTGCATAAAGCAAAAATTCTTTATGCTAAGAATTATAATGGAGATTCTGAGTGAAGGTGTCAGCGTGCACGTCACAGTGTGCTTGGGTGCAGCATTTTTTGCTATTATAAAGGAAAGCAAATTATGTGGAGGATGCATTCTTCTTCCCAAAATGGGAGGGAGCATAATTATGAAGGGGCAGAGAGTAAATATAAATTGGATGCATCTAATTACATATATTTAGAAATGTGACGAGAAAACATTTATTGCAAATGGGTTGACAATCTATCTTCCATAATAGGCATTTGTTGTGGATAAACAGAATAGAGCTCTTCTAACTCCCTAATTCTGGTTTTTGCCTAAGTGTTAGAGGCTGCAGTGATGCTGCCTGTGAGAGGAGAGAAATGGTGCCAAGCAGAGAAAGCACCATCCGCAGAGGCAGAGTTACGCAGTGGGGACAGCTATGAGGAGAACAGGGAGGGAAGGAGGTGGTCAGGGAACAAGCTGGTGCATAGGGCATAGAGATTGATCCCAGGCTGGGCACGGTGGCTCACTCCTGTAATCCCAGCACTTTGGGAGGCTGAGACGGGCAGATCACCTGAGGTCAGGAGTTCGAGACCAGCCTGGCCACCATGGAGAAACCCCATCTCTACTAAAAATACAAAAATTAGCCAGGAGTAGTGGTGGTGCATGCCTGTAATCCCAGCTACTCAGGAGGCTGAGGCAGGAGAATCTCTTGAACCTGGAAGGCAGAGGTTGCAGTTAGTCGAGATCACACCATTGCACTCCAGACTGGTCAACAGAGCCAGACTCCATCTCAAAATAAAAATAAAAAATAAAAAAAGATTGATTCCAAGGGCCTGGAAACTGCAGTTGTGCTACAAAACGGATAACAGATAGATAGATAGTGGTGGTGGGAGGAGTGCTGGTGATAGATATGCAGATAAAAGAAAGAATATTTGTTATACACACGTAGCGCATAATAAGTATTTAATAAATGTACTAAGCACTTGAGGTCCTCAGAGACAACATTTGGTTCCTAAGGTTAAAGACACAAAAGAAGTTGTTGGACAAGAGGCAGGGGGAGGTGGTTTTATTGTTTTGTTTCATTTTGAATACAGGCCTCAGAGGCAGTACCCAAAATGTGTTCAGAAGGCTTGAAACAGAATTAAATTCAGACCCTGCATGTTAGATGGCATCTCCTTTATTCTGGACTTTCCCCTGCTTTAAATTTTATTGGATTTTAATCGGAGACCATCTGATGAAATGTTCTGAACCTAGATTAGAATGTAGCGTGTAAAACAGCTGAATGAGAGGGAGGACAGTGGAATCACATAATGGAATATAAAATAGATTTTAAAAGCAATAAAACTGCAGCAGGTGGAGGGGTCTCCTGAGGGTCAAGAAGAAGCAGGACTGTTGAGGCGCTCTCTCACTGCCCAGAGAAAGAGGAATCCATCAGTCCCTCCCTGGGACTGTGCCCAGGATGTGCCCATCCTACCCAGGGCACAGGAGAAAGGAGAAGCAGAGCCTGAACTGGTTTATGCAAATAAAACTGAACAATATTATAAAAAGAAATAGCCAGAGTACCCAAGGACCCAAGGCAGGCCCTTGACTTCTCCAAAATTCATGATGAGAGACAATGGAGACGAGTTTTGCTGTACCAATTAGAGCAGGGCTTCTCAAATTTACTGTGCAACTGAACTCAAGTCTTATTAAAATGCAGATTCTGATTTTGAAGGTTAGAGGTGGGCCTGAGAGTCTGCATTGCTAGCAAGTTTGCAAGTGATGCTGATACAGCTGTTTCAGGGATCACACTTTGGGTGGTGAGATATAAAGCTGCTTTGCTCACCTGCATCAGCATCACTCTTTGCCCAGTGAAAACTCAGACTCCTGAGCTCCATCCAGACAACGCATCCCTAGGGACAGCACTTGGGGATATGCACATTTTTTGAGCTCTCCAGTTTTTTGTTTGTTTGTTTGTTTTGTTTTGTTTTTTAGACAGGATCCTGCTCTGTCACCCAGGCTGGAGTGCAGTGGCGCAATCTCAGCTCACTGCAACCTCCCCCTCTCGGGTTCAAGCAATTCTCCTGTCTCAGCCTCCCAGGTAGCTGGGATTACAGGTGCATGCCACCATGCCCAGCTAATTTTTTTGTATTTTTAGTAAGTAGAGATGGGGTTTCACCATATTGGTCAGGGTGGTCTCAAACTCCTGACCTCAGGTGATCCACCTGCCTCGGCCTCCCAAAGTGCTAGGATTACAGGCATGAGCCACCACGCCCAGCCACTCTCCAGTTGATTTTTATGCCTACTCTTCCAAATGCCAGGCACATTCTTCAGAATTTATAATAAAGTTATCCACATAATTATAAGACAAGAAGGTGAGCAACAAGTTAACCAGCAGAACTGAGAGTGACGTGAGGAGGTGTGGGGAGTGGCTATCATCTGGGAGTTCAAGAGCGAGTCCACAAACAGAAAACAGCACCAGGAACCCTCCCTTTGGGGCATCCAGTGCATGCTTTAGGGCAAGCAAAGATACCTAAGGAGTACATCTGCCTGAGTAGATTTTTTTTTTCTTAAAACAAATCCCATTACACTGTTTTATTTAATGGAATAATTTTACGAGCCATTTTCACTCTGCTTGTTCTCCCTCACACCTTCTGCCCACATCCCATTACCAAGTCCTGTTGGCTCAGCCTCCAAGATCCATCCTCTCATGCATCTCCTTCTCCCATTCCCAATGCCATCATCCTAGTCCTAGCTGTTACCTTCTCTCACCTGGGCCACAGCAACTGTTTCCTAGCTGGTGTCCCAATTTCTGTCTTGACCCCTAACATCCATTGTCTATTCCACAGCTAGCCTAGAAGTTCTTCAGAAGCTTCTCTTTGCATTCAGAATAAAATCATCACTGAAGCTGCGAAAGCCCAACAGGATCTCATCCCTACATCTTTCTTGAACCTCATCTTTCTCTCTCTGTGCTCCAGCTACACCAGTTTTCTTTAGTTTCTCAAATACACTAAGTTTGTTCTCACCTCAATGTCTTTGTCCATGCTCATTTTTCTGTTCTTTGCCAGACATAGCGAGCCCCACTCTTCCTTTAGGTGTAATCCTAAGTATCACCTTTCCAGAGAGAACTTCCCTGCCCACCTAACCTTGAGTAGATCCCTCTCCAGCCCCTCGTTCTTCCTTTATAACATATATTATAATTGGCAGTGATTTTACTTTGTTTGTGTCTTTCTCTTCCATTATAACACTGATTCTCAAAATGTGGTCCCAGACAAGCAGCACCAGCATCACTTGGGAAACTCTGAGGGTAGAGCCCACTGCTGTTTTCTCAATGTGTCCTAGTAAGTTGGTGGATGCTGAAGTTTGAGAACCACTGCACTGGACTGTAACCACCACGGGTGTAAAAACTGCATCTGTCTTTTCCATCATTATATGCCCAGCTCCTAGCTCCTAGATTTGGGCATATAGTAGATACTTGGTAACATTTTCCTCAAATAAATAGATAAGTGAGTCCCATGAGGCAAGCAATTCACATTTCCCAACCAGTATCCCATCCTAGTATACTTACAAGAGCTCTATTTGAAAGAGAAATCTCACAGAAACTTGGCTTCCAATGGTGGAGTTCTAAGCAGGCTTCAGAATAGAGAATCCATTATAGGGGACAAGTTAGAAATTGGAAGACCAGGTAGGAGAGTGTTGCAGTGGTCTGGCTGAGCGATGATGATGGTGGGAACTAGAGTGATGGTGGTGGGAACTAGAGTGATGGTGGTGGAAATGGAGAGAAGGAGGTAAATTTCAGGATGGATCTCAGAGTCTGAGCCACCAGGACTTGATGATGACTAGTCACAGGCAAAGGGGTGTGAAGGAAGTGCGGGGTCAGGAAAGGTATAACCTGCGTGCAGGTGGTGAAAACGGGGGAGCGCAAGTATACTGGGTTCCAAGCAAGGAAAGTGGGCAATCAAACAAATCAGCAGACTGCGTTTGCTTAAGAATGGTCAACCTGGGCCCTTTTCTCTCCCTCCTTATGGGCCCTTTTCTCTCCCTCCTTAACTCGCTTCCATCCCACCATCCCAGAAAACACATGCAAAAAGTAGATATTCTAATGTAACCCAAAGATGAATATGTGGAAGAAATCAAAGCACATTTAGTGGCCTCACATGTTTATTAATGTGGCTGAGGATGTTGCAGCTTGTACCGGGTCAATGGCTCATTCAGGTCACACAGCTGCTGGAGGCCAACAGGACCAAGCCCCAGTCTCCCACCTCTCAGTCTGTTGGAAGACTTGCTTTATTGGATGCTCTGTGGGAAAAAAAGAAAAACTCCAGGGTTCAACATGTTTGGAAATGCTGCAAGCAATATGCCCTCTAGAGAGTTTCAGTGGTGGACATTATATTAAGGCTACAAAAAGTCTTCCATCGGAGAAACACGTTTAATCCAGCACTCTGCAAACAGCTTTGGCCATGGATTCCCACTGGTCCACAGAGCTTCATAGCATCTATTAGCACCCTCAGACTATATATACTAAGCATGAGCCATAGGAAAAAGAAGGATATGTTAATCCCAGTTTGAAGGTTATGCCTGAATTTTTCGTATGCTCATAGAAGTCCTGGTATCTTTGCCATGTTTATCCACATCTGGAAACCTTTAAATGACTATTTTAAACAGCTAGCTGGGCTCGTTTTGAAGGTACTTGGCTAACACCAAGGGAAAATAACATGGGAAGCCCCACTGGGCTGATGCTCTCATAAGGTATTCCTTAATGCTTAGGATATGGGCTTCCCAGGCCTGATCCATGGTGACCTGCACTCAGAAGGTCTCCCCTGCCAGCTTCCCTTTTCTATTGTATGACCACAGCTTGCACAGAAGCCCCTGGTGTGGACAAAAGGAACTGGCAAATAGTGATGCATATCCCAGGGGTGGTAATAGTGATGCATAGCCCAGGGTGATCAGGCAAGGCTGCCCACCAGGACAACGAGGGATGGGGGATAGGGACCAGTGCTCAGGAGTCCCATACCTGGAGCCATGCGGACTTGGGTAGGCTTGAGGCAAAACTCGGAGACCTGGAGGAGATCTCCCAGAAATATGAGATTCTGAAAGAAGGGATTTCTGGGAGGGGTGCACAGGCCTAGGATCTTCCCAATGGGGAATGGCCTGGGAAGGACACTGGGAGCTTCACTGGGCTGGGTCATCCAACTGTGTGGCAGGGAACAGTCAGAAGAGCTGAAGCTTTAGAATTCATACAGACCAGTGTCCAAATGAGCAAGCTTCTCATGTTTTAGCTTCATAACTTTAGACAAATTACTGAATGCCCCCGAGCCTTGGTTTCTACGTATGTAAAAAAGACACCATAATTTCTGCCTCTCAAAATTGCTGAGTGGTTTAAATCACATAATGTGTATGAAAACACTGACAGATAATAGAAGTGTAACCAAACACAGGTATAATTGTAATAATTATTACAGTTGTTCATTGAGCATTTATAATGTGCTAGGCACAGGGTTAAGTACATGAAGAGACATTAGGTTGTTTACACCTTCTCGGAACCCTCTGAAGTAGATACTCACACAGCTCTAATTTTATAGCTGAAGAAATTGAAGCCCAGGAAAGCTAAGTTAACTTGCCCAGAGGCACGCAGATAGAAGGCAGTACAGCTGAGATCAGAATGCAGACAGTCTGAGTACAGGAAATATTTTCTACTCTACAAACACTGATGCAAGAAAGTGGCAGAGAGGCAGACAGGCACCTTAACAGAGAAGCAGCCAAGCTCGCTGGGAGGGTGGGCTGTATGTGCCACAATAGTCAACAGCCCCTCCTGGGGTCAGTTTAGCCAGCAGAATCTTTTGAGTTCAATTTGCACATTCTGCCTGAGACAGAAAAGGAACTAAAAATTCCATCAGAGTATTTATCCAGTCCTCATCGTGGATGGCAAAAAAGCCTAGCTGGGTGACAGTGGCCAAAGGGGACGTGTGCTGACACAAGAGGTGACCATAGTGTGCTCTGTGCTGACTCCTGGGACAGGCATCTCCCTCTAGCCCCTCAGGCTGAGCCCTGTGCTGAAGAGAGAGAGTGCACAATGCAGGTCAGCCCAGCAGCGGGAGGCCCCACATCAGCCCCATCAGGTGGCAACCGACCACAAGCCCCCTGTGGAAGCCCATCGAGTCTGGTTGGTGCAGCAGCCCTTGGCAATCCAGAGGCAAAAGCTCCTAGGTGGAGATTAAACCATAGGAAAACTATTTACCCAGTTGGGATTTGATGGACAAGCACAGCCAGCCCTGAGTGATCTCTGGAAGAAGGTCTGTGGGGACTTTAAGGGGTGAAAGCATCCATGGAATGGGGTAAAAGCAACTTTTATAGCACCTGCCTGCACCTGGCCACACCAGGCAGTCCTCAAAGGTGTGTAGAACCCAATTACTCTAGTAAATAACAGATTCCAGTCATCGGTACCCAGATTTCCTGGGCTGGGAAGAAGGCAGACACCAGCAGAGGAGATCCTCTCTGTTTTGCAGATGGGTGCACAGGCTTAGGACCTTCGCAATGGGGAATGGCCTAGGCAGGACATTGAGGAGGGCTTGAGGAGAACCCTTGAGGTGAATTACAGCATAGGGTTAGGTCAAAGGGTTGGAGTGGGGGATTTCAGATTTGAGGCTGTAGTGCAGGGAATGGGAAAGAGTGCTACACGCCTGCCCCCAATCCCATATGCGTCATGAAATTCAGTATAGAAAAGTATATCTCATGAGCGAAATTATCTCAGCCAGAAACCTACAGAGCAGTCCAGAAAACCAAGCAGTGCAGATGAGAAGGACAAAAATCTGTCTTAAAGCCCTTGAGGAGGGAGATGAGGCTGGGAGAAGGAAAGAAAGGAAGGGGAGAAAAAGAAAGGAAGAAGGCAAAGAAGAAACAAAAAGAGGGAGGGAGGAGACGAGGGCTCCTAAATGAAATCCTTTAGATGAAGAAACTGCATATCCAAAGCCAGCCCATATGTGATAGGACATTTTTATTCTATTGGTTAGCATTTCAATAAAATCTATTGTTTTAAAATAGTACCATCAGACTTTCAGACAAGTCTGCTCTTCACTATAGCTTTCACTCTTGTGATAAAGGAAAAAAAAGAGTTTAAAATTAAACATAAATGATAAAAACCTCAAAATTTTCAAGTCAAATTTCATTAACTGATAAAGGTCTACCCTGAGCCCTGGGCAAGGGCAGTGGAACAGATTTGGTTAATTTGGAAGATTAAAGGCGTTCTGAATAATTGAGGCCACATTAGAGGGAGACTCCATAGTTTGAATGACATTCCAAAGTCAAGAGACTAAAGAGCTAAGAGTTCTTACCCTAAAAGCCTTGAACCTCAATGGCTGATAAGAAGAAACAGAAAACACCAATTGGTAATCTACCTGTTTATACATAGATTTATCTTTCCTTTGGTTAAGGAATTTGACCAGTAGAGTCTTGAATATTTTAAGGTGTTCTGTATAAAGCAATGTGTTATCTTGACAGTTTATTAGCAACAAAGTCAAGAAGGTCAAAACTGAAGACTCCTTCTATAATTTTATTTCCGCTCTGCTTACATCTTAATAAAAGGTGTCTCTTGCAACAGTAAACAGAAACCAATCTGCATTTGCAGGTGCAGAAAAGGTGCTTTCAAATATATTATAATCACAGAATGGCATAAGCTTAGAAGGATGAGCATTACTCAACATTCTTTAGACCTTGGCAAGATACAAAATGATCTTTCTTTTCTTGGTTAAACAGAAGTAAATGACGAAGTCAAAAGGATACAAATCTAAACCAGTTAAGACTATGTTCATTTTGTTATTGTTGTTATTAATAGTAATAACTTATGCAGTCCTTTATAGCAGGGATCCCCAAATCCTGGGCCACGAACTGGTACCAGTCTGTGGCCTGTTAGAAACCAGGCTGCACAGCAGGAGGTGAGTGGCTGGCAAGTGAGCATTACTGCCTGAGCTCCGCCTCCTGTCAGATTGGCAGCAGCATTAGATTCTCATAGGAGTATAAACCCTATTGTGAACTGTGCATGCAAGGGATCTAGGTTACGTGCTGCTTATGAGAATCTAACTAATGCCTGATGATCTGAGGTGGAACAGTTTCATTGGAAACCATCTTCCCCAACCCCCATGGCTGTGGAAAAACTGTCTTCCATGAAATCAGTCCCTGGTGCTTTATATGTTACTAACAATTTCCCACAGTTCATTGGTCAGCACTGCTTTGATTGAAGGTATGTGTGTTAGGGGCAGGTCGGACCTGAGTGTCTCATCCCTCACTCCGTCACACCTTATGAGGTAGCTCTTGAGGCTAAATGAGACACAGAATTTTAATAACCATAGCCATCAATTGTCTGATTTTATAATCTATTTACTGTCATGGCTATGGTTGCCTCCTTAACTTCTCTTTCCTCTTCTCTTGGTAAACATCAGGATTCTCATTCTAGAACCCACATCCTGCCCACTGTAGCCCATGTGCTTTGGTGGAAACTAAGGCACAGCTGATTCCAGATTTGGGGCATGTAGGAAAATAAGTGTTATTCTGTCCCTAGGCCACAGTTAGTGGTTCAAGGCTAGGAATATAGCACAATGTGGGCCCGTGAAATTGTATGCTGGAGTTTTCTAGGAGGCCATAAGAAAGAGCATCCCCTCTTTTCCAAAAGACTCCCAGTGGGTTCCCATATTTACACACTGCAAATGTGGACAAGAAACCTGGTCCTCAAGTTGGAGAGTGATGGAGAATTATTCTCAGGATGAGGTTGGCACACAGGAAGGCAAAAAAGGACAGAGAGAGAAAGAAATACACTGACATTGTGGTCTGCTGAATCACACCCATCCTGAAGCTCGCCATAGTTCTAGACCTCTAATTACATGAACTAATAAATTTTTTTGATTACTTAAGCTAATTTGATTTGGATTTTCTGTTACTTGTAACTGATTTTACCCTAACTGATATAGTTACTAAGTGAGGTTGTTTGATCAAATGTTCTCTCTTCATTTTAGAGATAAGTGTGAAGTTCTAATATTTTATATGACACAAGAGTGCATAGCTAGTAATTGACGAAACAAAGGCACAAATTCAAATCCACTGACTCCAAGTTCAAGTGCTCTTTCTTTTGACATGTGCTCTGTCCATGATATGGTCCCAAAAAGCCCCTTTTTCAGATTTATGACTGCCACTAGGTTTGAATTTAAATATTCTAACATTATGCAATTGAAATACAAATTTGAGTATTGGCTCAAAAAATTATCTGTTAATGAGTAGCAGTGTTATTTTTTATAGAAAAGCACCATCAACCCACTTGTGGACTGGGCAGTAAACTCATCAAACACCTCCACTCATATCACCACCAACAATATCAGGCATGAAGACAGGCTGGCCAAAATATGGTAGATGGCTAGGTATGTTGTTCTTATAGGAAAGGTTATAAAATATATTAAAACAGAAGTCCTAGGTCAGTTATTTAATGCCAGTTAACAACATTGGTGATTAGGCAGTGTAGAATCTTAAACATAGTTGTCTTCCAAGAGTTTGTTATCTAATGGGAAGAGAGAAGATATTGATACCCTCTCCTGCTACACCTTCTCTCCACTATATTCCTTTCCCATAGCCCGGTTGTAAGATTAACTCTATGTACATACATGCTAAATAATTGAGGGTGGATCAGGAATCTTTCTACAGTCACAGAAAAGAGAGCCCAGCTTTGCGTAAAAATCAACTAATTAGGCTGTGCACAGTGGCTCATGCCTGTAATCCTAGCATTTTGGGAGGCCAAGGTGGGAGGATGGCTTGAGCCCAGGAGTTCAAGACCAGCCTGGGCAACATGGCAAAACCCCATCTCTACAAAAACTACAAAATTTATTCAGGCATGGTGGCATGTGCCTGTAGTCCCAGCTACTTGGGAGGCTGAAATGGGAGGATTGCTAGAGCCCAGAAGGCAGAGGTTGCAGCAAGCCAAGATGGCATCACTGCACTCCAGCCTGGATGACAGAGTGAGACCCTGTTTCAAAAATAACAAATTTTTAAAAATGAATTGTATAAAAGTGGGTACAGGCAGGAGGAACAGAAAGAAAATAGAATAAAGGAAAGTGATTTGTTCCCTGAAGTGATACCTCAGGTCATCAAAGATGTAAACGCAAGTTGAACCAAAGGTGAAAAAACTTTGGGCTGCCTAGAGGTAAAACAGACATCAATTATCATTCTTTTAAGTTAACATTATTTTTATTACAACTAATTTCAGACTGATAGGGAGGAGTATGAACTAGGCAGTTATAGCCTATAGCTCCTATAGAAAGGGTTATGCTCTTTCCACTACTTGGAATATTGACTTCTTCTCTTTTAAAATTTCTGCATGGTAAGAAGGTTAAGAATAGTGCTCAGGAGTTCTAGATTCAAGATAGATTTATAAATCTCGATCCAAAGCCCATTTCCAACATTAACTATTACACGACTGCCTGACTGGACAAATTACTGAATCTCTTCAAAACTATTTCCTCATCTACAAAATGGGTTGTTGTAAGGATTAAAAATACCTGTGAAATATTTGAGAAATAGTAAGTATTCAATAAATTGAAGATGCTATTAACTGCCATATTCCAATCATCGTTAAAAACTTTGGGCCGGGCATGGTGGCTCATGCCTGTAATCCTAGCACTTTGGGAGGCCAAGGTGGGCAGATCACGAGGTCAGGAGATCGAGACCATCCTGGCTAACACAGTGAAACCGCATCTCTACTAAAAATACAAAAAATTAGCCGGGCTTGGTGGCGGGCGCCTGTAGTCCCAGCTACTTGGAAGGCTGAGGCAGGAGAATGGTGTGAATCTGGGAGGCAGAGTTTACAGTGAGTCGAGATCACGCCACTGCACTCCAGCCTGGGCGGCAGAGCAAGACTCCGTCTCAAAAAAAAAAACAAAAAAAAACACAAACTTTGCCCAGATTCCTAATTGCTGATCAAGCGTTCTCTGGCTTCCCATAAACCCTGATCATCTGACCTAGAGCAGCTACTGAAGCAGCAGTTACTAAGGCTCTTCTAAAAGCTCTGGCCGCCAACTCCAGAGAGGGCTTCAGTATTAACTCTTTCCATTCCAGACCCAATCCTTCTTAGCTGGTTTTGCAGACTCTCAGTAGGCTAAAGATCACTCCCCTACATCACTGGTTTGTTTTCTGGGTTCCTGGGCTCTTTCCCAGGTTGTCTTAGCTCAGATATGCCTGCCCTAGAAGTAAGCAACTTCTGATGACCCAGGTTAGCATCCTGGAGAAGGGGTAGCTCTTGGTGGGAACCATTGTGTAAGGCAGGATTCATTTGATCCTTTTTCACAGAGGGTCTGGGAAACTGCAAAGGCTCACATATCTTTCTATATTCTGGTAAAGACTATGAGTCTCAAGGGCTCCTATATTGGCCTTGTCTGAGAATCCTTATTACAGTTCCAAGCACAAGCTCAGGTAAGATTTTATATCAGTTAAGGTACAGTCAGGAGACAGAAAGCACCAAAGAAATGTGAATAGAGAGAATGTAATATAAAGAATGGTATAAGGCTATTAACCAAGAAACAGAGAGAATGAAAGAACATTAAGGTATTATGGAGGCAGCAACTGCAGGAAACAGCTATCATCTCTAGGGCTTGGAGAACAAAGTAGTTTGCAATTATTAAAACTTAAAGAAGGAAAAAAAATTACAGGAGGGACATTGACTTCTGGGGGGAGTGGAGGGGTGGCAGCTGACTAGTGCTATTGTCTCAAGGGGAAAAAATAAAACTGATCTTCCAGGTAGTGGAAAATCTGTAAACCAAATTCAGGTACTGCTACAAAAAGGAACTGCTGCTGCCAGAGTGAAGAAGCTTTACTGAGTGACACCCAAAGGAACAAAAAGCAAACAGAAAGGAGTTAAGTCCCTTCTTCTTCCTTTAGTCTCTCAGTCTCCCTCTTAGTACCCCATACTGGCAACATGAATAAGTAACCAGCTGGCAAACCATAAATATGATTGGTAGAGTATCACATTTATGATGGCTTTGGAGGTAAGAGACAATAGCTTAATGATTGACAGAAAGCACCTATCCTTCCCCTTGACCAGAGATTTTCTACACTGGGAAATTGTGGAGGTTCAGAGACATCCACTATGCTCTTCCCTATTTCAAAGGACCCCCAACATTTAGCCCCAGTAGCCCCTGAAGAAGCCAGTGATTTCCCAAGAATATAAAAGACATAAAGGGCCTCCTAAAACTGCCCAGACTAGATCTAGTTCCTAGGTTATAAATCCTATTAAAAATGAGAACAACTAAGAGAAAAGCCAAGTCTCTAATATCCACAAATGCCTAAATACTGTCTCCTATGACCATTACCACTGCTCCACCAAGGTTCCTAAGATGATTGATAGATAGATAGAACAAAGCCAAAAATGCATGATCTTTATTACCATGAGTTGTTTACCCCAATTCCAATGTGGTCCTTGGTGACCAGACTCAACCACATGGAAGACCCCTTTTGCCTAAGAGGCATATAAGCATAGCAAACTCAGAGACCCCCTAGATCCCTTTCCCATAAGCTGACACTCACATCTTAATCCTCTGAATATTACCACTCTAATGGGAAGGAAAAGCAATTCCAAGGAAAAGCACACCAAGAAAATAGTTTCTTCCCACCATCCAAGCTTACACACCAAGGCAGGTAAGCTCTTCCCAGGAGGAAAAAAGAAGCAAAAGAATAGGGTTACCCTTACGCCTCTCACCAAGGCCCAACTCCAGGTAATATGGGCCAATAAATGTCCTTAGACCTGTTTGGAAACAAAGCAAGGAAACAAAAAATGGTTCCAAGATGAGTCATGAGCTCCCAATAGACTAAAATTACCCTGACTATTCTTTTTCCCTAGTATGGCTGTTCTTCCTCAAAATAATATTCCAGTAGCATATCCAAAAAAAACTCAGTCCTTCATAAAGCCACATTTCCCATCCTTGTTCCCAATTTTATAAATAGACTTAAAATCCAAGAGATGACCAGTTTAGCTCATCAAAACTATTGCCTACAGGAACATCTGAGATGGGTTCAAACAAAACATTAAGTTGTCACCAAGGACATATATTACATAAGGCCATATTAGTCCACATTGTGCTGTTATAACAAAATACCACAGACTGGGTAATTTGTAATGAAGAGAAATTTATTGATTTGTGGTTCTAGAGGCTGGGAAGTCCAAGATCAAGGGACCAGCATTTTATGAGGGCCTCCTTCCCTCCATAGCAAAAGGGCAAAGAGAGAATAAGAGAGAGCAGGAGATAACAAAACTCATTCTTTCATAAAGAACCCACTCCCTCAACAATGACATTAATTCATTCATAAAGGCAGAGCTCTCATGGCCAAATTACCTCCCATTAGGACCAACCTCCCAACACTGTTTCATTGAGGATTACCACTAGCACTTCTTAAAATTCAAGCACAGTACACAGGCACCCTCAAAAGATCATTGGAAACTGGAAACATTGATTTTCAAACTAAATATCTCAGTAAATTAATTGACAGAGAAGTGGTTAACAGCGAGACACAATTAATGCCCTGGAACACCAATTATAAGAACAATCTCAAATCACAGAAAAAAAAATGGTAAAGTGAAAGATAAAAGACTTAAAGGATAAATTCAAGATAATAGAAATGCCAATAATAGGAGTTCTAGAAATCACAAATGAAATACAGGAATGAGAAGAAATAATTAAATAAAAAATAAAAGAGAACTTCCTAAGATAAAGGAAAATTCAAAATTTCAGATTAAAATTACATTAAATTACAGACAAATTTGACTGAAAAAGATATTCCCAAGCATATCCTCTTAAAACTGCTGAATTCCAAGGATAACAAATATATTATAAGTTTCTAACAGGAAAATTAATTATCTACTAAGAAGTAGTATAAAACTCCTTATCAACCACATTGGAAACTAGATGTTGGTGTACTATCTGAAAAACTACTGAGAGGAAAGAATTGCAACCCAAGAATTCTGTATCCAACCGTGATATTATTTAACTGTCAGAAGGAAAAAATAATAATTTGTAGATATGCATGTCATTCATATTTCACCAGAATAAAATGCTCAAGAAAGCACTATAATAAAAAACAAACGAATCATAACAGAAAACTCAATATCTAACATAATGAAGAGGAGAGGAAACAATGATGAATATAAAGCTTTGCAGCCCATGTGTGTGTGAGAGAGAGAGAGACAGAGACAGAGATGGAGACAGAGACAGACACAGAGAAAACAATAAATGGATACTGATAAACTATGGGAATGAATGATGTAGGCACTAAATAAGGATTATTAAAATAGAAGGAATAAACATCAGTGAAAATTTTAATAATGTCTAAGAACAAAAAGAACTAAACTATTTCAGCAAAATTTTAAGGTCAGGATGTTGATGTATTCCAAAGTGTCACCTGGGTTGGGGCTGGAATTTATTAGATGATGAAAGTTAACGTATTCTTAAAGTTTTATTTTATTGACATCATGGTAAGAGAATAAGAGGGGGGATACAGGGTCTTGATAAGAGAAATAGGCAAAATGTTTAAAAATTAAATAGTAGAGAAATATGTATATGAGTTTGAATAACACAAAAGAGAAGGGCAAAGTATAGTAGAACTTCCAAATTAACAACAGGAGACAAATTAAATGAATATCAACTTTAACAAACCAGCAAAAACAATAATAATTTTAAAATAATACTCATTTGGATTATTTAAATACTTTAAGTATTCCATTTTAATTTATCTATTGGCTTTTTGGTTATTTTTTTGTTTTATCTTATTTCTAATGGCTGCTCTAGGGATTTTAAGATAAATATCTAACCTTACCATCTCAGTCTAATTAGAGATCATTATGTACCACTTTTTATAAAAGTAGAAGACTCCCAACCATATAGCTCCCTTCACCAAACTTTATGCTATAAATATTATATATATTGCATATTTGCACAGTGAGAAACCCTATGTTTTTGCTTTTTTCAGTCATACATAATTTAAAGACTTTAAGAGAAAAAAAGTCTTTTGTATTCACTGAGAGATTTGCCACTGTTGTTTTTCCTTCATTTCTGAAGATTCTTTCATCCTGAAAAAAACTTTCGTAGACATTTCTGAGAAAGCAGATCTACCCATGATGATTCTGTTAGCTTGCCTTCATCTAAGAAAAGCATCTTCATTTTATCTTCATTCCTGATGGATATTTTCACTGGACATAGAATTTGAGGTTGACAATTCATTTCTTTCAGT
This sequence comes from Homo sapiens, assembly GCF_000001405.40. Lineage (NCBI taxonomy): Eukaryota > Metazoa > Chordata > Mammalia > Primates > Hominidae > Homo > Homo sapiens. Next base: position 118,837,520 of record NC_000003.12, read on the forward strand.
ATTTAAAGTTTTCGTTTCATTCTCTTCTGTCCTTCAAGGTTTTTGATGAGCAATCTATAATCATTCTAATTATTGCCTCCCTGTATGTAACATGTAATTTTTCTCTAGCTGCTTCCAAGACTTGCTGCTTTATTTTTTCTTACATCACTTTGACTATGCTGTATCTGGGTGCAGCTCTCTGAGTTTGTCTTGTTTAGGTTTCACTGAGCTTCCTGAATGTAAATGTATGGGCTTTTCCCCTCCAGATTTGGAAAGTTTTGCTGTTATTTCTTAAAATGTGTTTTCTCTCACAATCTCTTTTTCTTCTAATTCTAGAACTTCCATAAAATTTATGTTAGAGCTTTTAATATTGCTCCACAGGTCTCAAAGGCTCTGTTCATTTTTTTCAATCTTTTATTTTTTTGTTCCTCAGATTGGACAATTTCTATTGATCTATCTTCAAATTCACTTATTTATTTGTCTTACCCACCATGCTATTATGCTTATCCAGTATATTTTTCTAGTTTACATATTGCATTTTTAGTTCTAAAATTTTCATTTTATTCTTATAATTTTTATTTCTCTTCAGAGAGCTCACATTTTTTTCATTTACTTCAAGCATGTTTCTATTAGTCCATTTTCACACTGCTATAAAGAACTACCTGAGACTGGGTAATTTATAAACAAAAAAGGTTTAATTGATTCACAGTTCCACAAGGCTGGGGATGCCTCAGAAAACTTACAGTCATGACTGAAGGTGAAGGAGAAGCAAGGCCCGTCTTACATGGCAGCAGAGGAGAGAGAAAGAAGGAACTTCCACATACTTTTAAAACATCAGATCTTATGAGAACTCACCCACTATCAAGAGAACAGCATGAGGGAAACTGCCCCCATGATCTAGTCATCCCTCTCTCAATATGTGTGGATGACACCTCGAGATGAGGTTTGAGTGGGGACACAGAGCCAAACCATATCATTCTTCCCCTGGATTCTCCAAAATCTCATGTCCTTCTCATATGTCAAAACACAGTCATGGCTTCCCAACAGTACCCCCCATTCCAGCATTAACTCAAAAGTCCAAGTCCAAAGTCTCATCTGCCTATAAGCCTGTAAAATCAAAAACAAGTTAGCTACTTCCAAAATACCATGGAGGTACAGGCATTGGGTAAATGCTCTCATTCCAAATGGGAGAAATTGGCCAAAACAAAGGGGCTATAGGCCCCATGCAAGACCAAAACCGAGAGAGCAGTTTTAAATCTTAAAGCTCCAATATAATGTCCTTTGACTCCATGTCTCACATCCAGGGCACACTAATGGACGTGGTGGGCTCCCATGGCCTTGGGAAGCTCTGCCCCCATGGCTCTGCAGGGTACAGCCCTCTTGGTTGCTTTCATGGGCTGGCATTGAGTGGCTGTGGCTTCAATGCTGGATCTACCATTCTGAGGTCTATAGGATAGTAGCCCTCCTACAGCCCCACTATGCAGTGCTTCAGTGGGGACTCTGTGTGGGGGCTCCAACTTCACATTTCCTCTCTGCACTGCCCTAGTAAGAGGTTCTCTATGAGGGCTCTGCCCCTGCAGCAGAATTCTGCCTGGACATCCAGGCATTTTCATACATACTCTGAAATCTAGGCGGTGGCTCCCAAGCCTCAACTCTTGTCTTTTGTGCACCTACAGGCCCAATACCATGTGGAAGCCACCAAAGCTGGGGGCTTGCATTCTATGAAGACACCACTAGAGCTGTACCTTGGCCCCTTTTAGCCATGGCTGGAACTGGAGTGGTTGGGACACAGGGCACCATGTCCTGAGGCTGCACGGAGCAGCAGGGCCCTGGGCTCAGCGAATGAAAGCATGTTGCCCTCTTAGGCCTCCAAGCCTGTGACGGGAGGGGCTGCCATGAAGACCTCTGACATGCCCTAGAGACATTTTTCCCATTGTCTTGTCTAATAACATTTGGCTCCTCATTACTTATGCAAATTTTTGCAGCCAGCCTGAATGTCTCCCCAGAAAATGGGTTTTTCATTTCTACTGCATGGCCAGGATGCAAACTTTTTTTTTTTGGTAGAGTCTTGCTCAGTTGCCAGGCTGGAATGCAGTGGCACAATCTCAGCTCACTGCAACCTCTGCCTCCTGGGTTCAAGTGATTCTCCTGCCTCAGCCTCCCGAGTAGCTGGGACTACAGGCACAAACCACCACACGTGGCTAATTTTTGTATTTTTAGTGGAGACAGGGTTTCACGATGTTGGCCAGGCTGGTCTCAATCTCCTGACTTCATGATCTGCCTGCCTCGGCCTCCAAAAGTGCTGAGATTATAGGTGTGAGCCACCTTGCCAGGCCCAGGCTGCAAACTTTTATGCTCTGCTTCCCTTCTAAACATAAGTTCCAATTTCAGATCATCTGCTTTTTGAATGCATATGACTATATTCTGTTAGGAGCACCCAGGCCACACCCTGAATGGTTTGCTGCTTAGAAATTTCTTCCTGTAGATACCCTAAATCATCTCTCTCCAGTTCAAAGTTCCACAGATCCCTAGAGCAGGGACACAATGCCACCAGTTTCATTGCTAAAGCATAGCAAGAGTGACGTTTGCTCCAGTTCCCAATAAGTTTCTCATCTCTATCCAAGACCACTTCAGCCTGGACTTCATTATCCATATCACCATCAGCATTCTGGTCAAAACCATTCAACACATCTCTAGGAAGTTCCAAACTTTCCCTCAGCTTCCTGTCTCCTTCTGAGCCCTCAAAACTGTTCCAACCCCTGCCTGTCACTCAGTTCCAAAGTCGCTTCCACATTTCCAGGTAGATTTATAGCAGTGCCCCAAACTCTTGGTACCAATTTTCTGTATTAGTCCATTTTCACACGCTATAATTAACTACCTGAGACTGGGTTATTTATAAACAAAAGAGGTTCAATTGACTCACAGTTCTGCATGGCTGGGGAGGCCTAAGGACACTTACAATCACGGCAGAAGGCAAAGGGGAAGCAAAGTACATCTTACATGGTGGCAGAGGAGAATGAGTGAGGGAAACTCCACACACATTTAAACCATCAGATCTTGCGAGAACTCACTCACTATCATGGGAACAGCATTGGGGAAACCACCCCTATGATCCAATCACCTCCCACCAGTTCCCTCCTTCAACACATGAGGATTACAATTCAAGATGAGATTTGGGTGAGTACACAGAGCCAAACCATATCAGTGTTTAACTTAACATCATGGAGCATAGATATTAAAAAAAGTTTAAAAACTTTGTCTGATAATTCTAACATCTGAGTGATCTCAGGATTGGTCTCTGTTGATTGCCTTTTCCCCTGAGAATTGATCACATTTTTCTGGTACTTTGTATGTCAAGTATCAGATTGTTATGTCATGTAGACTTTGGGTTCTATTAATAATCCTTTGTGTTGATGAGTATGTAAAACTGGGTCTCTCATATATCTCCAGAATATTAAAAGGTTTAGCCACTTTACAAAACAGTTTTTCAGTATCTTGTAAAGTTAAACATATAACTGCTATGTAACTCAGCCATTTTATTCCTACATATTTGCCCAAGATACATAAAAACACATGTCCATACAAGGACTGCTACATGACTGTTCACAGCAGCTTTCTTCATGAACTCCCAAAACTGGAAAAAAACCATATATTCATCAATTGGCCACTGAATAAACAAATTGTGATATATCCATAAAATGGAATATAAAAGAAATGAACTATACCTACACACAAAATAGATGAGTCTCAAAATCATATGCCCTTTGAAATAAGTCAGGCAAAAAAGAGTGCATACTATATGATTCCACTCATATAAAATTTTATATTTAAACTAATGTATATTAGCAAAAAGCAGAACAGTGTTTGCCTAAAGACAGGAGTGAAGAGAGGAGAGAATATTAAGAAACACAAAGAAACTTTTGCAGGTGTTAGAAATATTTGTTATCTTGATTGAATATGGCTTACAAATGTATACATATATCAAATGTGATCAAACTGTCCACTTTAAATCTGTACATTTCATGTGATTTAATTATTTATATCTCAGTAAATGGGATGAAAAGAGGACCAAACCATGTAATGAATACAAAGCATAAAACAAGAGAGATGGAATACCATCAAATATATCATCCTTACATTGTGCATGATTTCATTTTTCCACTAAAAGATAAAAGACAAAGTGTGTTTTCTCTTTAAAAAAAAATCTAAGCTTAAAAAAAAACACTTAAAGCAGTCATGAGAGCTTGAAAATAAAGAGATATACAATGAAATCATGGGAAAATATAGATAAAAGAAAGCTGGATAGAGCATTTTAAAATCAGATCACCATGTAATGAATACAAAGCATAAAACAAGAGAGATGGAATACCATCAAGTAAATCAATCCTTACATTGTGCATGATTGAATTCTTCCACCAAAAGATAAAAGACAAAATAAGTTTATTTTCTCTTTTAAAAAAATTCTTACCTTAAAAGAAACACTTAAAGCAGTCACGAGAGGTTGAGAACAAAGAGATATACAATGAAATACTGGGGAAAATATAGATAAAAGAAAGTTGGATGGAGCATTTTAAAATCAGACAAGGTTATTTAAAAACAAAAACAAAACAAAAAAAAACTTTTTTTAAAGCAAGATCAGCTGGGCTCAGTGGCACATGCCTGTAATCCCAGTGAGGGACTAAGTGGCTAAATTGGCTGGACTTCCTGGGTCAATAGGGACTTCCCTAAGGGGACTTTCACCTAAGCCAAAATGAGTCACAGCTGCAAGCTAAGGGATTGAAACTTCAACCAATTATATAGGGAGTTTAAGCTCTAGCTGCAGCCTAATGTTGGCTCACCAACCCACAAGCAGAGAGAAAATAAGCTAATTCTATAGGACAGAAAAAAGAAAAGGGGAGGGGTCATAAGGGGATATAAGCATAAGACACCCATGCCAGGCCACCTTCCAGGTCCCCTTGCACCGTGTGGAAGTTTTCTTTCTCTTTCGCTTTACTTTCACTTTCGCTTTAATAAATCTTGCCACTGCACACTCTTTGGGTCTGTGCATTTCTCTAGTCAAGCTGTAACACTCCATGCTGTGGTCCACAGCTTCATTTCTTGAAGCCCATGAGACCACGAACCCTTTGATTGAGAAGAAAATCTTCAATCAGGAGAAGACTTCTTGTCTCATTTCTGGGGGCTCGTCCAGGATTTCTCCAAAGCAGTGAGTAACATCAGACCCCTTTTGCTTGCTATTCTTTTCTATCTTCTTGCTAGAAATTGGAGGAAAACACCAGGCACCTGTCGGCCATTTAGAAGTGACAAGTGTGGCTGCCGGACTTAAGACACAGGTATGAGGCTTTCTGGGAAAGGGCTCCCTAACAACCCCTGGCCCTCCAGGCTGAGAGTATTAGTTTGCCTAGAACCAATTCCACCTTTCTCTACCTTTCCTGGGAAAAGCCAAGGGCTGGCTAGAAGTGGAAAACTGTAGTCCTGAACTCCTGGCACTGACCAGGTCGAGATTATGGCACAGCGAGAAGCCTCTACTCTGCAGCTGCCCATGCATGCATTCCCTGCCTTTTCTGACCCATGCCTCCTGGGTCCTAATGTCCTCAGAGAAGACTTTCTTGAGGCCCTATCCTCCAGGATCCTTCCTACCCCTGAGTCTAAGAATCTTTTGGCTAGGAGCCTAAGTCGAGTAGCGAAGCAATCCAAAGACCCTTGCTCATCGGGCCCCCAGGCTTATTCTTATGCAGATGGGTATCAATATCCTTACACAGGACTTGTCCCTCATAACCTGTACCCTCGGCACTATCCGGGACATCAAAAGGCATGTCAGTGCTGATAGAAGGCCTAGGACATTTTTCCTTTTGTTGGCCTAAACTTACTCCAGATTGTAGAGGCTACTTTAATTACTATCTTTCCTGTCTGGGATCAGTGATTAGAACTGTAGAACATCTCCACTGGAAGCAGTCAGAAGTATGGGCCGAAAACAATATAACAGACAATAGGTCCCCTGGTCCAAGGCCAAAGGTCAGTGAATAATCTTATGAGGGCAAATGAGGACAGAAAATTCGGGTACAAAAAGCACTGTTTCAACCTTGGTCCTCCAATTCGCCATTGCCTACTCTAAAACTGTTGTGCTCCAGTTCCATTTTCATGGAATTCATCTTGCTGGGAAAGCTCCAAGCCCAGAAATATGCTAACTGGTGCCTGGTCTCTGAACTCAAAATACACCCCGAACCTAAGACCCACTCACAGATGCAAAGGCAATTGTGAGCATGCTGGTAAGGAGCCACTAAAATCCAGCAGCCCCAGCTCCCTTTTTTTGCAGCTAAAAAAGTGAGGGAAATGAGTGCGGGCCAAAACTGCTACATCGGTAAGTGCAATTAAATCAGATCAGCAGGGTTCCATGGGTGATTGCACACCCTGGAAAGAAAAGGACACTAGAACCATAGGGGACACCCTAGGGCTATTGCTCACTAGGGGATGACTAGGGGTGCAGGCACTCCTATGTTCTCCTTTCAGATGGGAGATGTTCCCTCAAAAGCAAAGCCACCCCTGAGGTGTATTCTGGATAACTGGGGATCAATTTGACCCTCAAATGCTGAAGAAGAAGCAACTTATATTTTTCTGCAGCACTGCCTGACCACAATATTCTCTTCCTGGAGGAGAGACATGGATGCCCAAGGGAAGTACAAACTATAATACCATCCTACAGTTAGATCTCTTCTGTAAACGAGAGGGCAAATGGAGTGAAGTGCCATATGTACAGGTTTTTTTCTCACTAAAGGATAACCCACAATTATGTAAAAAATGTAATTTACATCCTACCAGCGGTCCTCAAAGCCTACCCTCAAACCCTGGTCTCCCCACAGCTCTGCCTCCCACTAGTAAGGACTCTTCTTTGGCCCTAACAGCCCAAAAGGAACCAGAAAAAAAGATAGTCAAGGAACCGAAAGGCGCCAATGGCCCTTGATTGTGCCCCCTCCAAGCTACGGGAGGAAGAGGAGACTTTGGCCCAGCATGAGTACATGTCTCCTTTTCCCTCTCAGACTTAAAACAGATCAAACTGGACCTAGGAAAATTCTCATAATCCTCATGGATACATAGACGTCTTACAGGGATTAGGACAGTCTTTTGATTTAGCATGGAGTAATATTATGTTGTTGTTAGGTCAAACATCAACTCCCAATGAAAAAGAGGCCACCTTAGCTGCGGCCCGGGAGTTTGGGAATCTCTGGTACCTAAGGCAGGTAAATGATAAAATGACATCAGAAGAAAGGGAACAACTCCCCACAGGCTAACAGGTGGTTCTCAGTGTGGATCCCCATTAGGACCTCAATTCTGAGCATGGAGACTGGAGTCACAGGCACTTACTGACTTGTATACTAGAGGAATTAAGAAAGGCCAGAAAAAAAGCCAACGAATTACTCAATGATGTCCACCAGAATGCAGGGAAAAGAAGAAAACCCTATGGCATTTTTAGAGAGGCTAAGGGAGGCATTAAGAAAGCATACCTCCTTGTCACCAGACTCTATTGAAGGCCAACTAATTTTAAAGGATAAGTTTATCACTCAGTCAGCTGCAGACATTAGAAAAAGAGCTTCTGCACAGCAAAAGAAACTACCATCAGAGTGAACAGGCAACCTACAACATGGGAGAAAATTTTTGCAACCTACTCATCTGACAAAGGGCTAATATCCAGAATCTACAGTGAACTCAAACAAATGTACAAGAAAAAAACAAACAACCCCATCAAAAAGTGGGCAAAGGATATGAACAGACACTTCTCAAAAGAAGACATTTATGCAGCCAAAAGACACATGAAAAAATGCTCATCATCACTGGCCATCAGAGAAATGCAAATCAAAACCACAGTGAGATACCATCTCACACCAGTTAGAATGGTGATCATTAAAAAGTCAGGAAACAACAGGTGCTGGAGAGGATGTGGAGAAATAGGAACACTTTTACACTGTTGGTGGGACTGTAAACTAGTTCAACCATTGTGGAAGTCAGTGTGGCGATTCCTCAGGGATCTAGAACTAGAAATACCATTTGACCCAGCCATCCCATTACTGGGTATATACCCAAAGGACTATAAATCATGCTGCTATAAAGACACATGCACACGTATGTTGATTGCGGCACTATTCACAATAGCAAAGACTTGGAACCAACCCAAATGTCCAACAATGATAGACTGGATTAAGAAAACGTGGCACATGTACACCATGGAATACTATGCAGCCATAAAAAATGATGAGTTCATGTCCTTTGTAGGGTCATGGATGAAATTGGAAATCATCATGCTCAGTAAACTATCACAAGGACAAAAAACCAAACACCGCATGTTCTCACTCATAGATGGGAATTGAACAATGAGAACACATGGACACAGGAAGGGGAACATCACACTCTGGACACTGTTGTGGGGTGGGGGGAGGGGGAGGGATAACATTAGGAGATACACCTAATGCTAAATGACAAGTTAATGGGTGCAGCACACCAGCATGGCACATGTATACATATGTAACTAACCTGCACATTGTGCACATGTACCCTAAAACTTAAAGTATAATAACAATAATAATAAAAAGAAAAAAGAAAAAAAAAAAAGAAAGAAAGAAACTTCAAAAGTCTGCTCTGGGCCCCAAGCAAAATTTGGAAACTCTGTTGAATTTGGCAACTTCGGTGTTTTATAATAGGGATCAGGAGGAGTAGGCTGAATGAGACAGACAAGACAAGAAAAGGCTGCTGCTTTAGTCATGGCCCTCAGGCAGATTAATTTCGGTGGCTCTGAAAGAAAGAAGCGCTGGGCAGGCAACCTGCCTAACAGGGCTTGTTATCAGTGTGGCTTACAGGGGCACGTCAAAAAGGACTGCCCAAAAATAAGCTGCACCCTCGTCCATGTCCCTTGTGCCGGGGGAATCACTGGAAGGCACACTGCCCCCGAGGGCAAAGTCCTCTGGGCCAGAGGCCACTAACCAGATGGTCCAGCAACAGGACTGAGGGTGCCCGGGGCAGGTACTAGCCCATGCCATCACCCTCACAGAGCCCCAGGTAAGCTTAACCATTGAGGGCCAGGAAACTAACTTCCTCTGGACACTAGCATGGCCTCCTCAGTTTTACTCTTCTGTTCCAGACAACTATCCTCCAGGTCTGTCACCATCAAAGGGGTCCTAGGACTGCCAGTCACTAGGTATTTCTCCCACCCCCTAAATTGTGACGGGGGAACCTTATGTTTCTCACATGCCTTTCTTATTATGCCTGACAGCCCTACTCCTTTACTAGGAAGGGACGTATTAGCTAAAGCGGAGGCCATTATATATTTGAATATAGGAGAAGGAATACCTGTTTGCTGCCCTCTACTCGAGGAGGGAGTTAATCCTGAAGTCTGGGCAGAGGAAAGACTATACAGACCAGCAAAAAACGCTTGTCCAGGTCAAGTTAAATTAAAGGATCCTATCTCCTTTCCTTATCAAAGGCAGTACCCCTCAGACCAGAAGCCCAACAAGGGTTACAAAAGATCATTAAGGACCTAAAAGCACAGGGATTAGTAAAGCCATGCAACAGTCCATGCAACACTCCTATTCTAGGCATGCAAAAACCCAACGGACAATGGAGGTTAGTGCAAGACCTCAGAATTATCAATGAGGCAGTTGTTCCTCTGTATCCAGTTGTACCTAATCCTATAATCTACTCTCCCAGATACCAGAGGAAGCAGAATGGTTATACAGTCCTAGAGCTTAAAGGACACTTTCTTCTGCATCCCTCTGCATCCTGACTCTCAATTTTTATTTGCCTTTAAAGATCTTTCAAACCCAGCATCTCAGCTTACCTGGACTGTCCTACCCCAAGGATTCAGAGATATCCCCCATTTATTCAGCCAGGCCCTAGCCCAAGACTTAAGTCAGTTCTCCCACCTGGACGTTTTCATCCTTCAACATGTAGATGATTTGCTGTTAACTGCTAACTCAGAGACCTTATGTCATCAGGCCACCCAAGTGCTTTTAAACTTTCTCGCCCCTTGTGGCTACAAGGTTTCAAAAGCAAAAGCTCAACTATGTTTACAACAGGTTAAATACCTAGGGCTAAATCTATCCAAAGGCACCAGGGCCCTTAGTGAAGAATGTATTCAACCCATTCTGGCTTATCATTGCCCCAAGACATTAAAACAACTAAGAGAGTTTCTTGGCATAACAGGCTTCTGTCAGATATGGATCCCCAGGTATGGCAAGTTGGCCAGGCCACTATATACATTAATTAAGGAAACTCAAAAAGCTAATACTCATTTATTAGAATGGATACCTGAGGCAGAAACAGCTTTTCAGGCCATAAAAAAGGCCCTGACCCAGGCCCTAGTGTTAAGTTTGCCAACAGAGCAAAGCTTCTCTTTACATGTCACAGAAAGAACTGGAAGAGCTCTTGGAGTTCTTACTCAGGTCCAAGGGACCAATTTGCAACCAGTGGCATACTTAAGTAAGGAAATTGACATAGTTTCAAAAGGCTGGCCTCTCTGCCTATGGGTGATGGCTGCAGTAGCCATCTTGGTATCTGAGGTAGTTAAAACAATACAGGGAAGAGATCTCACCATATGGACCTCCCATGATATAAACGGTATACTCACTGCTTAGGGGGGTTTATGGCTATTGGAAACCGCCTGCTTAAATATCAGGCTCTGTTACTTGAAGGGCCGGTACTGCAACTGCGCACTTGTGCAGCTTTTACCCCAGCCACATTTCTCCCAGACAGTGAAGAAGAAATAGAGCATAACTGTCAACAAGTTACAGCCCAAATCTCTGCTGCTTCAGAGGACCTTCCAGAGGTCCCCTTAATTGACCCTGACCTCAACTTCTATACTGATGAAAGCTCATTTGTAGAAAAGGGACTTTGGAAAGCAGGATACGCGGTGGCCAGTGATAATGCAATACTTGAAAGTAACCCCCTCGCTCCAGGTACCAGTGCACAGTTGGCAGAATTGGTAGCACTCACCTGAGCACTGGAACTGGGAGAAGGAAAGTGAGTAAATATATATACAGATTCCAAATATGCTTACCTAGTCCTTCATGCCCATGCTGCAATATGGAAAGAAAGGGAATTCTTAACCTCAGCGGGAACACCTGTTAAGCATCAAGAAGCGATTATGAAATTATTGCGAGCTGTGCAAAAACCTAAAGAGGTGGCAGTCTTACACTGCTGGTGCCATCAAAAAGGGAGAGAGAGGGAAGCAGAAGGAAACTGCCGAGCAGATGCTGGAGCCAAAAAAGCCTCATGATGGGATCCTCCATTAGAAGTGCCCATAGAGGGACCTTTAATATGGGACAATCCTCTCCAAGAGGCCAAATCCCAATATTCATCTGAAAAAATACAGTGGGGAACCTTATGAGGACGTAGTTTCCTCCCCTGAGGATGACTAGCAACCGAGGAAGGAAAAATACTTTTACCTGCAGCTAGCCAGTGGAAGATACTAAAAACCCTTCATCAGACATTCCATCTAGGTATCGATAACACCTATCAAATGGCTAAATCATTGTTTACAGGACAGGCCCTTTTCAAAACTATTCAGCAAATAGTGAAGTCCTGTGAAGTCTGCCAAAGAAATAAGCCCCTGCCTTATTGTCAGGCTCCTTCAGGGGAACAAAGAGCAGGTAGTTACCCTGGAGAGGACTGGCAACTAGACTTCACCCACATTCCCAAATCCCAGGGACTTCAATACTTCCTAGTCTGGGTAGACACCTTCACCGGTTGGGTTGAAGCCTTCCCCTGTAAGACAGAAAAAGCTCAGGAAGTAGTGAAAACCCTAATTCATGAAATAATTCCCAGATTCCGGCTTCCTCGTACTTTACAAAGTGACAATGGCCCAGCCTTCAAGGCTGCAGTAACTCAGGGAATACCCAAAGTACTAGGAATACAATACCACCTCCACTGTGAATGGAGACCACAGTCCTCAGGGAAAGTTGAAAAAATGAATGAAACACTCAAAAAACACTTAAAAATACTAACACAGGAAACTCACCTCCATGGCCTACTCTGCTACCCTTGGCTTTGTTAAGAATCTGTAACTCCCCATAAAGAATAGGGATCAGTCCCTGTGAAACGCTCTATGGATGGCCTTTTCCCATGAATGGCCTAGTAATTGATAGGGAAACAACAAATCTTGTGAAAAGCATAACTTCCCTAGCAAAATTTCAGCACATTCTAAAAGCATTGCCTGAAAGACATCAGAGAGAAAAAGGAAAACAGCTATTCCATCCCGGAGACCTAGTATTAGTCCCTCTACCTCCCCGTCCCTAGGCCCCTCCTGGGAAGGACCATATCCAGTCATTCTCTCTACTCCAATCGCAGTTAAGGTAGTTGGGATAGAATCTTGGATTCATCACACTCGAATCAATCTCTGGACGCCACCAGGAGGACTCGAGGAACCAACAACCCAGGACTCTGAAAACAATGCCTCCTACACCTGTGAACTGCTGGAGGACCTGTGTCTGCTCTTCAAGTAAATTCCTAAGGAAATTAACTAATAACCACTCTCCCCCATGGCCCCCTCCTATTTCAAATTCCTCCTAATAGTCTTTATGCTTCCCTTGGCTAATACTCTCCCTTCATGTACCTGCACCACCCCTGGCTTCAGTTCTTCATGACTCCTGGGAAACATGGCAGTAGTCAATTTTGCACGCCTGTTTGGGAGGGGAGCCTCCTTTACTGCCCACACTTATATGTGCAGAGAGTGCTATAAGGCTGCTACCCTCTGTACACATGCAGGCACCAATTATTGGACAGGGAAAATGATCAGAGCTGATTGTCCAGGCAGATATGGAGCCACTCCTTGTTGGACCTACTATACACATGTTGGCCTATCCAACACAGGTGGGGTCCAAGATCAAGCCCAAGAGCAACACCTTCAGAAGGTGATCTCCAAACTGGTTCAAACCCCCAGTACACCCAGTCCCTACAAGGATTAGACCTCTCAAGGCTACATAAAACTCTTCGCACTTACTCCCGCTTGCTAAATTTATTTAATGTCACCCTTACCAAAATTCACAGGGCCTCCAGCCAAAATCCAACTGCCTGCTGGATGTGCCTCCCCTTATGCTTTAAACCATATGTCCCAGTTCCTGTTCCCGAACATTGGAATGCCACCGAACTGAGAACAAACACCACAGGCCTGGTGGGCCCTTTAGTCTCAAATCTAGAAACAACACATACATCAAATCTCAACCTGTGTAAAGTTTAGCAAAACAATTGACGCAGCCGCCTTCCAGTGCAAAATATGGACTACCCTACTTCCACGACTCTCTTGCTTGCCATCAGGAATCCTTTTTGTTTGTGACTCCTCAGCTTACCGCTGCTTAAATGGTTCCTAACAAAGTCTATGCTTTCTCTCCTTTTTGGCGCCCCCCTGTGACTATCTACACTGATCAGGAGTTACAGGATTTTCTTCTACCCAAACCCCGTTACAAACGGGCACTAGTCCTTCCATTCATTATCGGGGCTGGGATACTAGGAGGACTAGGAACCGGCATTGGAGGCATTACCACCTCCACCCAGTTCTATTATGAATTATCACAAGAGTTAAATGATAACATGGAACAAGTCGCAGATTCACTAGTCACCTTACAAAGCCAGCTTAACTCTTTAGCAGCAGTAGCACTTCAAAATCGGAGAGCCTTAGATTTATTAACAGCAGAAAGAGGTGGGACCTGTCTTTTTCTAGGAGAAGAGTGCTGTTGTTTCGTTAATCAATCCGGAATTGTCACCAAGAAGGTTAAAGAGCTTCGAGACCAGATATAGCACTGGGCACAAGAGCTCCAAGACACAGGACCTTGGAGTATTGTCAACCAATTGCATAGGACGTCCTGGCTTCTCCCCTTCTTGGGACCCTTGGTGGCTACTGTGATCTTGCTTATCTTTGGACCTGCATTTTTAACCTCCTTGTAAAATGTGTCTGTTACTGACTAGAATCCATGAAACTGCAATTGGTTCTACAAATGGAGCCCCAAATGACCACCACTAGCACCTACTATTGAGGACCCCTAGACCAATCCACCAACCTGTTCTCCCACCACAACATCGAAGAATCCCCTCCCCAGGAAACCTCAACTGCAGAGCCCCTTCTATACCCCAGTTCAGCAGGAAGTAGCTAGAACCATCGTCACCCAACTTCCCAACAGCACTTGGGCTTTCCTGTTGAGAGAGGGGGCTGAGGGACTAAGTGGCTAAGTTGGCTGGACTTCCTGGGTCAATAGGGACTTCCTTAAGGGGACTTTCCCCTAAGCCAAAATGAGTCACAGCTGCAAGCTAAGGGATTGAAACTTCAACCAATCATATAGGGAGTTTAAGCTCTAGCTGCAGCCTGATGTTTTTAACCAGTCAGGCCCGCCAACCCACAAGTGGATAGAAAATAAGCTAATTCTATAGGACAGAAAAAGGAAAAGGGGAGGGGTCATAAGGGGATATAAGCATAAGACACCCAAGCCAGAAACAGCAACCCTTCCGGGTCCCCTTCCACCATGTAGAAGCTTTACTTTTGCTTTCGCTTACTTTCGCTTTTGCTTTACTTTCGTTTTTGCTTTACTTTCGTTTTTGCTTTACTAAATCTTGCCACCGCACACTCTTTGGGTCCATGCATTTCTCTAGTGGAGCTGTAACACTCGCTGCTGCAGCCCACAGCTTCATTCCTTGAAGCCTGTGAAGCCACGAACCCTTCGATCGAGAAAAAACCTTCAATCAGGAGAGGACTTCTCGTCTCACCAGCACTTTGGGAGGCCAAGGCAGGCGGATCACCTGAGGTCAGGAGTTCAAGACAAGCCTGGCCAACATGGTGAAACCATCTCTACGAAAAATACAAAAATGAGCCAGGCACGGTGGCAGGCACCTGTAATCCCAGCTACTCGGGAAGCTGAGGCAGGAGAATTGCTTGAACCCAGGAGGCAGAGGTTGCAGTGAGCCGAGATTGTGCCACTGCACTCCAGCCTGGGTGACAAGATCGAAACTTCATCTCAAAAAAAAAAAGGAAGATCAAGAGATATTCTGCAGTAAGAATGCACTATTATAAAGAAGAGGCAGTGATCACCAAATAACACAGCCAATAAATATGTCAAAAAAAGCATTGAGATTATAAAGAAAACTTAATAAAAATACAAATATAGTAGAAGGATTCAAAACTTCTCTTTCAGAAATGGGTAGCTCTACCACACAAAAAATAAGCAAATATCTAGAGAAATAGACTGATGCAATCAATAAATTAATACAATCAATAACTGTATTAGATATATGAAAAGCGGCATAGCTCTAAATAGAGAATATACATTTTTGTCTTATGTCCATAAAACATTTACAAAAATAATCATGTATTTTGCTTAAAGATTTATTAAGAGAATATAGTTTACAGGCTATATTTTCAATTCATAATCAATTAGAAACAAAAAATAAAAGTTGCTTTCTAAGGTACTGTCAGGACTTTTCTGAGGCTAAAATGTCACTTGACATTGATCATGACACAATGTGAAACTTGTGGGCAGAAAATTTAGGATTAAGTTTTGTCTGATTTTCCTGACTGTGTGACATTGGTGCGGTCACACAAACCCTATGAGATTCCAACTCCTATAAAATAACGCTGATTCTACCCACCCTATGAATTTTATAAAAATTGTTGCTAACAACCAGGCCAACTGAGGTCATGGAGATTATAGCATTTTTCAAATTATAAAGTACCATGCAAGCATAGGGTTTCTGTAAGAAAATGCACCCAAGTAGCAATCAACTGAACTCATGAAAAGACTTCAGAAAAAACAAAAATGCTTTAGAAATATATTCTTCCTTTTTGGGGGTCTGCCTATGAATGTATGCAAAGATCTTTTCAAAGAAATCCAGAAAAGCCATTCATACTTGGAATAGTAGAAGCTGTAGCAACTAACAATGATAACTTGTTACTCACTTACAACTAATGAGGAGTAAAAGTCCCTCAGATAGGCGCTACTTAAATATTTGATGACTAATAAATTAAATGTTAATTAAATACTTCAGTGATTTTCTTCCCTGACCAGCATATAATTAACATTTAATTTGTTATAAAATATTTAAAGTTATGAAATATCCTATGGCATCAAAATGTCTCTATAGTGAAATCATCTTGGGACAATGTGTCAAGGGCACAAGAGGTTAGACTGGCATTTAAACCTCAGGAGACAGAACATAAAAAGTGCCTTTTGTGATTTTCTCACATAATGAAACTGAGAATGAGATAAGGGAAATCTCATTTTCCAATTGAATTTAACCATAGAATTTATAACTAAGTGCTACTAAGGTGTGAGGGATGAAATAGGAATGAGATACCCTTCCAAAACTAAAACTACATTGCCACATGAATGTTGCAACCACCTTAAGTGAAAAACACAATTAAAAGTTGGTTAGGAAGAAAGCACCATTCTCTTTGGCTACTTTGAACTTGAAATACATGTAGAAGAACAAATGCTAGGAGGTAGATTGGATAGGATAGTTATCTAGTAGGACAAGGGGTGTCGTGAGAGAGGTGTCCTACTCCTAACTTCCCCACAGGGCTGGCTGAAAGTCCCAGACAGAAATGCATTTTCCATATTGGTTTTAGCTAATCTTGGAAAGTACATGAGCCTGGGCTTAAATAAGGAAAGTGGGGGCTGGTAGGGCAGAGATTGCTGTGGAAAGACATCTAGATAATAAGAATAGAGGGATTTATTTGAGTTCTGAGGAATGAGCATCCACGTTGTTAGTCTTCAAGACCATGCACAATAGTCACTTGACCAGGAGAAACAACATTTCTTGTGGATCATCAATAGAGCTATATAATGAACCAGGCTAAGAGCAATCCCCCCAAAGAAGGCTCCCCTGACAAATACCTACAACATCAAAGGGAACAGGTGGGTTTCTCTATCAAAGACCATGACTTGGGGATGTAGTCTCTCCCCTTCCATCCTTTCATGATCCACTTGCATGAATGGTCTTCAACACCAACCCCAGTTCAGTGGTTAATAATACACATGTGTTCTATCAGAGGTGAGATCAGTGTGATAGTCACACTAGACACTAGACCTTGGCCAGCTCCAAAAGCTTTCCAACCCCCCTCAATTCCTATTACTACAGGTATGATGATAAGACTACCTATTCAAACTCCTTGACTCATCAACTCACTTCTACCTCGTGTTTAAAGAGACTATAGCTCCATCTCCAGTCCCCCAGCCCCAAGGAATATGTTCCGCTCAGCACAATATATGCCATTAACAAAAATCTCATTTTGCTTGTCAGTGATTGATTTAGGAGGAAATAGGGACCTAGTTCTTGCCAAAGAGATACGAAAAGAGGTGTACTGGGGGCCGGGCGCGGTGGCTCACGCCTGTAATCCCAGCACTTTGGGAGGCCGAGGCGGGCGGATCACGAGGTCAGGAGATCGAGACCATCCCGGCTAAAATGGTGAAACCCCGTCTCTACTAAAAATACAAAAAATTAGCCGGGCGTAGTGGCGGGCGCCTGTAGTCCCAGCTACTTGGGAGGCTGAGGCAGGAGAATGGCGTGAACCCGGGAGGCGGAGCTTGCAGTGAGCCGAGATCCCGCCACTGCACTCCAGCCTGGGCGACAGAGCGAGACTCCGTCTCAAAAAAAAAAAAAAAAAAAAAAAAAAAGAGGTGTACTGGGATCTCTCTATGAAGAAGCAGAACCTGGAAGAGCTAGTTCTCATAATTTCCTTCTGGTGGTTATGTCTGTACACAAGTATGGAACAGTGGCAAACATCTTGTCACCATGGGAAGGGTGAACCTGAAGATCAAGCATCCCACTAAAGATGAAGATAAAAAGAATGAAAGAGGCTGGCCATTCTTGACATTAGTGAGCTATGAATTAACTTCCCCTGGGGATGCCCCACCTCTGTACTTCTTACACTGTGTCTTTGCTTTTTTTTTTTAATATTCCTTCTTCTCTTCCATTATACAGCCTTCCATTATTGCTAACTTGTATTTTCTCAATATTTCTGCCCTTTTTGAAAACTAATATTAATTCCCTCCTATCTGATTCACACAAAACTCCTACTTGGTCAAGTTACAGCCTTCCCATATTTGGTCTAGCTCAATTCGACAAACATAAATTTAGTGCCCACTGTGTGTTGGTTACTAGGATTTGAGCTAGTAGTAAAGTTCATACTGCCTCCATATAATGTGTCTAAAATCTAAATTGTAATATGATTGCAACTGTCTCTTCCAGACAGCAGTGCTTCTGAGTTGTACTGTAATTCTAGATACAGGAGACATCCAAAATTGCATAAATAATAGTGTCTACACCAGAAATTGACCTTCTTTTTGTTCCTTTAACTTCCATCCCACCCTCCACTCCACAAAGTTATTTCATTCACTGCTACCTACAGGTCCAGAGGCAGCCATTTCAGGGAAGAGATTTGAGTTTAACAAGAAAGATCTATAAACTTCTGGGGCTGAAC
Source organism: Homo sapiens (assembly GCF_000001405.40). Taxonomy (NCBI): domain Eukaryota; kingdom Metazoa; phylum Chordata; class Mammalia; order Primates; family Hominidae; genus Homo; species Homo sapiens. Next base: position 118,855,944 of record NC_000003.12, read on the forward strand.
ATGGCTTCATTAGACACCACCATTTTGCAGCTACCTTATACCCCTTGTTTTTCTTGTTTGCTTTTCTCTACGTCTTCTGCTTCTGCAGAACTATAAGTCTCAACCCTTTCCCTGGATGGTATACTACATACATTGCTTTGCTCTTCAGGAAACTGTGGCCCGAATCAGATTTGCCTACATGGTTTCTTACCTGCTCTGTGGCATGTTTCTCATCCTAGTTCTACTCTCCAAGCTTAACATTAATCACTCACCTGCTGCATAAGAAAAGCTACTGTCCATAATCCAGAATGACAGATGTAGTCACAGCTCTAAGAAATATCAGCAAGGGCAAGGAAAATATGTACATAATACTGTGAAACACACTATTCTATGGATATAAGCCAGGCCAAGTGACAAGTAATTTTTCCATGGAAAGGTGATAAAGCAATAAAGGAAAATTACAGAGGGATAATGACATATTCACTAAATAAGAATACAGGCATACTTTGTTTTACCATGCTTCATGTTATTACACTTTACAGATATTGCATATTTTACAAATTGAAGCTTTGTGCCAAATCTACATCTAGAAATTCTATCAGCTCTATTTTTCCATCAGCATCCACTCATTTCATGTCTTCGTGTCACATTTTGGTAACTCTCACAAAATTTTAAACGTTTTCATTATCATCATTATATCTCTTACGGCGATCTGCATTCAGTGATCTTTGATGCTACAACTCTAATTGTTTTAGAGAACCACTGACTGCCCATATAAGATAGCCAACTTAATCAAAAATGTTGGGTGTGTTCTAATATTCCACCAACCAGTCATTCCCCTGCCTCTCTCCTTTTCCTTGGGCCTTCCTATTCCCTGAGACAAAACAATATTGAAATTAGACCAATTAGTAAGCCTACAATTACCTCTTAGTGTTCAAGTGAAAGGAAGAGTCATACATCTTTCATTTCAAATCAAAAGCTAGAAGTGATTAAGTTTAATGAGGAATACATGTCAAAGCCAAGATATGCCTAAATCTAGGCCTCTTGTACCAACAGTTAGCCAAGTTACGAATGAAAAGGAAAAACTAGTGAAGGAAACTAAAAGTACTACTCCAGTGGAAACACAAATGATAAGAAAGGGAAACAGCTTTGTATTAGTCCATTTTC